>NC_000006.12:37029696-37332727 GCF_000001405.40 Homo sapiens | reverse complement strand
TAACTCACACCGATGTGGTGGGGCCTCACTGGCAAAGAGACTTGAGGGTGTTACCCACCAGGGACACTGCTCGGCTTCCCAGGAGGATGACAGCTGCTGGCCCCCATCCCCCCACCCTCCACTACCAAATACCAAAACTCAAACAGGGGTCACACATCTCATGAGCTGTGTGGGGAGTGAAGGTGACAGTAAGGGATATGGAGTGCTGCTCTCTGAGAAGAGCCCCAAACCCGAGGGACACACAAGAAGCCCCTTTCCTTGGCACTGAGTCTTCAGTCACAGCTTCTGTCCGAATACAATGCTGAACTTGAAAACGTAAAAACAAAAGCCCTCCCCAGATTCCGGGGAAGGTGGGGATAAAAACACATAGAGAGGGCTTGCCCGCCTCTGCAGTCCCTTCCTGGGGAGGCTGCTAGGAGCAAAGGGCAGATGCTCCAGGAAAGTCTGGGGGTTGGGGGGCGGGGTGAAGAAAGGGGCGAGGAGGACTCTGAGACACTGATGCTTGGGATGGCTCCAGCTGCTCAGCTACTCACTTCAGCAGCCTCCCGTTCTACCCCTCACAGCAGGACACCCAGAACCAACCTGGAGGTGCTGAAGCCACCTTCCTGGCAACTTCCTCTGTGCTAGTGACCTAGATTGCTTTCACATGTTGATGCACATTATAAATATAAAATCATATCTGCTACAAAGAGGACATATATTTGTACATCTTTACCCATATACATAATAACACAATTTACACATAATATCTTGGAGTGGGTCATCATGGAAAAGGGGTCTGGAGAGCCCCTTCTGCCTCCCCTGCCCCAATCCCTCTTCAAGGGATGCTTATACACTTGGTCACTGGGGCCCTTCCCAACTAGTTTGATGGGGCTCGTCTGGACACAGAAATTCAGACATGTGACTAAATGCTGATGGGCATGTATACACATTCACACCCACACACACATGCAGACACCTGGTGAGAAAAGGAAAAATAAAATTCCTAGCCCTTGGGTGTAGGCCTCTTTCCAGAGTTACAAGCATCAGTGCCTCCTCCATCTAGAATAATGGTTTTAAAAAGCTACCCCTCACTGGCTCAGACTGGGGCAGAAGGGGAACGGCTAGGAAACCAGGAAGAGGGAAGAGGGGCCAGGAGTCTTTCGAAAATATAAGGCGTTTTTGACCTGTGATCAAATCAAACTATGTTCACAAAAAAAAAAAAGCAACGGTTATCAGTTGGGGCCTGTCCTTGTAGGGACAATGTGAGGTGAGACCCTGAGCCTTCCCCTTCTTTGTCCAGTTTCTTTTAAAGGGGCAGACAACCCTGTACCACCTTTTCTGTCCTCTCCCAGAACTGGGCCCATCCACGCGGCATGGAATACTGACAGTGGTCCAAGTGACACATCCAGAGACATGGAGTGGTGGATGCCAGAAAGTTAAGACCTGGGCGGTGGGTGTGAGCTTTGTACAACAGGAGTGGTTCCTGGCCGGGGTCCACGGCTCGCACAGTGGCCACAGTGATCAGACTGCCATCAGAGATGAAGGCAGTCTGGGTCCCCGGAGGAGACAGCACCTATCGGCGGTAGTGATTTGGGGCATCGGCAAACATGTACTTGAGTCTGTATGCCTCGGCGAGAAGCAGCCCAATTTCTTCGTTGCCCCAGTGTATTGTAGGTAGGTTCTGTAGCAGCATGAGGAGACCCTGGAATGCAAGAAAGGACTTTTATATCATACCAGACCGTAGACCATCAGACAAGTGAACCCATTCTTAGAGACCAAGGCCTAGAATGGGGCCCCTTCCTCCTGGCTCACACATCTCAAAGAGTCCAGCCTCCTTCCTCCCAAACAGTACACAGCTTTCAGTCCTAGTTCACCTCAGGAGGTCTTGAAAGCCTCTGCTGATTCTCTAGTCCACTAACACCTGTCTCTTTAAAAACATAAAAAACATAAATAGGGAATGACAACAATAAAGATTTTTAAGAGAGAAAAATAATCACTTATCCAAATATACCTCTCTTAATCTTAAAGTATTCATTTTCAGTCTTTTCTTCACATGCATATTTCTTTAAATAGTTGTAACAATAATTATGACTTTTTTTTGAGACAGGATCTCGCTCTGTCACCCAAGCTGGAGTGCAGTGACGCAATCACAGCTTGCTGCAGCCTTGAACTCCTGGGCTCAAGTGATCCTTTGACAAAGTTAAAATATAGGCCAGGCGCGGTGGCTCACGCCTGTAATCCCACACTTTGGGAGGCTGAGGCGGATGGATCGCGAGGTCAGGAGATCGAAACCATCCTGGCTAACACAGTGAAACCTGTCTCTACTAAAAATACAAACAATTAGCCAGGCAAGGTAGCACACGCCTGTAGTCACAGCTACTTGGGAGGCTGAGGCAGGAAAATCATTTGAACCTGGGAGGCGGAGGTTGCAGGGAGCCCAGATCGCGCCACTGCACTCCAGCCTGGCGACTGAGTGAGACTCTGTCTCAAAAAAAAAAAAAAAAAAAAAAAAAAAAAAAAAAAGAAACGGACAAAATATTTATAACATCTATAGAAGATAAAAGGTTAATATATGTAATCCATAAGGACTGCCTACAAATCAGTAAGAAAGAAGGCAAACAGCCAAATGGGAAAACAGACTAGCAATGTGAATAGCTAACGCACTAATGCCAGTGGCCACTCACACTATGATGACTTACAAACCCTGCTCCTAGCTGATCCGAATACTCCAGCAGCATTCTGCAGTTCTCAGTGTAAAGGTCTTGTGCATCCTTTATGAGATTTCTTCCTTTAGTACTAGAAGTGTAGCTGGGCACAAAACTGCCCAATGCACATCACTGCTATGTGTGGCCAATACGATTAGGTTCTGGCCAATTCTGGATGTGAACAAAAATGATAGGTGTAACTTCTAGGTTTTGCTCTAAACTTCTCTCCCTCTTAGAAAATGGATATGAATGGAGGAGTAGAAGTGATCATCTTAGACCATAAAGTTAAAGCATGTGTTGAAGATGGCAGAGTAATAAGACAAATCAGAGTCCCTAACACTCCAAAACCATAATGTTAGCCCTGGACTGCTTACACTTAGACTGTTAGTTGAAGGGAAATAAACAACTCTCTTGTTTTAAGCCACTGTTATTTTGAGGTCTTGGTTACAGTAGACAAGTTTATATCATCTTAACAAATACATACCATATCTATCAAAATAAGAAATGCACATGGTCTTTCATCCAGCAACTCTGCTTCTAACTCTCTATCCTAGGGAAATAGTCACACTACTGTGTGTACAAAGGTATTCACTGCATCATTGCTTCAAATAGTGGAGAAAGGATACTAGAAAAGCGTCTGGCAATATGGGAATGGTGAGATAAACCATGGATTATCTGCATCATGAGATGCAAGGCAGCACTTGAAACAAGCGAAGCCGGTCTACATGTATCAGTATATGAAGATAAAGAAGACATTTTGGAAAGGATAAAAAAGGCAGTTGCAGAACAATATTTACAGTATGATCCCACTTAGGTAAAAGAAAAAACACAACAATATATTTGTATATGTACATGTACACATAAACATTTTAGAGAAGTGGGAAACTGTTCACAGTGGTTACCCTTTGGGAGGGAAGCCTTTCACTTTTCTCTCATTATATTTATGTATCTTATAAAATATTTGTGTATTATTGTGTTATGAAATAACTTTTTTTTTTAGTAATAACTACTCTGGGCTGGGCGCAGTGGCTCATGCCTGTAATCCCAGCACTTTGGGAGGCCGAAGTGGGCCAATCACTTGAGGTAAGGAGTTTGAGACCAGCCTGGCCAACATGGTGAAACCCCGTCTCTACTAAAAATACAAAAATTAGCCAGGCATTGTGGTGGCCGCCTGTAGTCCCAGCTACTTGGGAGGCTGAGGCAGGAGAACTGCTTCAATCTGGGAGGCGGAGGTTGCAGTGAGCCGAGATCACGCCATTACACTCCAGCCTGGGTGAAGCTACTCTGTGGAAATTTTGTTTACTAAAAAGTAAAAAAAAAACAGAAAATAAATTACCCATAACTTCACGATCAAGAGGAAGCCATTTTAAAACATTTTGGCATATTTCCTTCCAGTCCTTTTCCTACATATTTTACATACTTGAAATATTTTCTCTACATAATTTTGAATCTATGCAACATTTACCGTAAGCATTTCCTCTAATATTAAAAATTCCTTGTAGATATTTTCAATATCCAAAGAATTTTCCATGATGTAAGATGTACCAGAATTTACATCCTCCTGTTTTGAGCATTTAATTATTTCTGGTTTTTCACTATAAAAAATTATAATGAACATCTTTATGCACAAAGCCTTATCTTGGATTATTTCCCTAAGCCAAATTCCTAGAAATGAAATTACTATTTCAAAGGGCATAAACATTTTATTTTTATCTATCTATCTATTTATTTATTTAGAGACAGAGTCTTGCTCTATTGCCCAGGCTGGAACGCAGTGGCACAATCTCAGTTCACCGCAACCTCCGCCTCCCAGGTTCAAGCGATTCTCCTGCCTCAGCCTCCCGAGTAGCTGGGATTAGCCATCACACTTGGCTAATTTTTGTATTTTTAGTAGAGATGGGGTTTCACCATGTTGGCCAGGCTGGTCTCGAACTCCTGACCTCAGGTGATCCGCCCGCCTCAGCCTCCCAAAGTGCTGGGATTACAGGCATGAGCTACCGCGCCTGGCCCACCACAAACATTTTAAAGGTCTTTAACATTCAACCAGAAAATATATTCCAGAAAAATGCCCATTTCCCTAGATCTCTACCAGCACTAAATATTCTCATTTAAAAAAAAAACAAACTTTGCTAATGCAAAGTCTTCCCTTTGATCCCCAAGCCCAAGAACAGAACTCAAAGCCGTCATGATGGTGGTGAACCCCCGGAGGAGTGCACATCCCAAGGTCCCCACTCTCCCCTCCATGGTTGCTGGCATCTGCTCTCTCCAACCCTCCAGGCAAACCCCTCCAGTCACATGATTACGGAAATTCACTCAACCAGACCAGTTATTCAACCAGTTATTGATATTCACTCAAGCCAGCAGATGCTCTGCTTTTAAAAACTCTGCCTTTAGCTGATCGGAACATCTTTGGAATATTCCCCTCTCACAGGAGTAATTCCCTCTTGGTTCTATTCTGGCCTCAGTCCTGTCTGCCTCAAAGCTTTTTTTGTTTGTTTTGTTTGAAAGAGAACCATCATTTCTATCTCAACTTATTTTTTTTTTTTTTTTTTTTTTTTTTTTTGAGTCGGAGTCTGGCTCTGTCGCCCAGGCTGGAGTGCAGTGGCACGATCTCGGCTCACTGCAAGCTCCGCCTCCCGGGTTCACGCCATTCTCCTGCCTCAGCCTCCCGAGCAGCTGGGACTACAGGCGCCCACCACCACGCCCGGCTAATTTTTTGCATTTTTAGTAGAGACGGGGTTTCACCGTGTTAGCCAGGATGGTCTCGATCTCCTGACCTCGTGATCCGCCCGCCTCGGCCTCCCAAAGTGCTGGGATTACAGGCGCGAGCCACCGCGCCCGGCCCTATCTCAACTTATTTTTTAAAATGTTGACCTTGGACCATACTACATGCCCCCACCCCCATGCCACCATGTACTCCCTGGCCTCTGGCCCCTTTTACCCATCTCTGCTGCTTCCTACCTCCTTCCCGCACCATGTCCCTATCCCACAACAACTGGAAAAGGTGTTGCCTCTTTTTGCTAACATTCTCCTCAGGTAGACCACTTGTATCCTAAGTTAGGCAGGCTCTCTTTATAATGGTCTCAGTCTTTTCTGTACCTTAGACTCTTGGGCTGTCTGGTGAACCCCATCAATCTCCTCAGAATAATGGTTTTAAATATTAATACATAAAATAAAATGCATACTAATCAATTTTTTTAAAATTTGTGATATTCACCTCTGTGTGGTAAGATTTCTTTTTCTGTTTTTTTTTGAGACGTAGTCTCGCTCCGTCACCCAGGCTGGAGTGCAGTGGCATGATCTTGGCTCACCACCACCTCCACCTCCCAGGTTCAAGCAATTCTACTGCCTCAGCCTCCTGAGTAGCTGGGACTACAGGCATGAGCCACCATGCCTGGTTAATTGTTTTTTATTTTTAGTAGAGACGGGGTTTCACCGTTAAGCCAGGATGATCTCAATCTCCTGACCTCGGGATCTGCCCACCTCGGCCTCCCAAAGTGCTGGGATTACAGGCGTGAGCCACTGTGCCCAGCCTAAGATTTCTTACTGGAATTTTCTAAATTTTTCTATGATGGTTACATACACTTGCAAACTGATAACAAACAAGAACAGCCAACAAAGGACATAGCTCTCTAGAAGAGAATACTTTTTTTTTTTTTTTTTTGAGGCGCAGTCTCACTCTGTCACCAGGCTGGAGTGCAGCAGCAATCTTGGCTCACTGCAACCTCCAACTCCCAGGTTCAAGCGATTCTCCTGCCTCAGCCTCCTGAGTAGCTGAGATTACAGGTGCGCGCCACTGCACCCAGCTAATTTTTGCATTTTTAGTGGAGACTGGGTTTCACCATGTTGGCCAGGATGGTCTTGATCTCTTGACCTCGTAATCTGCCCGCCTCAGCCTCCCAAAGTGTTGGGATTACAGGCGTGAGCCACCGCGCCCAGCCGAGAATACTCTTTGTTGAGATGAGATCTACCTATAATTTCCAATTCTTCCAGTCTTAACAGAAACCTCTCAAAAGCTTCCAAATAATTCCACCCCTGCACAAGTGAATGTCCCCACTTCCCCCAAGGGAAGTGATGCTTAGCCGTAAGGAACCACTCTGCCACCTGGTGGCTATGCCTAAAACTGCAACATCCCCACCTCTAGCCCCGACCCTAGTCTACCACCTGCTGTCCTCATGCTGCAACAATGGGAAACCCTGCCCAGTGGATTAAAAAAGTAGAAACTCACTTTGGGAGGCAGAGTTGGGTGGATTGCCTGAGCTTAGGAGTTCGCGACCAGCCTGGCTAACATGGTGAAACCCCATCTCTACTAAAATACAAAAAATTAGCTGGGCGTCATGGCGTGCCCCTGTAGTCCCAGCTACATGGGAGGCTGAGGCAGAAGAATTGCTTGAACCCGGGAGGCAGAGGTGGCAGTGAGCCAAGATTGTGCCACTGCACTCCAGCCTGGGCGACACAGTGAGACTCCATCTCAAAAAAAAAAAAAAAAAAAAAAAAAAAGTAGAAACGATAATTATGGCTGGGGGATGAAGGTGCTAATCACAAATCAGGAGCTTTTATCTAGGGGCAGAGAAGAGACACTACCGGGGCAGGGAACAACTGAAGATTTGTTACAAAGCCAGTTCATGGGAGCACTTAAGTATCACATGCAGTCAGATGAGATACTATAGTCAGGAGGAGGAGAAAGCTTGTAGGGCAAGTATCAGAAAGAGATTCCCAATTAATAGAAAGGGAGCAAACACCCTTTGTAGAAAACAGTTGGAAATGGCTGAAATAGCAGAAAAGGGCCAGGCACAGGTACCTGCTGAAAATTCACACAGGAAAAGGCAATATGGCAGAGAAGGACTTTGAGCCACATGTGATGGGTGGAAAAAAAACAATTAGGTAAGAGGCCAAAGGTAAAGATAATGGGTAATAAGCAGAGACTTTGAAAAGGGAAAGGTATAGGAAAATTCCACTGCAGACTGTCCAATAAAGGTGGGAGAATAATTGAGGAGGAAGAGGAAGAACACCAAAGATAATCAGTATAACGGCATTTATTATTTATTGAGCACTTATTACATAACAGATGGGGCTCTAGATGTTTCACATGTACTTTGTACTAGTTTGTTTAATCCTACATCTACTCTATGAGATACATATTAACTTCCATTTTACAGATGAGGAAATTGAGGCACAGAGGTTAAGGAACTTGCCTAGGGTCACAGGGTAGTGCTAGCCAGGGATTTGAGCCCAATCTGGGCATGTGCTCATAATTACTAGACTATATACTGCCTGCCCTGGTGTGAGAAGAGAAGTAAGGCATAAAGTAGAAGGAACAAAAAGAAGAGAAGTCATAAAAGAGGCTGTTTGAAGGAAATCTAGAAGCATTCACTTTTTTTTTTTGTTCATTTTTACTTTTATTTAGTCATTAAGTCCTTGGACTCATAGTAAGGCTTGATGCCATATTGGTGTCACACTGCCAAGCGATCCAAAGCATATGTTAGCCTTCTATTTCAACTTCTTCGTTTACTAATGTATCACTGGACCCAGCAGGCAGCTCATCCAGACAATTTCAGTAAGGCATTTTGGTGCATAATAGGCCACAGTCCTTATAAAGTATCCAGTTTGTCTTACAGCTGAGAGATTTGAACCTGCTGTAGATGTGTCACAGCTAAATTCTTGAATGGATTTTTATCATCGGTGCCACCTCTTCCTCTGCCTCTTCTTGGTCTTTCCCAGCCACCAGTGTGACCCAGCTGGTGACTAAGAGTTGACTAATTTTACTCTGCAATAAGGGCTGGCACAACCAAACACAGGATGTATAATGATGAGCAACAAAAGAACATTAAATATGTGCTATTAAATAAGATACTGTATCTAGAATCACTTTGCAGTACTGGAACTTTCTTTGCAAATGTATAGTGTATTCAAGCATGTAAAAATGCCTTTCTAGTCAAATAAATACTTTAAAACAAACCTCTTCTATTCTGAGAATCAGTGAGGTAGTAAAACATTTCCTCTGGTCCCTATACAACTTTTCAAAAACATGTCCCTATGATATAAGCTTGTTGAGAGTCAAACTTTTATTCATTGGCTTTTCCTGAATCTAGGAATTTGGCAAAGTTTCCTCTCAAAGAAAGCTGTGCAGAGTTCCCCTCAGTGGCTTGTTTTTGTTCACATGTCTAGGAACCGTGCCCTTTCTCACACCAGCTTGTTTTGGGCAGAAAGATCTTCAGTTCCCAGGGTTCCCTCTGAACCCTTGTGTGAAGGATTCAAACTGGCAATTCACCAAATGTCTGTAAAGACAGGGCCTCCATTCGGCAATGTTCCACAATCGCACCCCTGTGTTCTTGCAGAAGTGGTGGGTGGATGCCATCTGGTTCAAGGGATTTATTTACATTTACTTTATTATTGAGGTCTGGAACATCCCATGGGCTTAGCACTATTTAATAACCCTGACCTGTCTCCTACAAAAGAAACCTTCAGAGTGGGAATCTCTCCAACATTTTCTTCCAGCTGACCCCCTTGTCATTTCACTCACTCACTCACTCATTTGAGACTCACTCTGTTGTCCACTGATGGCTCATTGCAGCCTCGCCCTCCCTGGCTCAGATGATCCTCCCACCCAACCTTCCTAAGTAGCTGGGACTACAGGTGTGTGCCACCATGCCTGGCTAATTTTTAAATATTTTTTTTAGAGACAGGGTCTCCCTATGTTGCCCAGGGTGCTCTCGAACTCCTGGGCTCAAGCGATCCTCCTGCCTCAGTCTCCCAAAGCGCTGGGATTACAGGCATGAGCCACTGCGACTGGCATCTTTTTATGCATTTGAAGAAACTTTGATTATTAGTCCTCAGAGTGCCCTGCATGGTGCTTCTCAAATTCCATCCTGAGCCCTCTGAGGCCTTGCTGGCGCCTGCTGACATCTTCCTGGGCTCCCATGTTCTGGGCTTCGCTGCTGCTGCTGCTGCTGCTGCTTTCCCGAGATGACTTTTTAGAATAGAGTGACCAGGTATTTGCTCAGGCGCCTGTCCCCTCTGACTCAGGCACACGCTCTTCATAGAAATATTATCCTAGAGTCAGTTTTCAGGCCTCCTATGGGTTGCTTTATTCTGTACAGAGTTTCTGCCTGCTGCTCATCTAAGTGCCCACAACTGGGCACAGCTCATGCTCGTCTACACGTGCAGTGAATTTTTGACTTCTGGAGGTGTTCCCCTGCTCCCCGTTGTAACCCCTTGGTTTTGGGTTGTAATTATGTGGTGCTGCACTGACCACAGGGGGCTTGTCACGCCTTTCCTCATCACAGAACTCACTCAACCAGTTCCTGTCCCGAGGTCTGACATTAATCTGCTTTGGGAAGTCTTCCCCAAGTCTGACAACTGCAACCTGCCTTGATGGCATATTCTGCCAATGGGTGTTGGGAATAAAAACATGTTTTTATTACAAACACCTATGGGGATAGCAGGTCTCTCAGCACTCACAGGCTCCAGCCTTGTTCCCTCAAAAGTTCCCTTTGCTTACTTCCTTTTTCTTTTTCTTTTTTTGAGACAGAGTCTCACTTTGCTGCCCTGGCTGGAGTGCACTGGCACGATCTCGGCTCACTGCAATCTCCGCCTCCCAGGTTCAAGCGATTCTCCTGCCTCAGCTTCCCGAGTAGCTGGGATTACAGGTGTGTGCCATCACACCTGGCTGACGGAGTTTCACCACGTTGGCCAGGCTGGTCTTGAACTCCTGACCTCAGGTGATCTGCCTGCCGTGGCCTCCCAAAGTGCTGGGATTACAGGCATAAGCCACCGTGCCTGGCCTCTTAATTCCTTTTTCTAGGACCAGAGTGGCAACAGGAGGCCCTGACAGGCCTCCTATTGCTAGCCCAGATGGCCCTGTCCTCTGGGCAGATACAGTCCTCTTCAGGCTCACTGCTGGGTAACAGAAGCTCCATTCACTTCCTTAGTAGTACACAACTGTACATGGTGGTAATGAATTGTGATTATGTAAAAATGACCCACATCAAAATGGGTAGAAAACATCTATTTGTCTATTTGGTAGGTAGGTTCGAGCGCTCTTACATTGTCTCCACCATTTACTTTCCTCCCAACCTTTTGAGGGTGGACTCATGACATAAATCTTAAGCATGCAGGTTGATGACTTTTTACATAAGTACACACCCAATTAACCACCACCCAGATGAAAACAGAGAACACTTCTTGTGTCTCAGAGACTCATGCTCCTCCCCAGTCAACACGGCCTCCCCAGCCACTGATCTAACAGAAGCCTGAGAGCTCCACAAGGGCCCAAGCAGGCTCTAGGACTCCACAGACAGGCCCAGAGCTGCTCTTCACCCATAACCTGCACCAGCCCTGGGGGCTCCCTGCTGCAGTCCACCCTGGAGCATTAGAGCCTCTGCTTTCCCCAGGGATGTGTGTTAGGTGATTTCAGGCCACTTGGAGGGAGAGCATGAAAGGGCAGCAGGAGATCACAGATCTTTCTGGCAGTGGAAGGAGAAAAACCCAGAAGCCAGAATAGGAGGAGGTCACAAGGAAGACCCTGGGAGGAATTCTTTTTCAGTTTTAAAACAACAAGTTTTTGTTGTTGTTGCTAAATGTTTCTTTGTGAGAAGAAAGCCTGCTAGCAACCTCCAATGTAGGGGGAGAGATGGGGAAGAAGAAATCTTGAGGGAGGTGGAAACCTAAGCAGATCCTTGCCTGGGAACAGCCACCATGTAAGTTTAGCTCAAGAGCTCCAGGAAGCATCTGGCAGGCCTGGGACTGACAGGCAGCAAAGCACAGTGGTTCAGAGAGTGGATTCCAGGCCTCTATCACTCACTCAGGTGACCTTGGCCTGGTTACTTAAAAAAAAAAAATCTTGCTATGACAGTTTCCCCATTTGTAAAATGGGGTATTATAGCCTACCTTGTAGGATTGTTGCAAGGATGAAATGAATTAACACAGGAAAACATTTAGAATAGTGCCTGTATATTCAAAGTGCTAAGAATTAGCTGCTATTAGATTGAGCCTCACGAAATTGCCAATATTCAACCATTTTAATCTACAAAAACAACTGCATATGATTCAACCTAACATATTATTATGATTCTATTACACTAGCCCAGGCTGAGGGCAGGAATTGTCAAGAGTCCCCACCTACCACAAAAGAGGCTTTGGCCCAGCTCTGCTGGCAGCTCGCATTTCAAGCTGCCACGGGCCCGGAGGATCCAGCCATTCTGCTCCCAGAGTACTATGTGCAAATGTGCCTCAGGCTCCTTTGCCCAGCGGTCTCAGGAAGGAAACCTCTCAGTGTGATCTCCTTTGTCAGTTTTTGGTCCTCTCTGCCAGGCAGCGGCCCTAGACAACTGCTTGGCCAGGGAGAAGCACGCACCCTTCCTGCTGGGGGCTTTTGTCGCAGCTGGGACCCAGCCCTTTGCCCCTGTGTACTCTGATGCCTCCTCTCCAAACCAGTTTCCCTCAGTATGAACCTTGTATGGTTTACTCATTATGTTAAAAACCACTTAATTAGAAAAGTGGGTTTTTAAAGCTCGCCTCATTGCTTCCAGGACTCGTGAATACACTAAAGGAAGTATTAATATTAATGATAATAAGCTCACTGTTTCGAGGTCTATATATCAAGTACACTATTCTAACTGTCTCACATGTATTTGTTTCTTTATTCTCATCATAGCCCAAGGAGGTAGGTACTATTGCCCCATTTATAGATAAGAAAACGGAGGCACAGAGAAACAAGTTACTTACTTACAGCTGCATGTTTAGGAAAGTGTGAGAGCTGGGATCCGACCCCAGGCAGTCTGGCTCCAAAGACCATGGTTTAACCACTGTACTACTCTGCACAGTCCCTAACCTTGACAGGAAGATATCTGCTTCCTCTCTGAACCCCTTACTGGCTCCCTTTATATCTGGCTCTTTTTCCCTGTTCTTCAAGTGTAACCAGTTTGCTGGTCTGCTAAAACTGCTGCAACTACCACTTTTATTTCTGTAACCACTTCAGCTGGTTTTTCTCTGAGTCACTTAACGTGGCTTTTAGCCCTAAAACTTCTCTCCTAGGCTGGACATGTTTGGTTTTTTACAATACCTGTATTCATCTACAGAGCTTCCTTCACAGTGATTTCACTACAAGCAGCCCTTCAGCAGTTAGGATACATGTGCCTACTTTCTCTGCAAAAGTCACACCCAACAGTTCACAACCTTACACAATGCTTTGTGCCCTTGTTCCTCACACCTCTGCCATGATTCTGTCTCCTAAAGGACACTGCCTGTCTAGCCTAACACCCAGGCACATTTTCTTCTTTTATCATTCATAGAATTTTAGAACTATGGAGGTGGGAGGAACTTTTCACCTTATCCAGTTTAATCGCCCATTCTATTTTGTCTAAAAGAAAGATGTGAGACTCTTCCACAAACAGGATTAATCGAGGTGTTAATACAGCAGCAGACAATAGCCTCCAATGCTGTTCTGTTGGGTATTGCCAAAAGGCCTCAGACCTACCAGATAATTGAAAATGCTACCCAGTAAAGAATATCTCTAGGATTAACATAGCTGTAAAGTCACAGAGTATTGTCCTCTGTTCTGCCGATATTGTGAACTGCTAAAAGCCATTCCAGGAATCATCTGCACCTCCCTGAGCTGATCTGGGAAGCACTTTTATCACATATGGCAAAGCTCTGAGCCTGGCTCATGATAACTAAATTAAACTTCATGCTCTTACTATCCGGCTCCACCTCAACCACATTATCCAAATGGATAGCTCATCCCAGCATACAGCCATTCCAGCCCCTTGTCCTCATTTATCCTGGAATGCCACACATGCTGCTCACTGGCAGAAGCCATGGTTCTTAATCAGTGGCCTGAAGCCTCGGCACCATGGCTAGCATCTACTCACAGAAGTCAATGCATCTGCTCTCCTTTTTCTTCCAAAGCCCTTACTTGGGCAAGCTGGGTCCTGTCTTTCCATCTATCTACTAAATAGTCTTCTGTTCTTTTGCCCCCTAACACCAATCACAGAGTGGTAATGCTCAGGGATCACATGGAGACGCTGCCACTCTTCAGAACATCTATGTTATTAGTTAGAACTTAGAAAAGCATTCAACTTTCTCTGGCTTTTCCCCCTGCTTTTAAAAGAGGTATATACCTATTAAAAACAAACAAACCAAAAAACCTCTCAGTTCAGAAACGTGCAAAGCATAAAAGCAATACACTCGCCACCCCCAACCCTAATGATTCTCTCTGGAGAGCCTGACAATCTCCTCAATCCTTATTTCCCTGACCCTGGAACAGCTCCTAGCCTACCCACCACCTAACATAGGCCCTTCTTGAGTTTTCTACATAGGGACTCTGAAGCACCCCCACCCAGGGGTTCCAGGAGGCTGTACTCTTGCTGGTCATCCCCTCTCAGCCACCTCTGCTCCCTGACCTCTTCATGTAGTCATATAAGAGTGTGTCAAGGCTGGGCCCTGGTCCCCTTCTCTGTCCATCCTTACTTCCTTAGGGATCTCATCCAGTGTGTCGGCTTTAAGCAGCATCTAGGCAAAGGCTCCTAAATTTATAGGTCCAGTCCAGATCTCTCTTTCAAACTCCAAACTCAAGATATATTTGCCTAGTCTGCATCTCTATTTAGACGTCTAATGGTACTTCAAATCCAATATGGCTGAAGCTGGACTCTTGCTGTCCCCACTGTAGCCTTCTCCATAAACCATAAAGCCATCCTGTAGCCTTCTCCATAAACTGTAAAGCCATCCAGACTCACCCCTTTCTGTTGTACTCTACACCCAATTCATCAGGAAATCTTGTTGGCTCTACTTACTAAACAGATCCAAAATCTGGCCACTTCTCACACCTCCACTGTCACTATCCAGGTCCTACCACCTTCATGTCTCATCTGGAGGATTACAGTAGCATCCTGGGTGGTCTCTGCTTCCACTCTTGCCCACACCTACAGTCTACATAGAAGCCAGGGTGGCCCTACTGAAACTAAGTCAGATTGTGCCACTCTCCTCTACTCATGGCTCTTAGAGTTCCTCTTCCACTCAGAGTAAAAGCCAAAGTTCTTACAGTGGCTACAAAGTCCTCTGTGATCTGGGTCCCTGTGACTCCTCTGACCTCACCTCTTCCTATTCTTCCCTTGGATCACTCTGCTCCAGGCCACACCAGTGACCGTCATGATTCCTTCCATAGCTCAGGCATGCTGCTGCCTGAGGCCCCTGCACTGGCTGTTTCCTCTGCCTAGACACTCTTCCTGCTGATGTCCACGTGGCTTGCTCCTTCACCTTCCCCAGGTCTTTGCTCAGATGTTACCTTCTCAGTGAACCTATCAAGACTACTTTATTCGAAATTGCAACCTGTCCCTTCTCTACCACCTAATAAAACCTTTACCCTGCTCTACTTTTTAAAAAAATATTATTTCTTAGCACCTTTACATTCTTTTCAATTTACTATTTACTATGATGTTATTTACTGTATGTCTCCCCACAACTATCAGAGTACGTAAGCTTTATGAGAACAGAGACCTCTCTGTTTCACTTCTTAATATAGCCTTTGTCTTTGACAGTGCTGGCATGTAGCAAGCATTCAATAAATGCTTGTCAGTGAATGACTGAAAGATCTCTTAGGCCTGCCCAGTCACTCTGCAGCCATTCTGGCACAAACACCCTTCTCACACTGAAGAACCCCTGGGCTCCAGTGACTTCCTGCCAACTAAGAGGGACGACCCCTTCAGAGCACCCCTTCTCCCTTCCTACTCCCAGCCAGGTACCTGCTATGGCACCTTCTGTCTGCACTGCCCACTGAGGGGCTAACTCCCATTCTAATGTTCATTCCCTGCCCACACTAAGCTCTTGGCCACTCACCTGAAAATCCTCCTCATCCAAGATCTCTTTCCTCCACTTGATCAAGAAGGCTGCACACACGTAGAGATGAAAGTGGGAGAACCCTTCTGGTTCAGACTGGGAAGCAGAAAAATAGAGTTAGGTCTCCCAGCCCTGACAAAGATTCAGCTCTGGTCCTCTCAGTTCCATTCCTTCTGGGAGGTGGGAAACTCTTTCACGGTTGGGGAGATGGAGTTCTGAAGAGACTTAGCAAAGGCCCTGCCCTGAGGCTAAAGCAGACATGGAAGTAGAAAAGAGGAGAAGGGGAAGCTTCTAAGCAGCTACATTCCACAACATGGCAGAGAGCTGGACACCTCAGAGACAGCCTGGCACAGAGAGGCCGGGGAATCCCTCCTACCTGATATGTGTCCCACAGGCGGATGGTGCAGCGAAGAGGAAGCTCCCGCATAAGCAGGTTGTTCATCCAGCGGAAGGCAAACTGCAGGTATTCTACCTCGTACCTCCTGAAGTGATTATGTACCTGCTCTGAAACAGGAAGCATCATTGGGGATCAACCTAGGGGACTGGACCCTGAAAGGGCCACAGGAGCCAAAATAGCAGCTCCCACTTCTTACTGCCCCCTCCCATGGGTAAGCAGACACAGAGGAGGCAGACAGCCATCTGACTGTCCTTTATGTTTGATTCCATCATCTCACAGCAACACTGCATGGTTAACTCAGCCCAGCAGACAGAACTATTTTAACATCCCCCAGTGATGTTCTAGGAGCCCCGCTTCCTTTGTGGGGCCGCTCTGGCCACAAAGCAGAGGATAATGAGGTTCACTTGGCTGCTCAACCTTAGTACTCATCAGAGAAGAAGCCAGAACTGAAAAGAACCATGGAGGTCACCTTGGCCACCCTCCTACTGGCGAGGAACTCCTCTTCAGCATCCCCGCCAGATGGCTAGCCAGCAGGGATGTGAACACTGCCAGCGAAAGGGGCTCACAAACTCCACTCAAGGGAAGCCTCTTCCACTGATGTATGAAGTGATTCACCAGAAAGCGCTTCACCATATTCAACAAAACCAGCTGCCTCCTCACTCCCACCCTTTGGTGTTCGTGTGATATTCTCAGGCAAGCCCAAACAAACCTGATTGCTGTTCCACAGGACAGCTCTCCAAATAATGCTTAGTGGGATTGTTTTCTAAATTACTGTCCTCAGTTTCCTACCCTATAAAATGGGAATAATCATTCACACCTCAGAGGGTTTCAGGGAAGATAAATGAGAACACACAAGTAAAGTGCTTACAATGGCACCTGGAATGTGGTAAATATTTCAAACAATTCTTGAAAGAAGAACTATTAACAATGGTTATGGCCAGGTGCTGTGGCTCACACCTGTAATCCCAGCACTTAGGGAGGCCGAGGTGGGCGGAGTGTTGAGCCCAGGAGCTCAAGACCAGGCTAGGCAACATGACAAAAGCCTGTCTTTACTGAAAATACAAAAATTGGCCAGGCGTCATGGTGCGCACCTATAATTCCAGCAACTCAGGAGGCTGAGGTGGGAAGATCCTTTGAGCCAGGAGGTCAAGGCTGTAGTGAGCCAAGATCGCACCAGTGCACTCTAGCCTGGGCGACAGAGCAAGACTCCATCTCAAAAAACAAGTTATTTCTGGGGAGAAGAATTTAAGGAGAGGAAGGATTCCTACCTTATCACCCTGGCTGGAATACAGTGGTGCGATCTTGGCTCACTGTAGCCTTGACCTCCTGGGCTCGAGTGATCCTTCCATCTCAACCTCCTGAGTAGCTGGGACTACAGTCGTGTGCCACCATGCCCAGCTACTTCTTAAATTTTTTGTAGAGATGGGGTCTCACCATGTTGCCCAGGCTGGTCTTGAACTCCTGGGCTCAAGTGATCCTCCTGCCTCGGCTGGGATTACAGGTGTGAGTCACCGTCCCCAGCCTGTTTAAATTTTTTTAATGAGGAAGTATTACTTCTACAATGCAAAGAAACATCCAAGATATATATACTTAAAAATCCACTATTCCAAAGTATTATGCCTTTATGTATCACGTATTTGTAAGGGCGGAAAAAATAAGGATAGGGCAGACAGTGGCAGAAACCACAGCATCTGCCTGTTGAAACTTGATTGATGACCAGCCTCTGGCAGCCAGCTTATCCCCCAGAAGAGGGCAGCATACACTCTGTGCTAGGCTCCGGTTGAGGGATGTCAAGAGACCTGCACAAGGGGCCCAAACGTGAGGGCTAACAGCTGGGCCAGGGTGATAAGACACAGCGGAAAAAAAATTCCACATGTGACATACGGGAAGTAACTGTGAATAAACAAATGGGTTCAGAAGATTGAAATGCTAAGTCATAAAATAGAGTGAGTGGAACAACTCAATGAAGGTTTTCATGAAAAGAGAACCTGGGAAAGAAGAGAGAAAGATATACAATGTTGGGGGTGGGGGTGGGCAGCAGGTAAGGGAGAAAGGCTTTGCTTGGGTGAAGCAGAAAATCCAATGAGTAGGAAAGCCTGGGAATAACATTTGTTAGCTGGTGTCAGGACAGGCAGAGTCCTATGGGAGCTACTACAACTTCACTAGTGTTAGAGATCCCACCGACTTCTCTCCCCATGCCTCACTTAAACATCAGTCAACAGCAGAGCTTCCTGAGTTGTCCTTTCGTTCTAACATTCTATGACTCTAGGCCAAAGCTGAGGAATTCCTGTAAGGCTGTTCCTCAAAGACATGTGCCTTAGGAAGAGCCACATCTCAATTTCCCCACCCCACACAAGTCCTGGGAAGCTGTATAAAGTCCTGCTGGGGTATCAGCCAGGCCTGAGGACCCCATATCAAGCCCAGGAGTTATGAGTTACATCATAACGTGAAGGACAAGGCCGGACGACAGGCTGGATGCTGAAGGCAATGGAGAGCTATGGGAGGCTTCAGAGCAGAAGAGGGACGTGGCCAGAACAGAGCTGCAGAAAGATGCAATTGCGTGACAGATAGTTTGGAAGAGAAGAGTATGGAGAAGGCAAGCCCTCTGAGGAGGAAGCTGGACCAGAGCTGTGGCTGGGGAAGTGGGGAACGGGCGTACTGAAGAGAGCTGCTGAAGGAGAACCGATAGAGCCTGGTGATAGGAAACCAAGGGGAAAGAAGAACTTGATATAACAGCACAGTTCTCACTTCACCTTCCTGCTGAGATGTGGAAGGATCCCGGTGCTGCCAGCAGCACTCAGTGCGCTGGAAAGGGTCATGGCTAGGAAGACAGCTGAGGAGAGGACCCACAAGCACAACCGCCTCATAACAGAATCAACTCTGCTATTGCTAGAGAACTCTTCTCCCTCTGAACCTACCATCAATCCGGCTGACAAGCTCTTCCAGTGCCTTCACCTTCTTCTGGATTCCTGGTTGTGCAAAGGTGTAGTTATCCTGCAAATGACACAGAGCCCAGGATGAACATGGACTCTAACTTGTGTTATCACCTGACATTCACTGAAACACGTTTAGAAGTTCAGGCCATTTTCCAAAGCTAGTACCAATGGCCAGTGACAGTGTTCTGGGAAACAAAGAAATCTACAGAACAACAGTGTTGGGGGAAAGCCCAATGGAGCCCTGCAGTGTGGAAGCAAACCCATGTGCTTGGGGTACAGAGCAGAAAGGAGCAGTCTACTCCAAAGACGAAGTCAAGGCAACATGGAGATTTCTGCAGACTCCAAGGGACACTACACCATCACTGTTTTGTTTTTTTTTTTTTTGAGATAGGGTCTCACTCTATCGCCCAGGCTGGAGTGCAGTGGTGTGATCATGGCTCACTACAGCTTTGACCTCCTAGGCTCAAGTGATCCTCCCACCTTAGCCCACTGAGGACCTGGTACTATAGGCACACGCCACCACGCCTGGCTAATTTTAAAATTTTTTGTAGAGAAGGGGTCTCTCTATGTTGCCTAGGCTGGTTTTGAACTCCTGAGCTCAAGCGATCCTCCAGTCTTGGCCTCCCAAAGTGTTGGGATTACAGGCGTGAGCCACCGTGCCCGACCCACCATTGCTGTTTGAAAGCTGTAAAGCCAATGAAGAAGGATAGAGATGGATGAAAAGGAGGAGGAGCCATAGTGGGTGGGTGGGTGGTCCTGCCTGATACAGAAGAGCAAGAAAGAAACCAAAGCCCTGCTGGGAGCCTCTGGACCTAGACGTTTGTTCCCACAAGGGCAGAAGCAGCTCACCTGGATTCCATCCAGCAGCTTGCTCATGCACCAAAAGCTGTCAGCCTCAATGCTTCGCAGCATGTCTTGAGACAAGTTGGTCACGTCAAAGTTCTCCACATCCTCTTCTGTAAAACAAAAGGTGAAGAAAGTCCAGAGGTCTTATCTAAAAATGGAGAGAGAAAGATAGATTCGAGTGTCTTCAATGGGGTCTTTAAGGCCAAGTGAGGACCAGGCTAACCTGATGTTAAGAAACAAGGGCCTGCCCCTCTACTGTCTGTGTCAGGTGGGCAAATATGTCCCTTCAAGAACATATTTGTTCTTGAAGATCTCACTACAACACTGGACAGGCCATTTCTCATGCTAGTCCCATCAGGTCCAACATATCTTTCTCTTCCTTGGCATTTGTTCGTTCAGTTTTAGAAAATGATACTTCAGGTCTCATGTTCAATGAATTATACTCAGATCCCTGAAGATGGCCTGGAAAATTTCTTTGATTTCAGCTCAGTGAGCTGTCTAGCACACTCACACTCATATATAGGGAGAACAGCTAGGATCAGAAAGCCCCCACAGTTTATTTTAAAGATGGAATTCCCAAGTTCTGATAAGGCAGACCCACAGTCTTGCCACTCAAAAGAGAAGGTATGCATGTAAAGGAAGATGAGTCAAGCCTGTGAGTGCTTCTAGGACTTAATTCCAACAAGATGGTATTTCTCAAGATGGGTTCTGCAAAACATCAATCCTACAGAACACTCAAAAAAAAGGGGGGGTTCCACAGACAAATATGGTTGAGAAATGTTGCATTAGATATCCCCATCTTGGAGATTAGCAAAGATCACAGCACACAAAAGGGTTTGAGAAGTTAACAGAAATTCTGCATTAAGTAAATCTGCTTAACTTTGTTTATCCAGCATTTCCCAAGTTTATCTAGCCACGAGACCTCTTTGGAAAGGACTATCTGTTAGCTTCTCATGGAAACCTCCCACTGAGTAACAGGAGTGAGAATCTGTCTCGTCTGAGATGCAAGTGAGGAAAACATAAGCAGCCTTCCAGAAACCTGAAGAAGGAAAAGGCTATGTGATGTGTCCTTCCTAGCCCATGTTTAACTCCCACTTCCTGTCACAGAGAGGTGAAGTAGTAAGAAGTGCTGTGTTTGCCCAACAAGAAAGGCCCCTGTGTATGCCTGTCAGAGGCCACACACAGAAACAATCAAGCCCTTGAGTTCTCTACCAGACAGCTTTTCTCCTCAGACCCACAACCCCTATTCTGGAAACAGATGTTCACTGCAATCCCTTGTGCTACAGAGACACAGGCATTAGACAAAATGTATTCAGAATCTAGCCTTTTTTTTTCTTTCTTCCTTTCTTTTTTTTGAGACAGGGTCTCACTCTGACGCCCAGGCTGGAGTGCAGTGGCACGATCTCGGCTCACTGCAGCCTTGACTTCCCAGGCTCAGATGATCCTCCCACCTCAGCCTCCCAAGTAGCTGGGACTACAGGTGCATACAACCACGCCCAGCTAATTTTTTGTCGTTTTTGTAGAGATGAGTTTTTACCATGTTTCCCAGGCTGGTCTCAAACTCCTGGACTCAAGTGATCCTCACACCTCAGCCTCACAAAGTGCTAGGATTACAGGTGTGAGCCACTGCACCTGACCCCAGCCTTTTCATTTCTAAGCATTGTTACTAAGACCTATATCTGAACCTCCTTGAGAAAACATGTAACAACTCTCGGATTCTCACCCGTTTAAAGAGACATTTTTAAATGAACATCAAGGCTGAAAAAAAAAAAACCCCTCTTGAGAAGGGTGGGGTGCTTTATCAGAAAAGCCATGACTCTAGGAATGACCTAAAAAAAAAAAAATCCAACTTGAAGGCCAGCTGCAGTTAATATATATAAAGTGCTAAATATAGTGCCTGGCACACAGTAGGCACAATATAGCTATCTTAGATGGAATTTATGAGGAACTTGTAACGACATAAAAAAGCATGCCACAATATTAAGGAGAAAAGAGGGGAAAAATTATTTATGGCATACTTTCTTACTGTGCATACAATATTTATGTGTTTATATAAGCACAGAGGAAAGACAAAACATCTCAAGGTTTACAGTATTTATTCCCCAGGTGGTACGAATGAAGGATTTTATTTTCTTAAAGCTTTATTGGACTTTTCAAAATTTCTATAATAAGCATAATTTTTATAGTCATTTTATATGCACAGTATTTTAGGAAAAAAGAGCCACAATTGACTACATCTGCCTTTTATCACCAAAAAAGAATAAAGAAGACTTTGTAAAACAACACTAAGCTTGCAGAAACTAAAAATCTAGATAGCATATAAAGATCAATTTGAGAAATCACATTTTATTTTTATTTTGAGACAGAGTTTTGCTCTTATCTCCCAGGCTGGAGTGCAATGGCACGATCTCAGCTCACTGCAGCCTCTACCTTCCAGGTTCAAGCAATTCTCCTGCCTCAGCCTCCCAAGAAGCTGGGATCACAGGCATGAGCCACTATGCCTGGCTAATTTTGTATTTTCAGTAGCGACGGGGTTTCACCATGTTGGCCAGGCTTGTCTCAAACTCCTGACCTCAGGTGATCTGCCTGCCTTGGCCTCTCAAAGTGGTAGGATTACAGGCGTGAGCTACCGTGCCCAGCCGAGAAATCATATTTAAAAATTCTTCCAAGAAATATCATTTTTCTTTTATTCCTATTATTCTTTTTATTATTTTTCTTTTATTCCTATTATTCCTTTTATTCTTTTATTGTATCCTAACTTAAACATTTACTATGTAGGTTTTTTTGTTTTTTTATATATGTAAGTATATATACATATTTGTTTTCTTATATATGGTAGTATACATACATATTTTAAAATATATGTAAGTATATCTATATAGATATACTTACATATATAAAGCTATATTAAAATATAATTATATATAAAATTATATTTCACATATATTTAAATATAATTATACATTATATAAAAATAAAATTATGTAAATATAATTTTATATTTTATAATATATATTTATATATTAACAGTTTAAATTATTTTACCTAATATTTTATATTATGTTTTATATTATATTTTAATATTATATAATTAATTAATTTAGTTAAATGATATTGGGCTGTAAAACCCGGCTTAGGATCTTCCTTTGACTTTTTGCTTCATGTTACATTTCTAAGGTCCGTGTTCCTGTACATACCTCTAGTTCATTGCTGCATGGTGCGCCTCCATCACACTTTATCCATTTCCTCAGGGATGGATATACCCAGGTTGCCTCCAACTCTCATGACCATAAACAATGCCCCAAGGAACTGTTTCCTTTGAGAACTGCTCTGGGTCACAGGCTCAGGCAGACTCTTCTCCAGGACTAGCCTCACAACGGTGCACAAGGGAGGAGAGCCCTTTCCCTATTCATGAGCATGACTTCTAATCCATCCTAGGCAGCAGCTCCCTCTTTATGAAAATAGGGTCGTTGGAAAAAAGTGAAACCCACAGGGAAGGATGGAGACTAAAACCACCCCAACTCCTCCTACACATTTCCTAAAGGAAGATCCAGAGCTCCATAATAAATTGAAAGGTCTTTTCCAACTTGGGCATTTTAGGATTCCAGAACATTGCAATGCAAATACAAGCATAATTGGAAACCACACATGGCAGGGTAAAAAGAGAGCAAGAGCCCCAGTTCCTGAGGGCAACAGGAGCATCGCTGTCACACCAGCCCTAGTGACCTGTGGCTTTTTTGTCAGACAGAATAGCAAGCACATGGCTAAGAGCAGACTCTGAAGCCAGGCTGCAGAGCTCAAGTCCTGGCTCTGTCATTCAGTAGCTATGTGACTTTGCACAAATGGCTTTACTTTCTGTGTCTCAATTCCTCATCTGTTAAAGTGGTAATATCAGTACTAGTGTCATAGGATATTTTATGGATTAAATAAGTTAGTTAATATATGAAAAGTGCTAACAACAGTGCCTGGCATAAAGTAAGCATTACATAAAAGTTAGCTGGCATAATTATTATTGTTACCAAAGGAATAAATACACTTCTACCTTATTTAAGCCACTGGCACTGTCTTTTTTTTTTTTTTTTTAAGAGACAGGATCTTACTATATTGCCTAGGCTGGTCTTGAACTCCTGGGCTTAAGTGAACTCCCACCTTGGCCTCCCAAAGTGCTGAGATTACAGGTGTGAGCCTCCATGCCCAGCCAGCACTGAAATTCTGGATCTCTATTATTCACAGCCAAACTTAATCCTAACTGATATACCTGCCATCCCAAAATATACCTTAAAAATAAGTCAATTTTAAAAGTTCTCTACTTCTGTCTTTCGTCTTAAGGAGGAAAACCTGACTAACAACATGAGGTCATAAGTTGGTAAGGTGCCATGCTCGGTAACTGTACCCACTCCAAACTGTTAGCCATCTAGGGAGCAAAGGGAACAACAGACAAGGTGCTGAACCCTATTTTGGGGCACTGAAATGGGGGCTGTTGTTTGCCCATTAGCCCTTTGTTTTCACAGCCAGTGAGATAGTTCCCCAGCACTTCAGAGAGTGGGAGGGAGGGTTTAGTTCTATTTTTCTGCCTGCTGGGTGGATAAAATTCAAACATTTAGTCAAAAACTGTGAGCTGAGTGCACCAGCAAAAAGCAGTGGAGAAAGGGAGGAGCAAATGCTCTCTGAAGGGCTTCATTCAGCATAAACAATCTGTTCAGAAGGATCATTAAGCGTCCACTTGAGGAAATTCAACACATAATTGAAGCTGAAATGGGAAACCATGCCAGCAGTGCAGTCTCGAGTGAGGGCAGCGTCTCTGGTTGTCATGACAAGAGCATACAGCAGCAGGACTCAGATGGGAGGAAACAAGATTTTAAGGGATATTTTATGGCTATTTTAAAAGGCAAGGCATCCACAAGGAGGAAGCTCAAAAGCTCTTTATAAAAATCAAATTGGCCACTCTGGGCCTTACAAAGAACATGCCCATTTATTAACTGATGAAATGTACTTGAGTGATGGCTCCAGTCAACTGTTTATTTTTCCAAGAACTCTGAGCCCCAGTCCTAAAAAATCAGCTTAATATATGCCTCAAAAATTCCCTGACAGTTTTAGGAAGAACTGGTTTTACCAACACCAACAAGAGTAACTTGTCTATTCACTGCTCTAGGCATTTCCCAGGAACCATCTGTGATCTCAGGACAATTTCTAGATGTGATCTGGTGGGCCAGCATGATTCAACCTGACCGGCCGGACCAAGAGGCTCCAACGCCTCAGCTGCAGATGGCCTTTCTATTTTCCAAAGCCTCTGGTTTACCTGATTCGGGTCCTTGTTGTTGTTGTTGTTGAACCGGACTCATAAGAATACCTTGCGTAATATTTTCTGATAACAGGCCAGGCGCTGTGGCTCACGCCTGTAATCCCAGCACTTTGGGAGCTCCAGGCAGGTGGATCACAAGGTCAGGAGTTTGAGACTAGCCTGGCCAATATGGTGAAACCCCGTCTCTACCAAAAATATAAAAATTAGCCGGGCATGGTGGCAGGTGCCTGTAGTCCCAGCTACTCAGGAGGCTGAGGCAGGAGAATTGCTTGAACCCGGGAGGCAGAAATTGCAGTGAGCCGAGATTATGCCACTGCACTCCAGCCTGGGCGACAGAGCGAGAAGACTCTGTCTCAAAAAAAAAAAAAGAAAAAAAAGAAAAAAAAATTTCTCATAACAAAAGTAAACTGACTGAGAAAAATAAAAAAATATTTTTGACCATATCTAAAGAACCTCTTAAAACAGCAACAAATATTTCATTCAGAAAAAAGCAGTTTTAAGAAAACTGTCAAGAATTCATCTTATCACTTCTATGTAATAATTTTGAACTGGTTCAAGCGCTATATATAAACGTATTGTTGGGTGTTATGCATCTGGCATTTTCAGGAAAGTACCTGATGGCAGCAGCTGAGACAATAATAGCACTGCAAACCTGTAAGTGTAGAGAGGGTGGAGAGGCCCCTCGCTAAACCTGGGAAAGCCAAACCACCTGACAAAGACAGGGGGAGCTGGTCTCTGAGAGAGATGGCCACTCCAATGAGATGGTTGGAGGAAAGACTTATTTCGAGATTCCCACAGAGAAGAGACCCACTGGGAGGTGGTTCTGTTTCACAAGGCCCATGTTTTTCTGACTGTCAGAGGAGATGTGCTATTTTGAAGATGCTGCTTAGCTGACCATACAGCATTCTGACACTGTGCCTGTCAATCAGGGTGGTGACTATTAACTCAGAATAATACATGAACTCTGGCTGCTCAGTATAGGATAGCATGGGTATACATGTATCATGATGCCCTGGTTAAAATTAATTTTAAAAACCAACATACCACCAAGTTTTCACTATTTTCCTTAGGTTGCTGTATTACTTTTACTTTTATTTAGCAAACATTAGTTGCTGCTGGTTAAGTCAGCCTCCTGACATTGGCTATAGGATCCCAGATTATATGAGCCCAAACTCTGAGTATTTGGGTTATGGAGTAAAGGAAGAGGAGGCAAAGGAAAGGCAAGGTCCAGCACATACTTAATCTTCTAGGACCTGCCCAAAGACCACTCACAGAGATGGGCAGCATGTTACTAAGACGCTGTGGATGTGAACAGGCTCTGGGAGGCTCAGGGTCCCCACTGCCAGTGTCAGCTGTTCACAGAGGCTACTCATGTAGGCTCAAATATCTTCAATATGTTGGCTACCTCAACATCTCCTCTGTTACGATTTCTCACTTATCCCTGGGGTCAGATGAGGGACAGAGAGCAAATGTGCACATCCTGCTCAGCTCACTGCCAGGGTAGAGGACTAGGCTAGGTCTTATAGTCTCAGAAATGACAAGCCACAACTTGCCCTTGGAGAGCTCACCTCCTGCAATGACAGGAAATCCAGCACTGGACGCACCACTGTCCCACCAAACGCACACACTGTCTTCAAGTGTCACTGAAAGCAGCTCAGCATCCTGACTGGGCTATCTCCACACACTGCTGGCAAGAGCCTCAATATTTCTCAGCTGCCTATCACATGGGAGGCTGCTTCATCTACGAAGATGGGGCCAGGAGGCAGCTTGAGTCCCAAATAGGGTGGCTGCTAAAAACTCAGCATCAAGCCCACTCCCCACCAATTCCCTCCAAACTAACAACATTAAAGTGGAAAATTCTTACTATATGATTCAAATTAGATAAAGCTTAGAAATAGGCAAAACTGACCGGGCGCGGTGGCTGACGCCTGTAATCCTAGCACTTTGGGAGGCCGAGACGGGTGGATCACGAGGTCAGGAGATCGAGACCATTCTGGCTAACACAGTGAAACCTTGTCTCTACTAAAAATACAAAAAAATAATAGCCAGGCGTGGTGGCGGGCGCCTGTAGTCCCAGCTACTCGGGAGGCTGAGGCAGGAGAATGGCGTGAACCCGGGAGGCAGAGCTTGCAGTGAGCCAAGATTGCGCCACTGCACTCCAGCCTGGGGGACAGAGCAACACTCCGTCTCAAAAAAAAAAAAGGAAATAGGCAAAACTAATCTAGGTGTTAGAAATCAGTAAAGTAGTTACCCTTGTAGGGGCAGGGGAGGAGAGGACGGGGTAGGGACTAGGAGGGAACACAAAGGGACTTCTGAAGTCCTAGAAACGTTCCACGTCTTGCTGTGAGTGCTGGTTATTTTGGGGAAATTCATCGAACTGTGCATGTATGACAGATGCACTTTTCTAAATGTATGATTTAATATGAAGTTCACATTTTAAAAAGCAGAAAAGGAATGGCCTCTTGAGACAATAATAAAGTTTGTCCAGTTTCATCTTTGGCCTAGCCAGACAGGGAGGAACAGACTGGGCAAAGCTGATGCAAAGAGTCAGATGTAAGATGGAGGATGCCGCCTCCCAGGACTGAGCGTGGGGGGCGAGCACAATCCACAACAGCCCAGGAGCAAGACAAGACAACAGGATCCACACTACCTTTTCTTTGAAAATGTGAGTGTTGACTATCAAAAATTAACTGCACAGCTCCCTCCCTTACCTCCTTCAGGGCTCTGCTCAAATGTCATCTCCTCAGTGTGAAGGCGGCTCACCACCCGGTTTAAAACCTGCCTCCTGCTCCCACACTTGCCAGCATGGCACATCCCTGTCCCTCTTTCTTGCTTTGTTTCTATCCATAGCACTTATCTCAATCCTACAAATATCTGTTTTTTCAGTTGATTGTCTGTTTCTGCCCACCAGAAATTAAACTAAGAAAGCGATTTTTTTAAAAAAGTAGAATTACGCATAGTAAACTGCACATATGTGCACAGTTCTATGAGTCTTGACACATGTTTATGTCTATGGTTTAAAAAAAAAATGCCCCCATCCAAATAGAGAATATTTCCATCACCCCGGAAATGTTTCCTTATGCTCATTCTCAGCCCACCTCCCACCATAGGTAAACTTTGCTCTCATTTCTATCGCCATAGATAAGCTTTACCTATTTTTAACTCCATATAATGTGAATCATACAATATATATATTTTTTGGTATCTGGCTTCTTTCATTCTGTTTCATGGTTTCTGAGACTCTTCCATGTTGCTGTACTACTAATAGTACGTTCTCATTTATTGCTGAGTACTGCTCTGTGGTATGGATATCTGTTCTCATATTAGCTGATATTAGGGTTGTTTCATTTTATGTCTGTATAAAGTTGCTGTGAATATGTTTGTGCATGTCTTTTGGGGCTATAAGCCTTCATTTTCCTTGAATAAATACCTAGAAGTAGAAGGCAGGGTTTTTGTCTACTTCGTTTATGGTCATAAACCCCAGTGCCTAGAGCAGTGCCCTGCACATGTGGGTGCTCATCAAAGACTTGTTGACTAAGTGGTGGTGCTCCACCTCCATCCCTTAGGGGAGAGAGAACTTTCGGCTAATTCAGCACAGTATCAGAAAAGTGTAACTCACTGCCCTCCAGTGGCCAAGCCTAGTGAAGCTGTACTAATTTCTGAGTATTCTGCAGTTATGGAATTTTCATTCTCTCATTCATCTGGACATGTGTGGAATGCCTATTTTGGACACCAAAATGAAGGTACTGGGGATATGAAGATGTTTAAAATACTCTTTGGCCTCAAAGAATCAGAAAGTCTGGTGGCAGAGAGTAGGAGGGAAACACAAACAACTAGCGAGGTAAAGTGCCACAGGAGAAATCTACAGAGTGACAGAAATAGCACTATTAGATGCCGGGGGTCAGGGGGACCCCAGGGAAGGCTTCTAGGAGGAAGGGGAGTCTTAAAGGGTGCACAAAGATTAGCTCAGGAGATAAAGAGGTGGTGCAGGACAAGGCTTTACATTTACAATGTCCATTTTGGATTGTTGAGTTTAAGGGGCGAAGCAGGGAGCAGGTCACAGGGCCTTTACATGCCAAGTTAGAAAACCTGGACATTTAACCTATAGGTGATGGAATGCTAAGGAAGGATTTTTGTCAGAGGAGTTCTGTGGGCGAGTCTCTGTTTGAATGGTGTGCAAGATGGGTTTGAAGGAGATAAAACCGGGGGTGAGAAAACATGCTTGGCTGGTTCAGCAATCCAGGCCTGACCTAGGGCGTGCATAGTGAGAATGAAGAAGAAGCAGATTAAGAAACATTTAGGACGTAAAATCACCAGAGCTTTGTAAATGATTGGATATGGAAGAGTAAGGAAACAGAATCATGAACAATTCTTAGCATTTCTGACTTAAGTGACAGGAAATACTGCCAACTAAGAGAAAAGGGTGCCTGGGTAAGGGAAGGAGAAGAGCCAAACACCGAGTCTGAGGAGCCTAAGAATAGCAAAGATTGCCTAAAAATAACTGTTCCCTTCTTCCTCCTTGGTGACAGGACCCCTAAGTGTATTGGCCACCTAAGACAGACTGTTTCTCAGCCTCACTTGCTGCTAGGTGTGCCCACGAGATTAAGTTCAAACAAAAGAGAATCAAGCCCCAGAGTCATGCACAGCTTTCAGAAATGTTCTTAAACAGAAGAAGTATGCCTTGCTTCCTTTCCTTCTCCATACTGGCTGGAATATTGATGTGATGGCTGGAGCACAAACAGCTCTTGGATCATGAGAAAGAAACCACATGCTGAAGACTGCAGAATGAGAGAGAGCAACCTGGATCTCTGATATTTTGGAGCAGCAGATAAGCCCCAGATCACTCACCTCTGGACTTTTAATGTGAGAGAAATAAGCTTTTCTATCTTACTTAAGGAACTGTTACTTGGGTTCCCTGTTATGTGCAGCCTAGCTAATCCTAAGTGATCATCTATGACATAATCAGGTGGAAATGCCATGTAGGGAACCGGACACAAGTCAGAGGTCTGCGGAGGACTTCCTTTCCGAGAGTTCCACTGCTGTCATGCTTCCAGGTAAAATCTACGGTGAAAATCCTACTGTGCTGTTTTATGCAAAGGAAAAGAGAAAAGGTTACTTGATAATTGGTGTTGCATTTTGTACCTAAAAATATCATCAGACACCACTCTTCTTTTGAAAATAGGAAACATCATAAGTCCTGCTCTTCTCCATGACTTCCTTATATGAATCACTTCTGTTGTTCCTGTTAAGCAGTTTATTTTGATGATGGCTGCATGGTCAATTATATTGGACCTCAGTAGTTCAGAGCTAGACTAATATTGCCTAAGCCTAAAAGCTCTTGGAGGAAAGAGTTTAGAATTATACCACAGTCTCAGAGATAAGATTCCAGAGACTTTATCTCCCCAGGGGTGACCTCCCCACCTGCAGCACTGTCACCACTAGACCCAGACACAGCTGGCTTATCTGCAGAGGACCCACTTTTACAGGAGCAGCTGGCTTCAGCAGATAAAGAAGCTGCTTGGGGGCAAGGCTAGAGCTATAGACAACTTCTCTATCAACTCACAGGGGAATCACTGGAACTCACTGTTTCCAACTACTTTACAACAAACATAACATAAAGCATGAAGCAGGCTCAGGTACTAATTTTTAAAAGTGATAGAGGTGGTAGAGAATAGGTAGGGGAAGAGATATGAGAGAAGCCAAATAATGTCCCAGTGGCATGTGGACCCCACGGCTCCACTAGGGCAGATCCCCTATGCTATGATTCAGTGAGATGGGGCAGTGGGGTAAGGATGCCTGGAGAGACCTACCCAGGATAATGAGGGCAACTGCTGGCCTGTTCCATGAGAAAGATACTTGAGGCTTCCTACAGTAGGGAGAGTCACACCAGGAGGGCCATAGCAAAAAACCTTTGACAGCAGCTGCCTCATCCAGATACGCCAACATGAGAGAAGTAGAGAAGAGAAGCATCATTGCCCAGACAAAAAAATGATGCTTGCTGGCCACAATGTTGTATCTATCTCTGTTCAAGAAAGGTGTGAGGGTGGGGAGAAGTCTGTATTTCTTTGGAATTTAATTTATATCCAGCAACTGACAGGTAAATAAGATGTAGTACATCCATATAATAGAATATTTGGCCATAGAAAAGAATGAAGTACTGACACGTGCTACAACATGAATGAATCTTGAAGACATTACGCTAAGTAAAAGAAGCCAGACACAAAAGACTCCATACTGTGTGGTTCCATTTATATAAAATGTCCAGGATAGGGAAATCCCTAGATACAGAAGATTAGTGGTTGCCCAGGGATACACGGGATGGGAGGCTTAGGGGTGATGGCTAAAGAGTACGAGTGTTCTTTCTGGGGTGATAAAATGTTTTAAAATTGATTGTGGTGACATACAACTCTGTAAATATACTAAAAATTATTCACTGTACCCTTTAAATGAGTAAATTGTCTGGCACACGAAGTACATCCCAATAAAGCTGTTACCAAAAAACCCACAAAAATTGTAATTTATAAATTTATTGCAACTCCAATAAAAATTGTATTAATAAAAGGTTCCCCACTCCTACATTTGACAAAAGTTGATTCTCAAGTTCAACCAGATGAACCTGGAAGACATTATGCAAAGTAAAAGTTGGTTTACAAAAGGACACATGCTATATGAATCCACTTACATGAGGTATCTAAAATAGTCACAAACATAGAAACAGACAGAGTAGTGGCTGCCAGGGGATAGGGGGAAGGGGAAACAGAGGGTTGACGTTCAGAGGGTACAAATTTGACAACTGTAGGCAAGATGAATATGTTCTAGAGATCTGCTGTACAACCATGTGCCCACAGCTTACGATACTGTATTGTGCACCTCAAAATTTGTTAAGAGGGTAGACCTCATGTTAAGTGCTCTTATCACTATGAGAAAAAGATAAAAAATAAACAAAATTGAAAAATAAGTTCATCTGGAAGAACAACCAAGACAGTATTTTTTTAAAGGATAATGAAAGAGACTGGCCCTGGGTGGGGGGAATTTTTTTTAAAAAGCCACTAATAAAAAATAATAGCCAGGCACGGTGGCTCATGCCTGTAATCCCGGTGTTTTGGGAGGCCAAGGTGGGTGGAGGACTTCAGGCCAGGAGTTCCAGACCAGCCTGGCCAGCGTGGTAAAACCCCGTCTCTACTCAAAAATACAAAAATTAGCCAGGCATAGTGGCGATGCCTGTAGTTCCAGCTACTAGGGAGGCTGAGGTGGGAGGATGGCTTGAACCTGGGAGATGAAAGTTGCAGTGAGCCAAGATTGTGCCATTGCACTCCAGCCTAGGCAACAGAGTGAGATTCCATCTCAAAATAAATAAATAAATAAAATATATAATAATAATAATTTAACAACTTTATAAACTCAAAAAATCTAAGCTGTGTGGTACTGGATAGAAATGGAGACAAATAAAATCAAACCAACAAAGCAGCAGAACCATGTAATTAAAATTACGTAATATTATGAAGAGAGATTTCACATCGGTGAAAAGATGGTGTATTATTTATAAATGGTGTCGAAATAATTAGCTATGCAACTGGAATAGTAACTATAAATCTCAGTTCTCATCATACAAGAAAATAAATTAGTAATGGAATTTAAAAAGTTAAATGTTAAAGCCACAAGAGTATTAGAAGAAAACACGGGAGAGTATTTTTGTAATCTTTTTTTTTTTTTTTTTTTGACAGAGTCTCACTCTGTCACCCAGGCTAGAGTGCAGTGGCGTGATCTCGGCTCACTGCAACCTCTGCCTCCCAGGTTCAAGCGATTCTCCTGCCTCAGCCTCCCGAGTAGCTGAGATAACAGGCAGCCGCCACCATGCCCGGCTAATTTGTGTATTTTTGGTAGAGACGGGTTTTGCCATGTTGACCAAATTGGTCTGGAACTCCTGATCTCATGTGATCCGCCTGTCTCAGCCTCCCAAAGTGCTGGGATTACAGATGTGAGCCACCATGCCCGGCCAGTATTTTTGTAATCTTGAGGTGGGGAAGGAAAGAGTTCCTAAGCAAGATACCAAATCCAAAAACCCTAAAGGAGAAGCTGCTTCCCTCAGAGGCTTCATCACAGTTTGCAATTATCTGGTGACTTGTTTGTGAGCCTCCCTACCAGACAGGAGTTGCCACAAGGGCAGGCCCATGTCTATCTCCTGGCACATAGTAACAGCTTAATAAATACTTGTTGAATGGACAGATCTGACTGTATAAAAATTACTAAGTTCTACATAAAGAGACACAAGTAGCAAAGTTAAGAGATAAATAATGGTCTGGGGAAAATATTAGGTTGGACTACATAAAATTCCCATGTTGGGCGGTAAAAAAAAGGTTGAGTATTAACAATTTATATGATTCAACCTAATATTTTTAACACATAGCAGATGAAGGATAAATTTATCTAATATACAAAAAGCTCTTACAAAACAAGACAGGTCAATAATCCATTAGAAAAAATAGGTAAATGATTAAACCAGCAGACCACAAAAGAAAATGATAATACAGATGAGAAAAGATACATAATATCACTGACCAGAAAGTGGAAACAAAAACTGAAACACAAACCATGGTTTATCTGCTAGACAGGTGAAATACACTAGACTTCATCCATACACAGGTTTTGCTAAGGAGGTGAGGAAAAGTGCATCCACACATTTCATGGCTGGAGTACAAACTGGTATAAACATTTTTGGATTATAATTCAGTAGTACCTATTTGGCATGCTTTCAGGATTAGTAATTTCACTTCTAGGACTCTTTCAGAGAAATACATATTTTAACAAGTGCACAAGAAAATATGTACAAGGATATTCACTGCAATGTTACTTATAACAGCTAAAAACTGTAGGCAACTTAGGCCAGGCGCGGTGGCTCACGCCTGTAATCCCAACACTCTGGGAGGCCGAGGTGGGCGGATCACGAGGTCAGGAGATCGAGACCATCCTGGCTAACATGGTGAAACCCCGTCTTTCCTAAAAATACAAAAAATTAGCTGTGCGTGGTGGCGGGCGCCTGTAGTCCCAGCTAATCGGGAGGCTGAGGCAAGAGAATGGCGTGAACCCGGGAGGCGGAGCTTGCAGTGAGCCGAGATCGCGCCACTGCACTCCGGCTTGGGCAACAGAGCAAGACTCCGTCTCAAAAAAAAAAAAAAAAAAAAAAAACTGTAGGCAACTTAAATGTTCTTCTAGAGAAGAAAAGTTAAACTATAGTTAAGTCTTGTTATAGAAATAATGGAATTGCTGAAAATAATGAAGTGGATCTATATGTTCAGGCTTTGAAAGCTTGCTATATGATATTTTTAAATGAACACAAGCAAAATACAGAAAAGTATGAATAGCTTGATTTCATTTTTCTGAACCCAGTAAAGAAAAACAATGTATGCAGCTCCATCCATACATAGGAAAAGGTCTGGAAGAACACACAACAAGAGGTTAACAACTGTAGTTATCTTGGAGGTGGGTGTGTGTTTGTTAACACTTCTATATTGTTTTGATTTTTTTTTTAAATTATACTTTAAGTTCTGGGATACATGTGTAGGACGCGCAGGTTTGTTACATAGGTATACACATGCCATGGTGGTTTGCTGCACCCATCAACCTGTCATTTACATTACGTATTTCTCCTAATGCTATCTCTCCCCTGGGCCCCCCAACCCCTAACAGGCCCTGGTGTGTGATGTTCCCCTCCCTGTGTCCATGTGTTCTCATTGTTCAACTCCCACTTATGAGTGAGAACATGTGATATTTGGTTTTCTGTTCCTGTGTTAGTTTGCTGAGAATGATGGTTTCCAGCTTCATCCATGTCCCTGCAAAGGACATGAACTCATTCTTTTTTATGGCTGCATAGTATTCCATGGTGTAAATGTGTCACATTTTCTTTATCCAGTCTATCATTGATGGGCATTTGGGTTGGTTCCAAGTCTTTACTATTGTGAACAGTGTTGCAATAAACATACATGTGCATATATCTTTACAGTAGAATGTTGTTTTGATTTTTTAATAAACATACTTCTACTACAATTTTTTTTAGAAAGATAAGCAATAAGAAAGGCACTGCCTGCTTTAGAGCATTAAATATAATAGGTGAAGCCATTAGAAGTCCAAGGACAAGGATTGAAGTTGAGACACCACCAAGTCATATAGAGAGCACAGGTATTAAAGCCAAGCACAGGTATTTGAGTTCAAGAAGCTCATTAGACCCCTGAATCTTGGATATTTCACCTTATAAAATGGCTTGATACATCTACCTTAAAGAGATATTGGGCCCTACTAAAGGAAATCAGTATGTCCAAGTTCTTTGCAAATAGTAAAGTACTTTAAAAACCAGTGTAATGTTACTGCTTGGCCAGAAAAACAAGGGCTACAGCTACAAACTCCTAAGGGAAAGAGAGATGGATGGGAGCTGGAGGATTAAGAAAGACAACCAACTATAATACGCAGCTCTGATTTGGACCCTGATTCAAACTGTTGAATAGATTTATGAATACGACTGTATATTAGATTACATAAAGGAGCTATTACTATTTTTTAGATGTGATAATTGCATTATGGCTGTGTGTTTTAAAAAATGTCTTTGGCCAGGTGCAGTGGCTCACGCCTGTAATCCCAGCACTTTAGGAGGCTGAAGCAGGTAAATGGCTTGAGTCCAGGAGTTCAGGACCAGCCTGGGCAACATGGCAAAACCCTGTCTCTACAAAAAATACAAAAATTAGCCAGGCATGGTGGTGCAAGGCTATAGTCCCAACTACTTGGGAGGCTGAAGTGGGAGGATTGCTTGAGCCCGGGAGATGGAGCTTGCAGTGAGCTGAGATCGTGCCACTGCACTCCAGTCTGGGCGACAGAGTGAGACTGTCTCAAAAAAAAAACCAAAAAATTATAATATATATATATGTGTGTGCACGTGTGTGTATGTGTGTGTGTATACATATATACTTTTCAGAGATACATATAAAAAATTTATGCATAAAATGATACGATGTTTGACATTGAGATTTGCTTCAAAATAATTCACAATGGTGAGGGAGTAGAGAATGGAGAGAGGTGGTAAGACTAGGATCAGGCATGGTGGCTCATGCCTGTAATCCCAACACTTTGGGAAGCTGAGGCAGGAGGATGCTTGAGCTCAGGGGTTCAAGACGAGCCTCGGCAATGTGGCAAAAATTTATCTCTAAAAAAAATACAAAAAATTAGCCAAATGTGATGGCACTCCCCTGTAGTCCCAACTATCCAGGACGCTGAGGTGAGAGGATCACTTGAGCCAGCAGATTGAGGCTACAATGAGCCATGATCATGCCACTGCACTCCAGCCTGGGTGACAGAGTGAGACCCTGTCTCGATCAATCAATCAATCCAGCCTGGGTGACAGAGTGAGATCCTGTCTCAATTAATCAATCAATCAACAAATAAATAATACTTTATTTTTTATTTATTATTATTTTTTGAGATGGAGTCTCCCTCTGTTGCCCAGGCAGGAGTACAGTGGTGCGATCTCAGCTCACTGCAACATCTGCCTCCTGGGTTCAAGCAGTTCTCCTGCTTCAGCCTCTCCAGTAGCTGGAATTACAGGTGCATGCCACCACACCCCACTAATTAGTAAATAATATTTTATTGTTAAAAAGTGCTAACAATCATCTGAGCCTTCAGCAAGTCATAATCTTTTTGCTAGTGGAGGATCTTGCCTCAATGTTGATGGCTGCTGACTGACCAGGGTGATGGTTGCTAAAGGCTGGGCTGGCTGTGACAATTTCTTAAACAAGACAGTAATGAAGTTGGCCACATTGATTGATTTTTCCTTTCACAAAAGATTTCTCTGTAGCATGTGACTCTGTTTGATAGCATTTTACCCACGGTAGAACTTCTTCCAAAATTGAAGTTAGTCTCTTGCCTGCCACCATGTAAGACATGACTCTGCTCCTCATTTGTCTTCTGCTATGATTGTGAGGCCTCCCCAGCCATGTGGAACTTTGGCTGGGGAAGAGACCAGGGAATCGATGGATTTGGAGAGGAGCCAGGAATTAAATCTCAGCTAATGAACCTTATTTGATCTGTAAGAACCTTGATGACAGTGCCATTGATAATAGTAAACTCAACTGCAATTGTGTTTCTCTTATTATTTGGATGAATATCAGTGGAGGAAACGGAGACTCAGAAGACATGCCAGCAGAAGTTATTACTTCAGTAATTATTGGAAATCTTAGCTGGCTGACCTTGCACTTGACAAAAATGTAAAGCTTAAAATAAAACCAGACTTTCTATTTATCTGAAAAAAATAAAAAATTAAAAAATGAAGTCAATCTGGCCAGGTGTGGTAGCTCACGCCTATACTCTCAGGACTTTGGGAGGCCAAGGCAAAAGGACTGCTTGAGGCCAGGAATTGAAGACCAGCCTGGGCAACACAATGAAAACCCCATCTCTATAAAAAATAAAAAAATTGGCTGGGTATGGTGGCGCACACCTGTAGTCCCACCTACTCAGAAGGCTGAGGCAGTAGGATCACTTGAGCCCAGGAGTTTGAGGTTACAGTTTGAGCTATGATTACACCACTGCACTCCAGCCTGGGCAACAGAGTGGGACCCTGTCTCCAAATAAATAAATAAATAAAATTTTTTTAAAAATTGGAGTCAACCTTCTCAAATCCTGCCACTGCTTTACTAATTGAGTTTATGTAATATTCTAAATCTTTTCCTGTCATTTCAAATGTTCACAGCATCTTCACCAGGAGTAGATTCCATCTCAAGAAAGTATGTCAGCTATAGCTTTACTAAATAACTAAATATATTTCTTAAATAATAAGACTCATAAGTTGAAATGACTTCTTGATCCACAGGCTGCAGAACAGACGCTGTGTTGGCAGGTATGAAAACATTAATCTCCTTGTACATTTCCATCAGAGCTCTCAGGTGTCTAGGTTCATTGTCAATGGACAGTGATATTTTAAAAGAAATCTTTTTTTGTGAGCAAGAGGTCTCAACAGTGGCCTCAAAATATTCAATAAATCATGCCATAAACAGATGTGCTGTCATCTAAGCTTTGTTGTTCCACTTATAAAGCACAGGCAAAGTATATTTTGCATAATTCTTAAGGTCCCTAGGGTTTTTGGAATGGTAAATGAGCACGGGCTTCAACTTAAAGTCACCAGCTGCCTTAGCCCCTAACAAGAGTGTCAGCCTGTCCTTTGAAGCCAGACATTGACTACTCCCCTCTAGCTATGAAAGTCCTAGATGGCAGGCTGGCCATAGTGGCTACTACGTACTTGTAATCCCAACTACTCAGGAGGCCAAGATGGGAGGACCACTTGAACCAGGAATTCAAGACCAGCCTGGGCAACATACCAAGACCCCCCTCTCTACAAAAATTGTTTTTATAAAGTTAGCCGGGTGTGGTGGGTGTGCATCTGCAGTTCTAGCTACTCGGAGGGGCAGGAGGATTGCTTTAGCCAGAGTATAAGGTTACACTGTGCTATGATCATGCCACTGTCTCTTAAAAAAATAATTAAATTTAAAAAAGAAAGTCCCAGATAGCATCTTTTTCCAATAGAAGACTGTTTTGTCTATATTGAAAATCTGCTGTTTAGTGTACCGCCTTCATCAATGATCTTAACTAGATCTTCCGGACAATTTGCTGCAGCTTCTACATCAGCACTTGTCGCTTCACCATGCACTTTCATGTTATGGAGATGGCTTCTTTCCCTAAACTTCATGAAAACCAACTTCTCCTAGCTTCAAACTTTTCTTCTGTAGCTTTCTCACCTCTCTTAGCCTTTATGAAAGTGAAGAGAATTAAGGCCTTGCTCTGGGTTAAGCTCTGGATTAAGGGAATGTTGTGGCTAGTTCATTCTTCTATCCATATCAGCAATAAGGCTATTTTGATCTCTTACTATTTGTGTGTTCACTGGAGTAGCACTTTTAATTTTACTTCAAGAACTTTTCCTTTGCTCACAATTAGGCATGCTGGCACAAGAGGCATAGCTTTCAGTCTGTCTCAGCTTTTGACCTACCTTCTTCACTAAGCTTAATCATTTATAGCTTTTGATTTAAAGTGAGAGACATGTAACTCTTCCTTTCCCTTGAACACTTACAAGCCTTTGCAGGGTTATTAATTGACCTAATTTGAATATTGTTGTGTCTCAGGGAATAGGGAGGCCCAAGGAGAGGGAGATGAGGAAGGACCAGCTGGTGGAGCAATCAGAACACACACAACACTTATAAATTAAGTTCACTGTCTTAGATGGAGGCAGTTCATGGCACCCTGAAATAATTACAATAGTAACATCAAAGTTTGCTGATCACAGATGACCATGACAGATATAATAATAATGTAAAGTTGGGCCAGGCACGGTGGCTGATGCCTGTAATCCCAGCACTTTGGGAGGCCGAGGTGGGCGGATCACGAGGTCAGGAGATCGAGACCATCCTGGCTAACATGGTGAAACCCCATCTCTACTAAAAACACAAAAAATTAGCCGGGCGTGGTGGCAGGCGCCTGTAGTCCCAGCTACTCGGGAGGCTGAGGCACAAGAATCGCTTGAACCCGGGCAGCGGAGGTTGCTGTGAGCCGAGATCACGCCACTGCACTCCAGCCTGGGCGACAGAGCGAGACTCTGTCTCAAAAAAAAAAATAATAATAATAATAATAATAATGAAAAGTTAAAAATACTGTGAGAATTATCAGAATGTGACACAGAGACACAAAGTGAACACACGCTTTTGAAAAATGGCACTGATAGACTTGCTCAACACAGGGTTGCCACAAATCTTCAATTTATAAAAATGCAGTAACTACAAAGCTCAATAAAACAAGATATGCCTGTACCAAGATCAGAAAGCAGTCATATCTATCCCAGGAAGGCACACTGCTTGATGGGGTTGAGGTAGTAATGGGATGGGCACTTGAAGAAAGTGAAGACATGCTTGGAACAAAATATAAATGGTAGCTAAGAAGATAATTAAATAACTAATCAGAACTACAGCTGCTGAGGATTATTTTTAACTGGCATAACACTGTTAGCAAGATTTCATGACAGCATTTAGACTTCAAATGTAGATTAATGAATGGATTAATACCATCCTAGGCTCATTCTTCAATACTATTTTAGAAAATTACTACTGCAAGAAGCAACTAAAAAATCACAACAGATCAGCTGAAATGCTCTCTTGATAAAATTATACAACACACAGCAGAATTACGCTGCTTCCAAAAGTTGATCTATTAAGGCGGGGGGGTGGGGAGGATATGTAAAAAGTCCTCTAGAAAAAGCTTTCTTAGTTGCCTTAATTCTTAATTTTCTGAGATCGCCTCATGAAAGACCTCATCATCCCTTTGAGCCCCATCGCAAAACCTGGATAGGATAGGCCAAGTGAGACATTTCTTATGCTCTCCTCTCCAAAGGGTTCCACTCTCACCCATTTCTCATTACCCAACCCTCTAACCCCTCCAAATGGCTTCCTCCAAAAACCACAATCATCCACTACCCTCAGAGTCTAAAGAAAATGGTTTTAGTTCTAGCTCTGCCTCTAATAAGGAGACAGAGAATCTCACAACTTCTCAGTGAAATGAGGGATTACATGAATGGCTTTCTAAGATCCTTTCGATGTTCTTATTCCTACATGAGGTTCTCCTTACCTAAGGAAACAAAGCATCAGGCCATGGCAGATGGGTTTTCCTGTGACTCTCTCAGCACAAGTGATTAAGGAAACCAAAACAGAGAAACACAGGATCCTCAACTCCTTTAAGACTCTGCTTAACTTAGGCTGGCTGGCAGAGGCTGGGACTACAAGAAAACCCACCTGCTGCCATGAAATCTAATCTCTCTCCAAAGTGACAAGAACCCAATGGGGTGAGAGGTGAAGAAGGAGTGGGGAGAAATCAAGGTCCTGGAGTCCTCCTTGGCCCATTCCATCACTTCCCGTATGTGCTGTGTTCTGGTGCCACAATCTTTTGTCCTCTGCACGTCCACATCCTGCTCCTAAGATACAGCAAGTGAACTGGAGTGTGCAGGCTTGATGTCCAATCTAAAATTCCAGTTTACATGGATGAGGGCCTATGTCGGAAACAAGTTCAAAATAATCCTAAAATAATCTCAAATAAACCATCAAACCACAAAACATATCAATGTGGTCATTCTTGTGACAAAGCAGGTCTTTTTAGGTGAGATCTGTGACCATCTTAAGAGATAAATTCCAGGCAGCAACCGCTGTTAAAAGTAGTTTTAGCTGTGTATGCCAAAGGCACTCTCTATTTTCTAGCAAGACATACCTACTGGCTGGACTCTTGGGAAAAACAAACAGACAGACGGCAGATAAGAAAGAGCAATAGCTTGTTCAGCTTGGTACTAATGCTTCTTACCCACATATTCTGAGAGGAAGACGACAAAGAATGGAGTGACCAGGTCATTAATTCCCTGGACATACCCACTGGCAGGGTGGCGGATGGCCCAAATAAATAGAATTCTTTCAAAGATCTAGGAAAATGAGAAAGAAAGACACGAGTGTTAAATCACGGGGACACACACTCCTTCCCTCCGTTTACCTACTTCACAATTTACCTCCAGGTTGGTGTAGAATTTTTAGGAAAATTTTAAGATACTGTGGGATAAAGAAGTATATAAATGCAAAAAGTTTCTAAATACACTAATTGTTTTCAAGTAGGGGTAGATACTTCTTGCCCTTTATTCATTTTTTCATTATCTGGTCACCACAATATAAAATTGGGAGAAGGAAAGAACAGCAAACCCAAATGCCTTAGAAAACATTTGGGATGAATGCTGTTAATTCAGGCCACCACATTCTCATCTGTAGATATGGTTTCCTATTTCCAAGAGCAAGATATCAGGACATCCCAGTTCTGATGCTTTTTTCTAAATTTTTTTTTTTTTGGTCATTATAGGATTTAGACAGGAAATACCTTTTCTACCACCCTCCCCTCTCCCTGCCTGAGAAGAAAGGTGGTCTTGATTTAATTCTAACCCAGCCTGACTAGGACCAAGTGACAGACTGCACATTGCAGGAAGTCAGTTCACATATCAGGATACAACTCAGATGTTTGCTAAGGATAGGAAGTCAAACAAAATCCTATGGACTCCTATAGCTGGGAATTTGAGAACAGAGAAACCAGCCAGGGCCCCATGGGAAAGGCCCTGGGGTTTAGCATATTAGCCATAAGAAGCCAGAGGCCTACACTGGGGACAAAGGAAAGATCTTTATGGTCCCTTTACATAATCATGCCCTGTCCCACTCAACTATACTCCCCTCGCTTTCATTAGGCCCTCTGAGCTTCTCCCCATCTTCTCTCAACCTGATAATACCCATTGCCTGGTTTCATCCTGGTGACCACAATTCCCAAGTCTGACACATTCTTGAGACTGGCTTTGACTGGGCTGCCTCATGCCTCTGAGAACCACACCAGAGAGATGGCAGAGGTGATGTGAGTACATGCAGATGATAGGGTAGGAGATTAGAAAGCATGTGGACTTGGGAGAATCTCAGCCAGTCACCACTGCATCAGATTGAAGAGGCCCTCTCAAGCAGGTGGAAGGCAGAAAAACCTCCCAGGGAGACCAACAAACAGGAAATGGTTATATGGTTTTTGGAGATGGTTATCTAGTGTAGGAGGGACACAGAGAATCTAGAGACATAAAGGATGCTTCCCAGCCTCTCTGTCATAGATCGTTGTGCCTACAGCGGGCAAACAGAGCTGAGAAACGGTTTCTTTCACTGTCAACACTGCTGCCTTCATAGGTAGTGAGAACAAAGCCTTTCCTGGAAGGGAGCTGGCCTCTCTGCCTTCACTAGACCTACCCATTTGCTTTGTGTAGTTGAGGAAAAGGCATAGCACCCTCATTTGCATTCGGCCCAACACTCTAATGGGAACGCTCTTACACTCTATTTCCTCTCTGTTGCTAAATGATCCCTCTATCTTGAAAATACAGCCAAAGCTAGAACCATCGTTTTCAGGAAAATCTCAATAATTCCCTGCCTCACTCTCTTTCTTTGCACTTCTTGTGACCTGGGTCTGTCTAGATGCCTCTATTAAAAAGCTCCTCCAGGTTGGTCTTTCCAAAGGACTTAGAAGGGCTTCTACTCTATAGGATCAGCCCCTTGTAAATACTCAAATCCTTGGCGCCTGGCTGTAACAATGGCCAAGTACATGGAAGCTAGCTGTTCAGAATCAGGAGACCTGTGATCATCCTCTCTAGTCAGGGTGGAACAACACAGACACACTCACATGGTACAAGTGAAGTGGTCAAAGAGATGGAAACTGAAGAGCACCAAGCCTGGTAATCAGGGGAGACCATGGGATGTTCGCTATAGAAAAAGTCTGGGATAATCCTGCCTTATAGAGAGGAGTGGATAGGAGAACCGCTGGAGGTCTTCCAATGTCTCTTCTACTAGTGTGGGTAATTCTTACATACTATAGGCAATTATCAAGTATCTTTCAGGTTTTCAAAGCAAGCCTTTCCGTATTCAGTGTTACTTAGTTCTTTGCTTCTTGGTTGGCATTTTTACCAGCCTGGATGGTGGCTCACGCCTTGTAATTCCAGCATTTTGAGAGGCAGAAGCAGAAAGAATTGCTTGAGGCCAGGGGTTCGAGACCAGTCCTGGGCAACAAAGCAAGACCCCATCTCTACAAAAAATTATGAGAAAAAAAATTAGCCAGGTGTGGTGGTGCATGATTGCAGCCCCAGCTACTTGGGAGGCTGAGGCAGGAGGACTGCTTGAGCCCGGGGAGTAGAGGTTGCAGTGAGCTATGATCATGCCACTGCACTCTAGCCTGGGTGACAGAGTGAGACCCTGTCTCTTAAAAAGTTAAAATAAAAAAAATTTAAAAGATGACTGTAGCCTGCTAGATGAAATGGTCATTCAGGAAAAATTGGGGAGAATAAAGTTTGAGTTCCCATATTGTATTCAGGATGCACTACTAAAAGAAGCCACCACCCCCCAACCTCTTTTTTTTTTTTTTTTTGAGACAGGATCTTGCTCTGTCACCCAGGCTGGAGTGCAGTAGCACGATCATGGCTCATTGCAGCTTTGACCACCTGGGCTCAAGAGATCCTCCCTCCTCAGCCTCCCAAGTAGCACAGGCACAGTAGCACAGGCACACACCACCATGCCTGGCTAATTCTGTAATTTTTTTGAGACAGGGTCTTGCTATGTTACCCAGACTGGTCTCAAACTCCTAGGCTCAGGCTGGTCTCAAACTCGTGGGCTCAAGCAATCCCTCTGGCCTTGGCCTCCCAAAGTGCTGGGATTATAGGAGTGAGTCATCACGCCTGGCTGAGAAGCCTTTTAAACTGACTACTTTCCTCATCTCCAAATTCAGAGTAAGCATGCACAGGTAAAAGAAAAGTCTCTGAACATCTCCAAGTTAAAATGAGGAATAAGCAGTGCTGAGCCATGGAAAACTGTATGGGAGGATAAAGGGATCATGAATGGGTTTTTAGCTTCCTGTGAGCTGAATCTTATAGTTAAAATAATGATGTTACCTTCAAAATCTTCTTTATGCTATGGGTAAGACATGAGGGACCCCACCAGTGGAGACATCTATATTTAAACAAAATTATAAATATAACCCAAAGTCAAATAGAAATTATTTTCAGCATTTTAACCACCATCCCTCTCTACTATGAGAACTGAAAGTTCCGTTAAAAGAGCACTAGTACTTAGTGTCCTGGCTACTGTAAAGTTGCAAAGGAAATCCCTAATCTTAAGAAGTTTACAGTTACTGCTTGAGTCAAAACATAATAGCCCCACTGACACCTTCCATGTACTTCATTAACTTGTTAGGTCTCAAAATATAACTACTACTCCCACTTCTAAATATATACCCAAAAGAATTTAAAACAGAGACTCAAACAGATATTCACATACCCATACTAGCAGCAGCATTACTCACAATAGCCAAAAGGTGAAAGCAACCCATGTGTCCACTGATAGATGAACAGCTCAACAATATGTGTTACATATGTACAACGGAATATTACTCAGCCTTAAAAAAGGAAATTCACACATGCAACAACAGGGATGAACCTTAAAGATATTATGCTAAGTGAAATAAGCCAGTCACAGAAGGACAAATATTGTATGATTCCACTTATTTGAGCTGCCTGGAGTAGTCAAATTCTTAGAGACAAATAGAATGGAGGCTGCAGAAGAGAGTTAATATTTAATGGATACAGAGTTCCAGTTTGGGAAGATGAAAAATGTTCTGGAAGTGGATGGTGATGATGGTCATACAATAACGTGACTGTACTTAATGCCACTGAACTGTACACTAAAAAATGGTTAACACAGTAAATTTTATATTATGTATATTTTACCACAATTTAAAAAATCACTACTTCCAGCTTGATAAAGTAGAGCAAATACAGGAATAGGAATTCTAAGATGTGGGTTCTTCATTCTGCCACCAGGTAGCCTCAAAATTCTGAGCAAGTTCCTTAGCCTTTCAAAGTGTTATTCCGCTCACAGATTTGTAACAAAGATCAAATGAAAATGTATGAAACCATGCTCTGAAGGAACCAAAGCTGCATATATGAACATAAGGTACTATTATGATTAGCCGCAAACCTGTAAACAGGTGCCACAGAACTATGCGGGGAGAAGCGCCAAAGAACATTAAGTAATTCCCTCACCTCCTGTACAAGTGGTTGCTGGAACAACGGAATGAGAGGATTCGTCCTTGGAATGTCAATGTGAATCTGAAAAAGAGAAGGCATGTCCAAAAACACAAATGCCAGTTTTTTTTTGTTTTTGTTTTTTTGAGATGAAGTCTCGCTCTTGTCCCCCAGGCTGGAGTGCAATGGCACTATCTCAGCTCACTGCAACCTCTGCCTCCAGGGTTCAAGCGATTCTCCTGCCTCAGCCTCCCAAGTAGCTGGGATTACAGGCACCTGCCACCAGGCCTGGCTAATTTTTGCATTTTTAGTAGAGACGGGGTTTCACCATGTTGACCAGGCTGATCTCGAACTCTTGACCTCAGGTGACCCACCCGCCTTGGCCTGCCAAAGTGCTGGGATTGCAGGTGTGAGCCACCGTGCCTGGCCCAGTTTGTTCTTTTGACAATTTTTTTTTAAAGAAATGGGAATCATCTGGCTGGGTGCGGTGGCTCACGCCTGTAATCCCAGCACTTTGGGAGGCCAAGCCGGGCGGATCATGAGGTCAGGAGATCGAGACCATCCTGGCTAACACGGTGAAACCCTGTCTCTACTAAAAATACAAAAAATTAGCCGGGCGTGGTGGCGGGTGCCTGTAGTCCCAGCTACTCGGGAGGCCGAGGCAGGAGAATGGTGTGAACCCGGGAGGTGGAGCTTGCAGTGAGCCGAGATCGGGCCACTGCACTCCAGCCTGGGCGACAGAGCAAGACTCTGTCTCAAAAAAAAAAAAGAAATGGAAATCAAAGTAGTAAGAAAACACAATTTATCTTCAGAAAGAAGTGACTGACACAGGAAAAAAATCTAGTTATACCTACCTGCCCATGTGGAACATGTTTCCATGACAACAATAGCTTATTAAACAGTGAGGAAACCTCCCAAAAGAAACCACTAAAGTCAAATGGCAATAGGCTTCACAGATTAAGGGTTTTTTCTTATTGCTCTGAAGTCTGTTTCACTCTGGGCTGGCATGTATGTAGCAGGTATGATCCAAGTAGGTACCCATCTTTCAGAATCTTACTCATCAACAGTTCCTAAGAACTAGAAGAGCTCAGAAAGCTGCAAAAATGTCCTAAAATAGGGAACCAGAGATGAACTTGCTTATGAAGTCATGATGTGTAAGAAGCGGGGAAGGGCCAGGGCGATGGCTCACGCCTGTGATCCCAGCACTTTGGGAGGCTGAGGCGGGTGGATCACTTGAGGTCAGGAGTTTGAGACCAGCCTGGCCAACATGGTGAAACCCCGTCTCCACTAAAATTACAAAAATTACATGGTGGCTCATACCTGTAATCCCAGCACTTTGGGAGGCCAAGGTGGGTGGATCACCTGAGGCCAGGAGTTCAAGACCAGCCTGGCCAACATGGCGAAACCCCATCTCTACTAAAATTACAAAAATTAGCTGGGTGTGGTGGTGTGCGCCTGTAATCCCAGCTATCCAGGAGGGTGAGGCAGGAGAATCGCTGGAACCCAGCGGACAAAGGCTGGAGCAAGCCGAGATTGCGCCACTGCACTCCAGCCTAAGTGACAGAAAAAGACTCGGTCTCAAAAAAGATAAAGAAAAAATTAGCCGGGCCTGGTGGCACATGCCTGTAATCCCAGCTACTCAGGAAGCCGAGGCAGGAGAATCACCTGAATCCAGGAGGTGGGGGCTGCAGTGAGCCAAGATCACGCCACTGCACTCCAGCCTGGACGACAGAGTGAGACTCCATCTCAAAAAAAAAAAAAAAAAAAAAAAAAAAGTGGGGAAGGACCAAAAGGAGTTGGCCTTCAGTAACTGAAGCTGAAAGTTCTTACTTCTGTTACCTAAGACATCACTATAGTCCATTTCAACTCAGGGATTTCCCAGTGCCCAGTCTAACTATGCAAAAGACTGTGTCAGCAGCAGCAGCAGCAGAGGCTACTTCAGTTCTTGAGGCTTGTTGTAAATAGCTGCCCACCTTCCACTTTCTGCAACCCCTGGCCTACTCTTCTCCTCCCTCCACATGTGATGTTGGGAGCAGACCTTTCCGCAGACCATGAGGACCATTATGGGCAATGACAGAAGACTCCCTGACAAGACTACTGAAAGCTACAGCTCCTACAGTCACAGATGCCAAAACAGCAGTGCAGCTGCCAGGAAGACATACTGATGTCATAGTCCAGAGGGACTGGACCACGGCTAGGTAAGCTTGTCTTTCCTCTCCATGCTCGATAACGCTTACTACTCACAGTGTGGTTGGTGGACCAGCAGCAGCAGCATTGCAAGGGAGCACATCAGAACTTCAGGCTTTACCTGAGACCTGCTAAATCAGAATCTGCATTTTCTCATAATCTCTAGGTGAGATCTTATCAAGATCCTAGGTGATTTGTATGTACATTAAAGTTTGAGAAGCAGTGCACTGACTAGTGCCAAAAAAGTCTGTCTATTTAAAATGGCTAAAATCAGAGTTGCTGAATGAAAAGAGGGGAAACAGTTTTGAGGATAAATTTAACTCCTAACCAATATACCACAGCCTGAAGACTTGGAAAGCCTGTACCCTGAGAGCACTACCATGAGACATACCTAAAGTATATGACTGGTAAGCAAAGAGGCAGCAGGTGGTGACTGTACCTGTCTGTAGGTATCCTGGTGATGTTCCTCGTTTCGAGAGTCATAATACTGTTCAATGAAGCCAAAATATTCCTCCCGCTTCCGCTGCAGGGTCAACTTCCTCCTCTCAGTGTTTGCTGGGAGATAGCCCTATAGACAAGACTGCTGGTCAGATGGGGAAAGACAATGGTTGGATAAATCCTTAATTTTTATTTTAATCTATGCAGTGGTTTGGAAACTACCAAGAAGGAAAACTGCCAAGGGTAAATCCCTTTTTGGTTCTGGCCACCCATTTTTTGCCCTCTCCTCATTCAATGAGATCCACATGTGAGCAGATGAAGCAAGGCCAGCTTTCCCAGGATTATTTACTCCCTTGGCCCTGCACTGTGCTGGAGCTTGTGCCACTGGTGAGCACTCCTCAGCTCCCAGAGCTGGCACAGTACAGCAGTGAATGTAGGTCAGTGGGAGGGAGCTGGACCCAAGTCATGGCCTCGGAGGGCTGTGTGTGTCCAGGGCCATACTTCTGAGAAATGCAGGGATATAGCAACCTCTACAGCACATCTCAGCAGTGTGCCAAGTAAGTTGGTGCCAGTTACATTCTTTTCCAGTGTAACTTTCAGAATTACCAGCTTAGGAAGCAGCTGAATGGAATCTGTGACATACAGCTACAACACTCAGACAGAACTTCTGGCAGCAGCCCCCGGCCTAGCCAAAGCTCCAGGCCAACTTTCATTCTTATCCCTGGTCTAGATCCCACTCTCATTCTTATATTTTCTGTTCCCCTTCCGTTCTCACCAAATCTACTCTGAATAGTATTCAAACTTATTAGAAGTGGCAGAGGCAATGATTGCATGGTTGCAAGAGTAGAGGTGGGGGCGAGCAGTCAGGAGACAGACCCTTCTTCTTGAAAACATTTATGTAATGCATTCTGCAGTGAGTGCCTGGAGAGTGGGGACTGTGGTTTATTCATTTTTGCATCTGCTCAAAGCATCTGGCACTATGCCTGGCAAACAGCAGGCTCTCAATAAATCCTCACTAGATGAATGAATGAATTTTACAGGCTCAGGAAACCCAAGTGTTTCTATCATAGCGGCTGGCACAGTGCTCTGTACTTGGTGAAAGCAGGACTAGTAAAGCTTCCAAGGGAGGCCAATTTATCAACTCTTCACAGATCAAAGTGGGTTTCAACTTTTGGTTATTCCGGCTGAAACAGGAGTGAAGCACAGGGAACGTTGGAGCTTACTCAAAGCAAGTGCTGGGATCACCCTATCTCACTCTATTCTTCTTCCTCGCTGTTAAGAACATGACACCATGACTATTGGTACAAGTCTGTGTACCACTACATGTGTGTGAATAAACTCTCAAGAATGTATTTCTTTATGCACAGAAATAGGACTATAGTCCCATAGTTCTGTCATATCCAGTAGGACTAGAGAAGTCTATGGAGTTAAGACCAATGTGTCCAGACTAACCTCATCAGGCAAGAAGGGCTGTGTGAGGCTCACATTTCTCTACACAGTGGGTAGAACTCACCGACAGGAGTCTCCAGGTTATAGGTCGAACCTCCCTGGGAACCCCTGGCCAGCTACACTTCCTCAGTTCATCTGTAAATAGAAAACAGCCTTGTTAGGTTAACTCTCCACAAATGCTCTAAAGCAAACCGCAACCAGCACTGCCTGATGTCTCCTTCCATCCATGTAAGACCACCACCACCACCTGCTACCCATAAGCACAGTGAAAAGCCCAAAACAGCCCCGAGCAGCTAAGTGCCAAGGACACGGCCTTGCAGTAGCAGTCCTGTCAGCTCAGAGATGAAAGTTAGAGGGGAAGGGAAAGACCAGTGGGTGTAGATTTCAGTAAGAGTCACCTTGAGATAAGGAAGACCAAAGTCAGAATAGTTGCACTAGGGTCTACAGGCCACAGAAACCAGTCCCACCTAATTTGGTCCATAATCTCTAGTAACATATGTCTGACTTAATACCTGCATGTCACTGCAATGGGCACCAGGTCAGGAGAAGCTAGAAAAGTAAAAGAAGGAAGAATAAAGAGCAGTAGCTTCCAGGTCTCTGAGAATTCCAGTCACCCAAAGCTCCTACCTTGCCTGGGCTCACAGGGACTCACCTAAGTCAGTGTTCTGGCTGGAGAGAAGTTGACGGAATTTTTCTAGGCGGGTTTTCTCCCGGACAGTCATTGGGGGGGCCCCAGAAGCGTTCTGATCCGAGATCCGGGCAACGAGGGGGATGATGGGCCGGAGAGGGAGTGATTGCTGTTTGTGGAGTGGGTTCCTCAGGCATGTATCACCTGAGATCATTTGAAAAAGAAAGAGAACGGGCTGTGTGAGGAGTATGGATTCTGAGAAGCCTTAAACCTAACCGTTCAGCATTGTGTTTCCTCCCCAAGGGTGTGGCTGCCTGTGTGCACTGTCTGAGGTGCCCAGCTGAAGGGCAGCGAGGGGCCAGAACCCAGCCACACCCCATTCACTGCCCAGAGAAAGGGCTGCATTTATATCAAACACACCAAGGCACCTTAGGTGGTAACAGAGACGCCAGATGCTGCAGCAACTTTTGAGAACTTTTTTGGTGACTCTAAAGGTGCTAACAGAGACTCCAGATGCTGCAGCAACTTTTGAGAACTTTTTTGGTGACTCTAAAGGAAAATCAAATGTTTTCTTTCTACCCTAACTTGGAACTTTTCTTGGTGCCAAATAGTGAGTTTAGTTTAGTCTAAGGCAGTGTTTTCCTTCCCATTCCACACCACAGAGCACATAAGGAATGATGACACTGCAGATGACACCACAAAGCACAAGGCTGCAATAAATGGAGGTGGTTGCTCTCCACAAGCCCCAGAACCCCCAGCTGCTCCAAGGACTAAAAGGATCAATATCCCCGCACATCCTGTACCCGGTTCTTGGCCCACCAGTGTGCCCTGCACAATGGTGAGAAGCTCTGGCCTAAGGCAATCCTGCCTTTGGTGGCTGCGGTTCCTTTGTGCTCCTACATTTCCCACCAAAATCAACCAGTTCTTAATTCTGCCAAGATATGACTGAAATAACAAACAAAGACTCAAACTGAACTCTGTCTTGTTCTTGACATTTCTACACTAGATAGTGGGTAGGGGGAATAAGCAGTAGAGGACTCACGTATATTGAGTGCTTCATATGTATAAGGCATATAGGTCACTTTTACATATGATCTCTCATTTGATCCTTAGAACATATGGTAGGAATGTATAACTATTTTACAGACAAGAAACTGCAGCTCAGGGAGGTTAAATAACTTGCAAGTGAGAAGTGAAAAACCACCTTAGGTAAGCCTGACTCTAAAACTCTTGTATTACCACAAGCAAAACTCAGTTTTTAATTCTAGCTGTGCTTACATGACTGTTTCATATTCTTTACACGGCTGGGCCTTAAAAAGTAGTAGTCACAACAAAAATTAAACAGTGACTATCAACCAACCAGCACTACTAGAAGGTTTACAAAAACAACTTCCACGAGGCAGTTGGCTGGGATGCCTAGTGTAACGAGGGGACTAGAAAATGCAGACACACACTGCAAAGCTGAGACAGAGGTAAATTTCATATTACCTATTTACAGACAGATGCAGTGACTATCAACCAACCAGCACTACTAGAAGGTTTACAAAAACAACTTCCATGAGGCAGTTGGCTGGGACGCCTAGTGTAACAAGGGGACTAGAAAATGCAGACACACACTGCAAAGCTGAGACAGAGGTAAATCTCATATTACCTATTTACAGACAGATGCCGGCAGGAGAAAACCTCCTCAGGGAGAATGCTCTGGGCTGGGCGGGGGAGGTCCTGGCTGCACAGGGCAGCTCATCATGGATCACGGTAGGGGCCTTCCTCACACTGGAAACCTCTGGAGACCCTCCATCACAGTGTGTAGACACCTTCCACGGCCTGCAGCTGTGGCCACCTGGTCCAGTAACACTGAATGCCTATCTGTGCATGGCACTGAAGGTTCATGCTAGAGCCCAAATCAGTGATGGAAAATAACTGTGCAATGATTGCAAAGACCTTACAGCCACGAAAAAGTTCCCTCAGAACATGAGCCAGGGTACACTCCAGGGCTCTGATGTTCTTCTACTTCCTTTTCATCCTGTACCAGCTCACTGCTTTAACTCTCACTGCGATGACAAAGCTTCCCTCTCCAGCTCCCAACATACTTTATAAAACCCATTAGGGCAACATTAAACATAACCATGAATATTTAAAGGAATACACTGAGAGTCCCCAAAAGCTAATAAAACCACCAACACATCAACCATTACTGTGGCCAGTTTCCCGAAAAGAAACAGAGAGGCCTCTACTTCTACCCCACCCAACCTGATGGGACCTGCCTGATGGTCAGGAAGCTGGGACCTGGGGCCTTTAGGCACATTTGCTCCCTCCCTCAGGAACAGGAAAAGACAACCTTATGCTAGTGGCTGTTCCCTAGGGCTGAGAAAGTCAAACCACAGTGCCAAACAATTGTGAAATTCAGCCACTAACAGCTTTAAATACATCAGTTACTATTTCTAAACCTGACCAGGCCTAAAGCAATGTGAAGCAATCAAACCAGAGAAGTTGTGGACTCCACCACAGGGAAAGGAAGAAGAGAAGAGGAGAATGGCAAACAACACCTGGGTGTCAGAGAGTGAAGGCCCAGGTCACCAGACTGGGCAGCCACCACTGTGGGAGGGGCAAGTATAGCTTGTGACCACTCAGGCTTAATGATGTCACATCTCAGGCTTGAGTTTATTTACCGCCCAGTTGAATATCTACCTGAGTGAGGCCCCAAAGAAAAATCGCTTTTATTTAAAATGCACGCTGCTGAGAAGGCTGAGGCTATGAAGGGAGCAGGAAGGACTTACTAGAGTTTCTGGACAGCTGGGCATCACTGCTGGACTTTATGACCTTGTAGTTGGCAGGGACGTCCGATGTCGTTGACTGGGACCGTTCTGGTTTTACTCTCAGCTTGCTGTGGTTTTCTAGAACTTGGGCTGCAGTTGCCAAAGCAACTTTTGAGTTCAGAGTTTGGAAAGAAGGTGAGGAAAAGTCCTCTTCCTCATCATCGCCAATGTCCCAAGCATCACTGGTATTCCGTGCAAACTCATGAAAACTGGAGGCCTTCTTATTCTTCAGAGGAACTGTGTTGACTTTTGATCGTTCTTTAATGAAACTTCAAGAAAGGAGACACGATTACCAAGGAATGGCCTGACACATCTGACCACCTACATTTGCTTATTATTGTAATATTAATAAATTACAAACTACCACATACATAATCATTAGCTTCTTCAAACAAAAATTGCCCACATCCATTCTTCATCTAGATACATCCAGACCAGCCTGAGATCGCAGAGACAGATGTAGCAGAGACAGCAATGGTCACCAAATATCCCATGTGCTCTTGTATACTTCCTGGCCCCCATACACTTAGGTGAGGCCATATGACCAATACCGGCCAATGGACTGAGGAGAAATGAGGCGATTACTTCCAGGCAAAGTAGAGAATAGGTGTCAGTTCTGTATAACCTCTCTCTTTTTTTTTTTTGAGACAGAGTTTCTGTCACCTAGGCTGGAGTGCAGTGGTATGATCATGGCTCTCTGCAGCCTTGACCTCCTGGGCTCAAGTGATCCTCCCACCACAGCCTCTTGAGTAGCTGGGACTACAGGTGTACACCACGATGCCTGGCTAATTTTATTATTATTTTTTGTAGACACAAGGTTTCACTATGTTGCCCAGGCTGGTCTTGAACTCCTGGGTTCAAGTGATCCTCCCACCTCGGCCTCCCAAATCGTTGGGGTTACAGGTGTGAGCCACCATGCCTGATCCATAGCTTTTCTTCTATCATGATGCACTGGCAAGATGGTAGAACCTCCTTCAGCCTAGGTAACTGAGTGGCTATGTGGAGCAGCAGTAACTATGTCGAGGAGCCTGCCCTCTGCCCTTACCCCACCCCCATTTTAGACATGTAGCATGAGCAGGAAATAAACCTTTACTATGTTAATCCACAGAGATTTGACAGTTGATCTGCTATCACTTAGAGCAGCACATAAACTACTGGCAGAAAACAAGATAATTTTAGGTAGTCCACATATGTAGCATTAAACATTAAGTCCCAAAATAAAAAAGTTGTTCCATTTTTTATTCTGTTAAAAGTTCTTCTGCTGGCCTTGAGAAGAAAGTTGAAGTTTGGTGCTACTCTGTCTTTAAGACCATTTTCTAACTAGGTGCCAAAGTGACGGCAGCCTCAGAATCAATATATTTGCTAGCAACAAGATCTGCCTCTGGATTTAATAAGATTGTTTGGTTTTTCACTGAGTATTTATATGGTTCTTTTCTTTTAAGAGTCAGGGCCTTGCTCTGTCACCCAGGGTGGAGTGATGGAGTGCAGTAGAGAAATCTTGGCTTACTGCAGTCTTGAACTCCTAGGCTCAAGCAATCCTTCCACCTCAGCTTCCTGAGTAGCTGGGACTATAGGCGCACACCACCATGTCTAGCTTTTTTTTTTTTGAGAGATAAGGGTCTCATTATGTTGCTCTCGCTAGTCTCAAACTCCTGGCCTCAAGTGATCCTCTCACCTGAGCCTCCCAAATTGCTGGGATTACAGGCATGAGCCACCACGCCCAGAAGTTCTTCTTATTTATAACAAATGTTGTTTTCTATTTATAGAAATGATAATATTTGTTCTTAAAACAAGACTATTTGAGTGGCCAGGCACAGTGGCTCACGCCCGTAATCCCAGCACTTTGGGAGGTGGAGGCAGATGGATCACTTGAGGTCAGGAGTTTGAGATCAGCCTGGCCAACATGGTGAAACCCCATCTCTACTAAAAAAATACAAAAATTAGCCAGGCATGGTGGCGCATGCCTATAATCCCAGCTACTCGGGAGGCTGAGGGAGGAGAATTGCTTAAACCTGGGAGGTGGAAGTTGCAGTGAGCCAAGATCACACCACTGACTCCAGCCTGGATGACAGTGTGAGTGACACTCCGTCTCAAAAAAAAAAAAAAAAAGAACTATAGGAGACAAGTACCCAAATCAAAGAAAATAAAACTGAGGCTGCACGTTCTGGACTCATCCACCATGGCTGCTTCTCCTTTGTAAAAGGGGACCTGATCTACCACCTGCAGTACCACCTCAGGGGATTCGCTGTCGAGAACAAACATGCAGCTGTGTAAGAAAGATCTGTCATCTAATATAACACCCAGGAGTATGTGGTTATTACTGTTTTTCCTCCTTAGAGGCCACGTGTACATTAAGATTGCATAAATACTGGATGTTCTGAGAATTCTTTAATCAATCATCAAATCAAGAAGTTGAATTTTAACTCAGGTCAAAGAGCTGACTTGAAGCTGGTGGCCTAACACAGGGTGACACACACGCACACCAGGACCGGATGAACACACTACAGGGAGAGACGGGCCAGGCTGCCTGTCAGGTTCTAACAGGTGCTGACTTCTGAGAAAAATGAAGGCCGTTAACCAGCTGAGGGGTGGGTACCAGGGTGTGTGTTGTATTTTTCTTCATACGCTTTTTATGCATTTGAAGGTTTTCGTTTTATATATATATATATTTTTGTTTGTTTTGAAAAGGAGCCTTGCTCTGTCACCCAGGCTGGAGTGCAGTGGTGCGATCTAGGCTCACTGCAACCTCCACCTCCTCGGTTCAGGCGATTCTCTTGCCTCAGCCTCCTGAGTAGCTGGGACTACAGGCACGCACCACCATGCCCAGCTAATCAGGCTGGTCTCAAATTCTTGACCTCAGGTGATCTGCCCTCCTCGGCCTCCCAAAGTGCTGGGATTACAAGTATGAGCCACCATGCCTGACCAGTTTTCATTATATTTTTGAAGCAGATAATGATTCAATATATATTTGAAGTAGATTAAGATTGGAATTTACTCAAATGAAGACTTGCCAATAGAAACTGGGAGGACACTTTCCAACACAATGAAGAAGAAAGAAGGGAGAAAAGGCTGTCATTCCCCATGACATAAAGACATGAGATTCAAGGCAGACCATTTTGAGGCTGCTAGAAATGATTTTAAGGATACCTAGCCCACAAAACCCCAAATTCAACCAACCAATTTAAAAGTCAGCTCTGTCCTGAGGAAAGAGGCTTTCGTGGAGGAAGGGGTTGGTTTCACCTAGAAAAGGGGAAGAGTCTGAGGACAAAACAAGGTTGGTGAGAACCACCCACAAGAATGAAAGAGAAGGCTGGGCATGGTAGCTCATGCCTGTAATCCCAGAACTTTGGGAGGCTGAGACAGGCAGATCACCTGAGGTCAGGAGTTCAAGACCAGCCTGACCAACATAGTGAAACCTCATCTCTACTAAAAATACAAAAATTAGCCAGGTGTGGTGGTGCACACCTGTAATCCCAGCTACTCAGGAGGCTGAGGCAGGAGAATCACTTGAACCCGGAAGGCAGAGGTTACAGTGAGCCATAATTGTGCCACTGCACTCCAGCCTGGGTGATAGAGCAAGACTCCATCTCCAAAAAAAAAAAAAAAGAAAAAAAGAAAAGAATGAAACAGCAAAGCAAGAAGTGAAAGGTACTTTGGGTTACCACTGAGAGAAGGCAGAGAATCCACAGACCAGGAGCAATAAACAATGATGGGTAAATTTAAGGCTTTGAAGCTTTTCCATGTTTACTAGTTATGCTCTCTCCAGAGGAGATACATAAATTCACAAATAAATACATATAAATATTGGCTACTCACTAGCCATATTCATACATATTCATAATATTCATAAATATTGAATACTCACCAGACCCTATGCTAAATTTTAATATATACCCATTTTCTTATCTAATGCCCATTAATAATCCTATGAGGTGGGTATTTTTGTTAGTCCCATTTACAGATGAGGGAACTGAAGCCTACTGAGATCATGAGCAGGCAGTGAGGTCTGGGCTCAAATCCAGGTCTACCTGACTCCTGGGCCAGCATGTGCTACTAACTACTTACTTTACCTTGAAAAAAGCAGCTAAAAAGAAGAAGGTCAGGGCCTAGAAGGATCTGCAGCCTAGGAAGAGAAGTCGCCAAGTAAACCAAGCCACATACCACCACAGCTATAATTCTCCCCAACTATACACAGCCAAAAGCCCAACTCTCACACCCTGTAGGAAAAAAAAAAATCTCAACTTGTAGGAAAAGACTTAGGTCTGACACACATAGCCTATTCTGAGTAGACAGGAAAGAAGCCACATCTAGGCATGGGCTCCTTGTAAGAGAAATGTCACCCCTTTCTGTTGACCCCAGTAGTTGCAGCAAAAAGTTAATCCAGGTAACTCCAGCTGGGGATGCCTTCGGTTTATATACTCCATTTAAACACAGTCCCAGGTAGTTTACACTTAACTCAATGTAAAAGAATGCCACAGTGTGGCTTGAAGTCTAACCAAGATTATTTATTATTATTATTATTAAGATGGATTCTCGCTCTGTCTTCCAGGCTGAAGTGCAGTGGTGCAATCTTGGCTCACTGCAATCTCCGCCTCCGGGTTCAAGCGATTCTCTTGCCTCAGCATCTTGAGTAGCTGGGATTACAGGCGCATGCCACTACGCCCAGCTAATTTTTGTATTTTTAGTAGAGACAGGGTTTCACCAATGTTGGCCAAGATGGTCTTGAACTCCTAACCTCAGGTGATCTGCCCACCTTGGCCTCTCAAAGCGTTGGGATTACAGGCGTGAGCCACCATGCCCCACCCTAACCAAGATTATTTAAACACAACTCTATCAAAGTCACAACCAAACTGGCCTCTGACGAACACCTTCACCATACCTCCTTACAACTGTACGATAAATTATAGTTTAGAAAGCACCTTTGCAGATACCTCATGCAATCCTCACAAATCTGTGAAATGAGTCTTACTATCTCTATTTTATGAATGAAGAAACTAAGGCTTGGAAAGTTTCAGTAATGTGCCCAAGGTCATGGAAATGGTAAGCGGCAAAGAAAAAGAGATTTAAGAAGTGCAGGGAATACTAAAAATTTCAAAAACCTAATAAATGGCACATTTGACTTGGTAAAGTGTTTGGTGATGAGTACCTTAGTAACACAAACACCTAAGGATATGTTGAAAAAGAGTGGCCACAGGTTACACTGGTTAGGAGTACAAAAGATCAAGCATTCTGTAATTTGATCATACTACACTGTCTTACTAATACGGATGTTCTACTTAACAGAATTTTCTAGAAAAATGTTTGACACTGACAAGTGATGTGAAGTGGAGAAATTTAGTAACAATCAAATAAATCCAGATATCTTAGTAACTAGTGTGGCTCCATGTGAACTAGTTTTATAACTTGGAATTAGGACCTAGCATACTTGAGCATCAATTCAAAAAACAATAAACTTAGAAGCTTGTCATACCATCAAGTGGCCAATGCAGCTGCTCAGCAATGAGACTAGCTTTATCTGAGCTATAAAAATTACTGCAGGCAATAGTATCACTAATAGTAATCATTTGGCAAATTAAAGTCAATACACATGGACAGGGAACGACTTACTGTGCTTGTGCAGTTTAGATGATTGAAGACCCAATGTAAAGGCTTCTGCTGCAATGTGTATTAACTACACAGTAATTAATGATGGGCTGAAGTGGAACTATAATCATGTAGCAGAGAAAGTCATAAAAATGTCCTAACAAAGGTACTAAAATAGAGGTGATAAATGTTTTATGGCAACAATCTGAAATTGTAAAATGGTCTGGTGCAGACATAGACGCGACCCCATGTTGTAAAATATCAACATCAAACCACCACATACATGAAAAAGGGAACCAATTAATCCAGTGACAACTAAACTCCTCCCAAACTGTAAAGCTAAGTAATTACTCCTATTGAAAGCATGACTGAAACTCTGCTGAAAGATCAGTGAAAATATTCATGATTTTATATCATCAACAGGTGAGAAAACAATAGTATATAAAGTTTGCCTTGGCAGTTTGGGATATGGAAATATTCCTGAAGATCTGTCCTAAATACAAAATTAGGAAAAGCTCAGTTGATGATAGGTGCAGACAAGGTATGGTGATCTTGATCAAAACATAAAATGGACACTACACTCAGTGCCTTATATGAGTGGATGAACAGCTTTATAGGTTAGCCACGTGTTTGTCAAAGGTTGTGCTAGAACAGATCTATTACCAGTCAATAACTCCTGGTTGTGACCAGAATGGTTGTGGTTACATGTAACATAATTCTCAACTATGATCCTTAAATCCCAAGACCACGATGTAGGTCTAGGCTGTTGTCTTTGCTATTCTCGTTTTTTTTTTTTTTTTTTTTTTGCCTCGGGGTTACGAGTCGGCTGCTATAGCTTTCAGAATCACACTCACACTACCACATTCAAACGCAGGAAATGTGAGTGGCAGCAAAAAGAGGCTTTCTTCACAGAACTGTCTCCCATTCTGATCAAAAAAGAAAATCTTTCCAAGAACCCTCCCCCAGGAGACTTTCTTTGATTGGCCAGAACCAATGAGATGAGACCAGTCTATGCCAGTCACTGGGATTACTAAAGAATTATCATGAAAGGTTTAAGCCAATGTTAATACCTCCCCTAAGTGCATTGTTGCTTACTCAATATCTGAACAAAATTACGGTTCTTGAGCATGAAAGAAGCAGGCACAGGGAAGACTATCAGTTAGGTAACCAGTAATGCCTGCCTCACTGGCCAACAGACCAGAAAGTCGATTCTTGATAAAACCAAAGAATAGTAGAATTCATTCTATTTAATGGGACGATCACACAGATATCACAGAAAACATGCTCCCCTTAAGAGCTAACAGCCAGGTGCGGTGGCTCACCTCTGTAATCCCAGCACGTTGGGAGGCCAAGGCAGGCTGATCACTTGAGTCCGGGAGTTTGAGACAAGCATGGGCAACATGGTGAAACCCCATCTACACTAAAAATACAAAAATTAGCCAGGCATGGTGGCCCATGCCTGTAGTCCCAGCCACTGTGGGGTGAAGTTGGGGGTGAGGCATGCGGGAGCTGAGGCAGGAGGACAGCTTCAGCCCAGGAGGTCAAGGCTGCAGTGAGCCCTGATCGTGCCAGTGCACTCTAGCCTGAGCAGCAGCGCAAGACTCTGTTTAAAAAAAAAAAAAAAAGGCTGGACATAGTGGCTCTTGCCTGCAATCCTAGCACTTTGGGAGGCCGAGGCAGGCAGATCACTTCAGCCAAGGGGTTCAAGACCAGCCTGGGCAACATGGCAAAACCGTGTCTCTACAAAAAGTACAAAAATTAGCCAGATGTGGTGGTGCACGCCTGTAGTCCCAGCTACTAAGGAGGCTGAGATGGGAGGCTTGCTTGAGCCCAGGAGGCGGAGGCTGCAGTGAGCCAAGATCACACCACTGCATGCCAGCCTCAATAGAGCGACCCTATCTCAAAAGAAAAAAAAGAAGACCTAACAAAAGGGGCAAACCAAGGAACATTAAAGAAAAGCCTGCTGTTTAAGTAAATGAGACAGTTTCATACCTTCATTCAATAAATATTTACTCACTGCCTACTACGTGCCACATGCTGTTCTAGAGGCTATGGGTACAGTAATGAACAAAACAAAGTCCCTGCTCTCAAGAAATCTATACAATAGTGGTTTCTGATTTAAAAAAAAAAAAAAAAAAAAGCATGCACCTTGCAGACAAGAACAGCAGTCATGCTTCCTCAGTAATTCAGAAGACTGTGCCTTATACACACACCAAATCGCAAAAAGAACAAGTTGGTAGAATTATAGAAAGTGCACTACATATTCAGCTAAGTTATTTTTTAAATGTTTAAATACTGATAATGCATATTTGATATAGCATTCTTCTAGGTATTCAAAATACTTTAACGTATATTATCCTTTTTTTCTTCTCTTTTTTAAAAAACCACTTTATTTATATATTTAGAATAGTTTTAGGTTCACAGCAAAATCCAGAGGAAGGTACAGAGATTTCCTATACACTCCCCTCTCCCACACAGGCACAGCCTCTCCATTATGAACATCCGCCACCACAGTGGTACATTTGTTACAAGTGATGAACCTACACTAATACATTATAATCACTCAAAGTCAGTAGTTTGAGTTAGGGTTCACTCTTGTACATTCTGTGGGTTTGAACAAATGCATAATGACACGTATCCACCGTTTTTTGTTTTGTTTTGTTTTGCTTTGTTTTTTGAGACAGAGTCTTGCTCTGTTGCCCAGGGTGGAGTGCAGTGGCTTGATTTCAGCCCACTGCAACCCCTGGCTCCCAGGGTCAAGCAATTCTCCTGCCTCAGCCTCCGGAGTAGCTGAAATTACAGGCGCCTGCCACCAGGCCCGGCTAATTTTTTTATTTTTAGTAGAGATGGGGTTTCACCATGTTGGCCAGGCTGGTCTCAAACTCCTGACCTCAAGTGATCCGCCCACCTCCGCCTCCCAAAGTGCTGGGATTACAGGCATGAGCCACTGCGCCTGGCAGTATCCACCATTTTTATAGTATCACACAGAGTAGCTGCACTGCCCTAAAAATCCTCAGTACTCTACCTATTCGTATCTCCCCTCAACCCCACCCCTTGGCAACTGATCTTCTCACTGTCTCCATGTTTTGCCTTTTCCAGAATGTCATGTAGTTGGAACCATAATTGTACATTATCTTTACTTCCCTATTGACTGTGAAGGAAGAAAGGGCAGCTACTAATACACAGGCCCCAGGAAGATGAGAACCTAGGTCTGCATCTCCCTAACCATTCAGCTTTCATTACAAACAACAACTTTGCCAGAAACTAGTCTCTAAAATTAAGCATGCCCCCAAATAGAGGCCAAAGTTCTTAGAAAATCTCTGAAGGTGACCTATCCCCTCATTTAAATTCACTGTGGCTCAGTGATGGTCCATGAGAGAAAGATGGGATAAAGGGATAATTGGGGGTATGGATACAGAGCCACACATCTTGGATTTAACTAGAGTCTCTGTTGTGCTTGAAAATAATTTATTAGAGTTCTACTAGAGAAATAGCCTCCTAAATAGCTTTTATTTATTTATTTTTATTTTTATTTTTTTGAGACGGCATCTCGCTTTGTTGCCCAGGCTGGAGTGCAATGGCATGATCTCGGCTCACTGCAACCTCTGCCTCCTGGGTTCAAGCGATTCTCATGCCTCAGCCTCCCAAGTAGCTGGGATTACAGCTGCCTGCCACCAACCCAGCCAATTTTTGTATTTTTAGCAGAGACAGGGTTTCACCATATTGGCCAGGCTGGTCTCGAACTCCTGACCTCAAGTAATCCACCTGCCTCAGCCTCCCAAAGTGCTGGGATTACAGGCGTGAGCCACCATGCCCAGCCCTAAATAGCTTTTAACTCTACTGTACATATGCCTGGGTCTCTTTGAGTGTGTCAAAGGGAAAGAGGAACTAAAGAATGCCAGCCTACAGTTATATTCTGTTGCCCTAGTTCTCATAGTAAAAGTGAGGAAAAGGTGGCAGACCTATCTATATTCAGAAGCAGTGAGCCTCAGAAACCAGATCTCCTGCTAAAAGATCTGGAGGTCATCAATGTTCTGGTTTCAGGGACAACATTTAATCAATAAAGACCTTTTGACTATTCTCTTTTGACCAAAGAATCCAATACCAAACCCTACATATACCAGTTCCCAATATAGGAAAACACAAAATCTCTAATGGGAGTTAATTTCCCATTTAGCAATGGACCATTTGGAAGTAAGAACATTGCTCATCTCCTGGTCCAAAATAGGGCAGAAGAGACGCTAAAAAATGTCAAGGTGGAAACTGTCATTTCAACAAAATAGGGGAGGGTATAGGGGTGACAGCAGTAGATAGATAAAACGAAAATGTCTTGACTTACTTTTTGGTGAGCCGTGGGTCAAGAGGAGGATGCTGTGCTCCATATACAGGCTGAATGCTAAAAGCAAAAACAAAAGGAAGAAATAGTTAGTTTAGTTAGGAAACTAAATATGTTGGCTAAGTGCCATCTGCATCACAAAATTGGATGAGACTTTGATAAATAGGTTATCTCTAATAACTGTACTCAAGCCATCCCCCAAAGAGAGCAATCTACCCGTTAAAAAAATATATTTGATAATGTTCATTTTCCCTGGTGAAGTTTCAGTGCCTTACACACCTGTCAGGATGTCCTATGTGTAAAGAAGGCAGGATGGAAAGGTAACGGGCTTTAGAGCTGGAGAGAGCAGAGTTCAAATGCCAGTTCTGGCACTCAGTACCACCATGAACTTCCAGCAAGCTTTTTGACTCCTTTGAACCTGTTTTCTCATCTAAAGTGGGAATATTGCCTAATTGAAAGGCTCACTGGGCTAAAAGACAGTGAAGGGTGACCTAAGGAACTCACACACTGCAGGAGGGGTATAAAGTAAAATAATTTAGCCATATCTAGGAAGAATGAAATATGCATACCCTAAGACCCAGTATTTTCACTCCCAAATATGCATATTAAGATAAATATATACATATATGTATTAGGAGATATATATAAGACTATTCAAAGCACCATGGCTCGTCTTAGCCCCAAACTAGAAATAACCCAAATGTCCATCAATAGTGACAAGAGAAATCAATTGCAATATGTTTATATAGCAGAACATTATACACCAATGACAATATATGTGAAGTAGGGCTTCAAGTAACAATGTGGATGGATCTTACAAATGTCATGTTGAACAAATAAGTAAAGCATAAGAATAAATACTGTTATGATTCGACTTATATAGACTTCAAAAACTGACAAAAGTAGTTTCTACTGTTTAGGAATGCATGCAGAGTAATATTATAAAGAAAGAAAGGAGTAAATGACATAAAAGGATATAGTTCTCTCTGGAGGAAAGAAAGGAGAAAACAGCAAATAGACACAGAAGTTTCTGGGGTGTTCACTTTGTGATTATTCATTAAGCCATCATACCACACATTTGTGCTTCATGTGCTTTTCGGTCATGTATCACAATTAAAAGAAAATGAGCTGATGGGATGGCTCACAACTGTAATCCTAGCACTTTGGGAGGCCACGGCAAAATGACTGCTTGAGCCTAGGAGTTCGAAACCAGCCTGGGCAACAAAGTGAGACTCTGTTTCTACAAGAAAATAAAAAATTAGTTGGGCATGGTGCTGCACGTCTGTAGCCTCAGCTACTTGGGAGGCTGAGACGGGGGGATCGCTTGACCCCAGGAGGGTCCAGGCTGCAGTGAGCACACCACTGCACTCCAGCCTGGACCCTGTTGGAAAGAAAAGGGAAAGAGAAGGGAGAGAAGAAAGAAAATGAGAATAAATGATTCAAGAATAAGTATATATCAAGCCAAACTATTGTTTAAGTATAAAAGTGAAAAAAAACTACTTTTCAACATGTAAGAACTCAGGGAAAATGTGTTCCTTAACACCTGTCTGAAGAAGCTGTGAGAGAACAAACTTCAACTAATCATGAGATGGAGAAACCATGGCAAAAGGATTGGTGGAGAGCCCTGAACAGATCCAACCTTATGACTAGGTCTTACATTTGAGGCAAAGAGAACATCAAAGTAATATAATTGGCAAATGTTAAAAGGAGGAAAAAATGGACAAATGAAGTGCATTGACTTCTTCATCTTTTACTGACAGGGCTCAGAAGATATTTAAAGCAGATAGCTCAATTTGCAAATCTATGTCACTACCTGTTTAACATTAAATCCTAATGTAGATTTGCAAATGTTAATAGACGAATATGGATGTTTTACGACAGAAAATAAAACCAAGAAAAATAATATAATCAACTAGAAGCAGGTGGGAAGAGAGGGGTGAGGAAATATACTTACTAATTTCATCATTACTCATGGTAGGGAGCCAACAGGTACTGTCTGAAGAAATATGGTATAAAGTTACACTTATAAACACAATCACTAAAATAAAAAGATAAATCTTCCAAATTATCAGAATATATATATGTGTGTGTGTATATATATATGTGTATATATATATTATATATATAGTGTATATATATATTATATATATAGTGTATATATATTATATATAGTGTATATATATTATATATATGTGTATATATATATTATATATGTGTGTATATATATTATATGTGTATATATATATTATATATGTGTGTATATATATATTATATATGTGTGTATATATATTATATATGTGTGTATATATATATTATATATGTGTGTGTGTATATATATATATATATGTATGTCCTCCCCTCAAAAGCAAGCACAGTCCACATAGTGAAAGACTTTTTTAAGAAGAAAATATTTTTAAAAGGGCAAGCATGGTAGCTCACATCTGTAATCCCAGGACTTTGGGATGCTGAGGTGTGAGAACTGCTTGAGGCTAGAAGTTTGACCAGCCTGAGCAACGTAGCAAGACCTTGTACCTACAAAAAATTTAAAAATTAGCCAACTGTGGTGGTGCATGCTTGTACTTCTAGCTACTTGGGAGGCTGAGGTGAGAGGATTACTTGAACCCAGGAGTTTGAGACTACAGTGACCTATCATCGTGTCACTGCACTATAGCCTGGGCAACAGAGTAAGTCCTTATCTCAAAAAAAAAAAAAAAAAAAAAAAAGACGAAGAAAATATTAAAAATTGAACTTAAACTAAATAACTAAATATATCAGTTATTCCAATAAATATAAAGGAGCTAACTTACCTATTAAAATAGAAAGGATAATTACCAACAGGAAAGTAGTTAAATAAATTACAGTATATCTTTTAAAAAGAATGAGGCAGTTCTGGCCAGGTGCGGTGGCTCACGCCTGTAATCCCAGCACTTGGGGAGGCCAAAGCAGGCAGATCACCTAAGCTCAGGAGTTCAAGACCAGCCTGGCCAACATGGTGAAACCCCATCTCTACTAAAAAATACAAAAATTAGCCGGGCATGGTGGCAGGCACCTGTAATCCCAACTACTCAGGAGGCTGAGGCGGGAGAATGGCTTGAGCTGGGGAGGCGGAGGTTGCAGTGGGCCGAGATTGTACCACTGCACTCCAGCTTGGGGGACAGAGCAAGACTCCGTCTCAAAAAAAAAAAAAGAATGAGGCAGTTCTATATTCACTGACATGAAATAAACTCAGACATTAATTGAAAAAAGATGCAGAACTACATGTATGACACCATTTTTATAAAAATCTTTAAAATAGATACATGCATTTTATGTATGATTAGGTCTATGTATCTGAAAGAATATCAGAGTATCTGAAAGAATACAAAAGACACTGGTAGCAGCAGTTTGGAATAGGAACCAGATGACTGGAAGATGATGGGACACCAAAGAGACTTAGTTTTCACTGCAAACCCTTTCTGATTTAGTATCATGTACAAGTATCACCTTTATAAGAAATAAGCGATCTTGAGAAGGTTAGAAGGTTTAAGTGGGACGATATGTTGAAAGCCCTTTAGCACAATTCCTGGTGGGTGGTAATGCTAATTTAATGTTAAGCAGGAAGTGACGTAGATTTGCAAATGTTAGAACACTACCCAGCAAACACTCAGTGCCCAAGAAATGTTGATTTTCTTCCTCCCTCCCATTTTTATAATTTAATCCATACTCAACATTTAGAAATTGAAACAAGCTTACCAAATACTTGTTTCACATAACAGAGGTGATCCTAAAGGATGCTCTTAAATAAAAATATAGCCAAATCAATCACTTTCACATTGATTCCTATTAAGATTTCAGAGGAAATCTTACATATAATCTTTAATTTATGAATACAGTCCCTACTTCTTTAGCTATAAGAATCTTTACTCCCTAAACCTCTCTGGAAGATTAATAAGTAATGTGTAAGCAAACTATTACATATATTACTACAGAAATACAAACTTTGAAAACAATACTAATTGATGTGTTTAAAGGGTTTCCTAGGCAGAGAGAAAAAAAGAGGAATCAAAGAGTAAAGGGAAAGTTCTGCTGAGAGAGGAAGGGGGTGTTAGACACCCCCACTGACCACGGGAAAAAAAAAAAAACCCAAAGGGCTACTGATATGCACATTAGCAGCTGCAAATAATCTAAGAGTACACCTGAATTCTTCAAGCCCACAAGCCCTCCTCACAATAAAATATAAAATCAGAGGATAAACTGCAGGAAGATCTCAACAGGCCGGTTAGGTAAGGTGACTGGGTAGAAAAATAAGAGAGTATTACCTTAAAGAAGTATTACCATCTGCCAGTAACCCATGCAGAAGAAAAGCAAACCTAATTTGTGCAGGCTGAAGGGCCAGAGGCCATCAATTACCATCTAGGAAAGGAATCTTAAAATCACAGTAGACTATTTTTTAAAGCTGTCAGCCCAAGGTGCTGGCATAGCCAGGAAGGCTAAGATAAATGATGGACTTCATCAGCAAAGGTATCAGGGCCCAAATTGAATTTGTTAACATATTCTTGAACTGAACCATGATGTATCTAAAACTGGAACACTTTGTATAATAAATCAGCTTATTGCAGCTTAAAAAAGACAGGCAAGAATTTAGAAAAGAGAAACCGAGATGATCACAGAGACTAAATGGAGATAGACCAGAAGAGCCCAATGATTAAGGTGCTCAATTTCCTGACATTTATAATTCACCTTTCACTGTCTGTACCATACCTACTCCTTCCAAACCCAAACTCAGCTCTAAGAAAGACTGATCTCCACTCCACCTTCCAAACTTATTAAACCCATTATTAAATAAGGCTCTTTTCCCTACTTGGAATGCTTTTCTATTTTCTACATCCCTTTTCAAAATTGTATCCATCCTGCAACATTCTCTTCAAATTCTACACCCCTCATGAAACTTTCCATACCCCTACCCCCAGCATCTACTAACTCATGTCTTCTCTAGTTCCCTAACATACATAAATTAGGGCTTATATTACTTTTTAAAAATAAACTAGATTTAGATCATAATATAAGACACAATCAGGGCTGGGCACTGTAATCCCTGCACTTTGAGAGGCCGAGGCAGGCAGATCACTTGAGTCCAGCAGTTCGAGACTGGCCTGGCCAACACAGCAAAACCCCATCTCTACTAAAAATAAAAATTAGCTGGGCTTGGTGGCACACATCTGTAATCCCAGCTACTCAGGACGCTGAGGCACAAGAATTGCTTGAGTCTGGGAGGCAGAGGTTGCGGTGAGCCGAGATCGTGCCATTGCACTCCAGCCAGGGCAACAAGAGTGAAACCCCGTGTCAAAAACAAAACAAAACCAAACAAAACAAAACACCCTGGCATACCCCTCCCTCCCTTCCTAGCAAGCCACTCTATTGGATCTGGCATTTTTCACACTCATTTTTATATTTTTATTTTCTATGTATGTATCCCTAAATAATGTATGATTTTGCATGTTTTTTAAACTTTATATAAATAACATCACACTGTAAATATGACTTATTTTGACTCTAAATCATGTTACTTTAAATTTTACTTAATTCCATGGCTAACTGGCTGATCTCTCCAACACAAGTTAAAAAAAAAAAATACAAAACATTTGCTCTAACACAAGTGAAAAAGCATTTAATTGACATTTTCAAACACAAAGAAAAGTACAGAAAATGATATAATAAACATCCACAAACCCATCACTCTGATTTACAAATGTTAACATTTGTCACATTTCATTTAAGAAAAAAAGTGTTAGGCCGGTCATAGTGGCTCACGCCTGTAATCCCAGCACTTTGGGAGGCCAAGGTGGGTGGGTCATGAGGTCAGGAGATCAAGACTATCCTGGCCAAAATGGTGAAACCCCATCTCTACTGAAAATACAAGAAAATTAGCTGGGTGTGGTGGCACGCATCTGTAGTCCCAGCTACTCGGGAGGCCAAGGCAGGAGAATCGCTTGAACCCGGGAGGCGGAAGTTGCAGTGAGCGGAGATCGGGCCACTGCACTCCAGCCTGGCAACAGAGTAAGACTCCATGTCAAAAAAACAAAACAAAACAAAACAAAAACAAAGTGTTAGACTACTGATGCCCTAATTGCAGTCCCTAGTCCTGTTTCTTCACTTCCCAAGAGATAACAATTATTCTGAAATTGGAGGGAACTCCTCCCATCTGTTTTTATTCCTCTACATATATTCACAGATCCATAAACAACACACAGTATTTTTTATGTTTTTAAACTTCACATAAAAGACTGCACATTGCACATATCTTTCTACATCTTGCTCTTTGCATTCAACAATGTGTTTTCACCCAATTCCACTTTTAAGTTTGTCTGATTACAAATATAACATATGTTTAGTGGAAAAACCAGAAAGTCAATCATACACAGCATCTTCTCCAGGGGAAGCCATGATGCCAAGCAGATTTTTTAGCTCCTAGAAAGCCATAGTGGTGCCATATCTTTTTCTGTAGCCCCCTTGCCACCTGGCAGAGCATGACACATACCAGCAGGCACTTAACAATATTTAGTAAGTGAAGATTAGATCTCTACAAAACCTAGGCCTCCACTTAAGCTAGACCTAAAAACCAGAGGTTAGTTAACACACTGCATCTCGAAGAAATCACACCACATATGCAGAGAAAAGAATGCCATGGAATATGCTGCCACGCAGACAAAATGGAACAAAAGTTCTGATTAATCTCCGTCACTCTCTTTAATAAAACCAACACCATAGAATGTATTGACATAGCTGTTTTGCCTAGTTGAAACAGTGCAAACATCTTGGTAGGAAAAATCAACAGGTGTTTGTTTAGCACTGATAAAAGAGCTAGTGCAAATATGGGAAAAAGACCCATCAAATTTAAATGCCAAACGTGTTGGCAACTGATGTAGGTTCACACACTCACTCCACATTAGTCTTCCAGAACAGGTGATCTATGCTGTTTCGATGATAATTTAGTATCTTCTAGTCACTCACTCTACCAGTAAAACATCTCCAAGCCAAGAACAAGTTGTAATGTACCTGCCCAGACAGGCTGTGACTTTTACACTAAGTCTCCTATCAGATTCATTATTATTTTAGGATCGGCTTCAAGTTCTTAACTTGGCCTCTCTTTCTAACAACGAAGGGCCTGGAAGACTCAGGTAATTTCGATTTTGGCCAGACGCAGAGGCTCATGCCTGTAATCCCAACACTTTTGGAGGATGAAGTGGGCAGACTGCTTGAGCCCAGGAGTTCATGACCAGCCTGGGCAACATGGCAAGACCTGTCTCTACAAAAAATACAAAAATTAGCCAGGGCTGGGCACGGTGGCTCACACCTATAATCTCAGAACTTTGGGAGGCTGAGGTGGGCTTGAGGTCAAGAGATCACTTGAGGTCAAGAGTTCAAGACCAGCCTGGCCAACATGGCGAAACCCCCTTCTCTACTAAAAATACAAAAATTAGCTGGGCATGGTGGCATGTGCCTGTAATCCCAGCTACTCAGGAGGCTGAGGCAGGAGACTCGTTTAATCCTGGGAGGTAGAGGCTGCAGTGAGCTGAGATCGTGCCACTGCACTCCAGCCTGGGCAACAGAGGGAGACCCCATCTCAAAAAAAAAAAAAAAAAGGTGATTTTTTTTTTCTCCTGTGCCCGAGCTCTAGACACACACACACACACACACACACACACACACACACACACACACACACACACTGACCAAAGCTTTTTTATTTTTCCCCCATAGGTTTGTGCCACCAAGCCCAGATAATTTTTTTGTGTGTTTTTAGTAGAGACGGAGATTCACCATGTTGGCCAGGCTGGTCTCGAACTCCTGACCTCAAATGATCCACCTGTCTCAGCCTCCCAAAGTGCTGGGATTACAGGTGTGAGCCACCACACCCAACCAGATCAAAGCTTTTCAATTTCAGTTTCAAAAACTGAAGCAAGGAGAGAAAACAAAAATGATAGCTACTATCATCGTAACTATCCTTCTTATAATAGCTAATATTATTGTGTACCTCCTAACCAATTATTATGTATTATCTCATTTAATCCTCATAACAGCCCCATGGAGCAGATACTCTGTCCCTATTTTAGAGATGGGGAGACTGATGCATTGAGAGGTTAATTAAATCCCATAAGATCACATAGCTAGAAAGCAGAGCTGGGATTTTAACCTAGGCAGTCAGATTTCAGAGCCTGCATTTTTTTTTTTTTTTTTTTTTGGAGACAATCTCTTGCTCTGTTGCCCAGGCTGGAGTGGAGTGACGCAATCTCAGTTCACTGCAACCTCCGTCTCCCAGGTTCAAGAGATTCTTGGGCATCAGCCTCCTGAGTAGCTGGGACTACAGGCACACACCACCAAGCCCAGCTAATTTGTATTTTTAGTAGAGATGGGGGGTTTCACCACGTTGGCCAGGCTGGTCTCGGACTCCTGGCCTCAAGCGATCCACCTGCCTCAGCCTTCCAAAATTCTGGGATTACAGGCCACCACACCTGCCAAAGCCTGCAATGGTAGAGATTGCCTCTTATCTTCTAGGCATTAATACAATGACCATTTGATGTGCTAAGTAAATGGGGCTCATGTGAATAACTGAGAGAACTTAAAAGATGCTTAGTTCCACCAAGTTACTACATGACCCAGCAATTCCACTCCTATTTATCAGCAGAAGAATAGAAAATATATATCCAAACAAAAACCTCTGCATAAATGTTCATAAAAGCATTACGTACAATAGCCCAAAAGTGAAAACAATTCAAATATCCATCAACTGATGAATGAACAAAATGTGGTGTATGTATACTATGGAATATTATTCAGCCATAAAATGGAATGAAGTACTGATACATACTACAGCGTGGACAAGCCTGAAATCACTGTGCTTAATAAAAGAAGCCACTCACAAAAGGCCTCAGATCATATTACTCCATATATATAAAATGTCCAAAAGTGGTAAATCCACAGAAACAGAAAGTAGGTTAGTAGTTACCAGGGTCTGGAGTGGGGTGGATGGGGAGTGACTGTAAACAGGTATGTAGTTTCTTTTCAGGATGATGAAAATGTTCTGAAATTAGTGGTGATGGTTGCACAAAACCATCTATACTATAAATGAATATACTAAATACCACTGAATTGTACACTTTAAAAGAGTGAATTTTATGGTATGTGAATTATATCTCAATAAAGCTGTTATTTTTAAAAAGAATGTTTCATTCATTTGCAACTTCTTTTATTTAATAAAATTTCTATTTGTTGTCACTAAGATTGTTGGATCATGATCAGACAAATGGAAAGAACCCTGTCATCGCTTTTATTTTTCACCTTTCAATTTGCAAAGAAGAGTAAACTAGTTTCATTTCCAAGTTTGCATGCATCCAGTAGAGTCATTTGTGTCATTTCCCCACCCAGGAGAAAGTTTTTCTTCTCTAAGACCGAAAGAGTACAGATGCAAAAGTTCTATTCTTGAGAAAATGCCCTAACATTTTCTTTAAACCAAAGTACCTTTCTATCTAAAAGAACCTTAGTTTTCTCCTATGACCAGAGGCTTGTGGGCTTCACTGCTAAAAGCACACAGCTGAACAGTATTTCTCTTTACCAAGTAAGGTACTAAAAACTATTATGAATTGTGACAATATTTGAATACCTTAAACAACGAAGACAATGAGCTGGGGTAAGGATCTGAGTAACATTATTTTAAATGTTTACTTGCTGTAATAATGACAGCAATGTTAATAACTACTGTTTTTTTGAGCAACTATAATGTGCTAAATAAACACTGTCCTAGGCTCTTTACAAATAGGGTATTTCACTTAGTCCCCACAGTAACTCTGAGGAAAGTATTTTTATTTCTCATTTCATAGGTAAGGAAATTGAGGCCTAGAAAGATTATTTGTCTTGGTCACACACACAACAGAGCCCAAATAGTAACCCAAGTCTTTCTGAACTCGAAAGTTCTCTATTTCTCTATATTCTTCAAAATGAAAAAGGAATCCAGAAACTTGAAGAAACTGAAAAGACTTCTCTTCCTATCTCAGAAAAGTAGTGCTTTAAAAAAGTTGACTGTTCTTATAGCCAAATACAGGAAATATAGGAAAAAAAGATTGTTAATAGCAACCAGCAGTCAGAAGGCACAGAAGCCCATGCCACGTCCCACATCTCTTACACTGCTTCCTGATACAACAGTCTTCCTATTGATTATGATTATAATCTTAGGATGTCAAAATTTAATGATCTCACTACGGAAAACCCCAGAGAATAGCAGTTAGCACAACTAGAGAGCTCACTAGACCAGGAAGGAAAAGGAATCAGTTGGCAGGAAGTGTGCTTACCTAAAAACACAGAACATCTTTAACAGTAATATTAACACTGTTGAGTCCACAGCACTTTAATCTGAAGTTATCTTTGCATTCCTTTCTATTACTTTAATAAGTATTACTAAAAGCTGATTTCCACCCTATTCTCCATATGTCTACTAGAATCCTTAATAAAATAAGACTCTTGGTGGGGCATGGTGGCTAACGCCTGTAATCCCAACACTTTGGGAGGCCAAGGCAAGAGGATCACTTGAGGCCAGGAGTCAGAGACCAGCCCTGGCAACACAGTCAGACCTTGTCTCTATTTCATTTAAAAAAAAAAAAAAAATTAAGGCTCTTACCTAGCCACTACTGACCCTCATCTCTCTCTCGCTTAAAAAAAAAAAGTCACGAGTTCAAAAGATTATCCCAGAAGGAAAAAACCTGAATCCATTAGAAAAGGTAGCACAGGGGACACAACCAAACATGAATTTCATCACCAAGTAGACTGTAGCTGGCAGAAATCTTAAATTTACGACTGAAATACACACTCTTCCTTATACTTCTCAGGACTTTGCCCAAAATAAACTGAAACAGTAAACCAACAGTAGATTGATGGATGGATAATTTGCCAAAAGTCTCAACATACACCGAAAAGAGGGTGGGGGTAGTCTTAGGGGGTCTGCTCTCCAGTTAAACAACTGAAGAATGAACGAATTTAGTGCATTTGCACAAGAAGTGCATTACAATGCAGGGGAGGAAGAAGTCACTTGGGGTTGGACAAATCCTTAGAAAATGCCAAAGGAATAACCCTGATTCTGTGGTCGTCTTGTAATAATTCCTAGTGGGAAAGGGCCAACTCAAGATAAAGTAAGGTCAGGGTTGAGAATCGTCCTCACTTTTCCTGCCTAACCCTCTCGGCAGGCGGCCCCAAACTCCCACCGGAATCCTTCGGGTAAGTGCCGACCTCAGGGATCAAGGGAAGGGGCCATCCTCGAGCGACCAACCACCTGTGCGTGGTGGAGACCCCTGAGAGGGAGTCCTAATTAGAGTGGGAAGCAGCTCTGGGGAGGAACTTCCGAGACCAGGGCCGACACTGACTATTCACCCAACTCCACTCCCCTTTACGCCCAATCTTCGGCCACCTTCCCGCTGAGGTCACCCCTCCTGAAACCTCCGCCCCCAGACCCCGGTCTACACCCACATCCAGCCGTCCCCAAAGCTCGCTGTTCGCTTCGCTGCCTGACAGCTGCCCTGCCGCCACCAGGCAGTCCCAGCTTCCCCAAACCAGTCTTCTGGCCTCTGTGGCGCCCCAGGCCCGCGGGATTCAGGGATTAGGATCTGGAAGGGTTTGGTCCAATCCCCTATCCCTCTCAGCGTCCTGGGCTCACCTCCCCGGCAGCTTAGCGCTCCTCTTCCAAAACTGCTTGCTGTTCTCAGCGGCCATTGCTCTGGCCGGGGGAAGTCCTTGTAGGCGGGCCAAGGGTTTGCCCGGCGAGATGCCCCCAGACCCCGCAATCTGAGGGCCAACCCAGGCCGCTTCCCCGCCGCCGGTCACCCGCTCCCAGCTCCTGGGGACGCCATCTTGGATGTGGGCACCCCTCCACCCAGCACCGCTGCCATTGGTGAGCTGCGCAAGCCGTGGACGGGCCGACCAATTGGGAGCCGGAATCCTGCAGGCCGCTGAAGCCGACCGGTAACGTCAGGGGCTGGGCACACAGGTGGACGGGGAAGGCGGAGCTTGGACGAGCCGAGAGGCGGGGCTCAAAGTTCCTACCCGCGAGAGGGAAGAAGCAGGTAAGGTAAGGGACCTATGGGAAGGAAGAGGGGATTATCTTCTTCGTGAGGAATGAAGTTCCTTAGTCTAATATTTCTTGGCAAGAGAGAACATACTATGTATTTATATATAGGAATCTTTCACCTAAAAGTAAGGGCCCATGTGTTGGTTGTGGCCCATTTTTAACATCTCTCAATTCAATGACACTCTGGTTATTACCCTCCTTTCCTCATTCCGTTTACATGTCCATTCGTTTTTCTGAAGGAAGGTCAGCAGGGACCCGATAGCCCGGGATTGCTAACTGTTCAACACGTGAGCAACGGTTCATCAGAGTCTCCCTCTCCCTCTGTTTATTGAAAACGATTGAAGGACTTGTGCTGTGGGTTAAAAATTCAAATGATCTAATCCCTATGTCAATCCATAACTCTCACTTTCTGACTATGCTAACAGTGTATATAGGAAATGGTTTATGATAGCTGTCCAACTCAGATTACCAAATACCATTTCTTTGAAGGACACAGTATTGCTCCATCGTGTGAATCACAAAGTTAAGGATGTATCTCCTCCCGGCCCCACCAACATCCTTAATTTCCCTTGTTAATCTATTATAAATCTTGCACCCTTGAATTTATTTTCAATCTAATTTTCCCAGACAATGAGATTTAGTATTAGCATTTTGAATCCTTTGAATGTCTTGTCAGCGTTTTTTGCTGGTTTTGAGTTTCTGTGGTTGTATTCCGTGGTGATTTGGGGAAAGAGGGAAGGCGGGCACCAGTCCAGAGTGGTTTTTGTCCCTTCGAAGGACTGTTGAGGTGGGCTGCGTGTCCCCCACCCCCACCCCCACCCTCCATTTACAGCTACCACATGTACTTCCACATATTGGAGAATACTTAAAGACCTGACCCCTGGCCCCAGCCAAAGAAGGACCTTCTTTTATATGTCCTCCAACGACGGTTTCTTCATTACTCCCATTTTCAAGCTTCTTTTGTCCCCTAATTTAAGAATTATAGGATTGGATGACAAGGGCTATTTTTACTTCCTCTGAGTCTTTCATGCTATAAAAGCATCTTATCTTCTTTATGGGCATTTAACCCAGAGAAAAAAAGCCCCTCTATTCTTTTAATTATTTTACTTGCCTTTCTCTGGCGCTTCTTTTTCTTAGGATGCAGTGACCAGCACTGCACACTAAGCCCAAAGAGGGATGTACTGAGGCTTTGTTAAGGCTGATGTTTTGTCTTTATTCTGGACAGCCAGACCTTTTGCTGGCTGTTTGGACTTTAGAAGAGTTGATGTCTTGAAAGAGTAATCTAAAACAACTTCTAGATTCCTTACCTTGGTGGCAACCAGCAGTTCAGAGTTCATTGTCTTAAAGGTATCCTCTGAATTGTCTTTCCCTATGTGAGCTGCCATACACTCATCCATGTGACAAGATACCTGCCACTTTCCAGCTTATGCACATGGCTTTAGAGATGTTCCAGAAGCTGCTCCCTATTGATTTGACATTTTACTATGTGGAAAGCAAAGTATGATTTGTGTATCTAGACATATCTCAAAATACTCCTTTTTCTTAATCTTCTATGAAATGTTAAATGACACTGATTCCCAGGGGGTGTAGTTAACAGTGCTCAACCCAGAAAAGCCCTGTTATTTCTACAGTTTGTTTTCTATATCAGTTTCCCCTCCAAGATTTTTTAAAAATTCACATCAGTTACCTTGTGATGACTTTTTAAATAGGGAAATTGAGATTGTTGGAACCTTTTTCACCACTACCACTTGGTCACCCTAATCTTCACCAACCACACACCTGCTTACAGCAGCCTGCTATTCGGCTCCCTGCTTCCACTCTTAGCCCCTTAGAGTCCATTCCCCATATACCAACCAGAGAGACCTTTTTTTTTTTTTTTGAGACCAGGTCTTGCCCTGTCACCCAAGCTGGAGTCCAGTGACATGATCTCAGCACACTACAACCTCCATCTCCTGGGCTCAAGCAATCCTCCCACATCAGCCTCCTGAGTAGCTGGGACTAACAGGCACATACCACCATGGCCAGCTAATTTTTTGTATTTTTGTAGAGATGAAGTTTCACCATGTTGCCCAGGCTGGTCCCATACTCCTGAAACTCAAGCAATCCACCACCTTTGGCCTCCCAGAGAGCTAGTATTACAGGTGGGAGCCATCGCACCCTGCCCAGAGACACCCTGTTAAAATGTAGACGATATCATGTCACTCCTCTGCTGAAAACTTTGCAATGGCCCCCATTGTACTTGGCATAAAATCCAAGCTCCTTAAAGACCCTACATGACTTGGCTCCACTCACCTCTCCAGTCTCATCTCATTATGCTTTCTTTCTTGCTTAATCTGCTGCAGCCATGCCCATTGGTCTTATTGCCTGGCTCTATTTTTCTTTAAAGCGCTATCACTACAGGCCATATTATGTACTTGTTTGTTGTCCATCTCCATCCCCTAGAGTAAAGGCCCCCTGTCTGTTGCCTGTTAGGAACCAGGCCGCACAGCAGGAGGTGAGTGGCGGGTGGGCATGCAATCATTACTGCCAGAGCTCCGCCTCCTGTCAGATCAGCAGCAGCAGCAGATTCTCACAGGAGTTTGAACCCTATTGTGAACTGCTCATACAAGGGATCTAGGTTGCATTGCGCACTCCTTATGAGAATCTAATGCCTTGTGATTTGAAGTGGAACTGTTTCATCCTTTAACCCCCCTCCCCCAAAATTTTCATGGAAAAGTTGTCTTCCCTGAAACTGGTCCCAGGTGCCAAAAAGGTTGGGGACTACTGCCCTAGAGATCGTGAACCCCACTAAGACTGGGACTTTGTTTTGTTCCCTGCTGTATCCCCAGCACCTAGAATAGTGTTTGGAACATAGTGAGTGCTTAGTAAATATTTACTGAGTGAAAGAAGGAAGAATATAAATATTTCTTGTCTTTCGATTCTATGTTGTTCACATATTTTTATGTTAGGAAAGATGATAGAAACAGTGTTTCCTAACCCCTAGTAGGATGTGTCCACTTTACCAATGACTCTACATCCTTGCCTACATCCTTGGTTGAAGAACAGTCTTCTCTGAGAAAGATTGTATTCTTCAAACTCTTTTGCAGCTTCAAAGGAATGTGCCTGTACCTGGAATGATGAGGGAGGGAGGCCACCCACCTAGTCAGGAGATCAGTTGGTAGCTGTCATCAAAGGGCTGATAGGTATGGCAGCCACCCTTGCCCAGCAAGAGGTGTAAATCATTGGTTTGAGGTTCCCAAGGGGTCCTTAGAGGCCTTCTGATGGAGGTCCTTCTTGGCAGACATTCACTGGTCCACTAGACCAGTGCTTCCTATACTATATTGCACATGTGAATCACTGAGGATTATATTAAAAACCTAGATTCTGATTCAGGAGGTCTGAGGTGGAGCCTACAACTCAGAATTTCTAACAAGCTCCCAGGTGACACTGATGCTGCTGATCCATGGACCTCACTTTATAGATCTTCTGTTACTAATACAGTATGGCCTGTGATTGTTTACTTTATCTCAAGAGTTTATTTTGAAACTGTAAGTAGAGGCTTCTGCAAGTTTTTACTTTCCCCCCCTCAACTTCATCTTCATTCAAAAGAGGGTTAAACAACTTAAAATGTGGCAAAGTATAGTTAAGGGATGAGATATGCCTGGGTTGACTGTGGACTCAAAAGAGGTAGGCATATCCCAACCCTTAGAGAAAGTTTTATGAAAGAGATAATCCTTGAGTAGGGAGAGAAAAGGAAAGAGAAAGGCCTGAAGAACTATAGGAGGAAAGTCACTTCAGGACAGGAGCTCCAATGGGAAGATAAAAATAGAGAAAAAAGCCTTTGGACTTACAGAGAGATCCCTGGCAGACTTTAACCTTAGTGAAGGAGTGGAGTGGAAGGAAGGAAGTAGACACTGTGATGAGGGGAAGGGTTAAGAAATGAGAGCAAGAAGCAGCCCTCACAATGCACTGTGCAATGTTGGGCCACCTAAGAGATAGTGAGGTCAAGCTGGGATTTAACAGCAAGAGAGCTTTATAGTATCTAAACAACCACTGTTAGAGCCAATGGCAGAGATCAGTTATATTAGAGAAGGCAAGGGGATAAGCAAAAAGACTGAAAAAGTAAGAGGTTATAGGAATAAAGAGAGGAAGAGAAAGTTTTTAGAATTTGGGGGGTGAAGGGAAAACTAGGTATTTCATTCCTAAGAATTTATTCTAAGAAAAGAAGTCACCATACCTGGCAAGAAGAAAGGGGGAAATCTCTGTGTACAAAGATATTCTTTGCCTTGCAACCAATAATAAACAGGGGAAAATGAAAAGAATATGAAGATTTAAACATGAGAAGAAGTTATGTAAATTATGGTGTGCAGTTTATAAACTTGAACCATGTTATACCATTAAAGAGGGCAAATTTGAATGCTACATAGCACATCAAAAAGGTGTATGAAATGTACAGCAGGGAAAAGGTAGAATATAAAATATCTTTGCATGATTTCAATAAGAATATATGGGTTTTGTCAAAGATTGGAAGAAAACGTGGAAAAATTAAGCAAATTTTGGTAGAGGGTAGAATTATATACATCTTGGTACTTCTGGAACTTTTCTTTAATGTTACCGTTTTTTAATATTATAAAATATACATCACCTGGGTAACAGTAGCTCACACCTGCAATCCCAGCACTTTGGGAGGCTGAGGCAGGTGGATCACTTGAGCTCAGGAGTTCGAGACCAGCCTGGGCAACATGACAAAACCCCATCTCTATCAAAAATACAAAAAATTAGTGGAGTGTGGTGGCACACACCTGTGGTCCCAGCTACTCAGAGGCTGAGGTGGGAGGATCACTTGAGCCCAGGAGGCGGGGGTTGCAGGGAGCCGAGATTGTGCCATTGCACTCCAGCCTGGGTGACAGAGTGAGACCCTGTCAAAAAAAAAAAAAAAAAAAAAATATATATATATATATATATACACACACATACACACACACACACACACATACACGTACACGTGCACACACACACCCCTCACACCCCTCACAACATATACATGTTGACATATATATGCATGTGTGTGTGCATATATATATGCATACATGTATATGTATGTTATGTATGTATACATGTATGTATGTATGTCAACCAGGGGTTGACAAACTTCTTGTATCAAAGGCAGGATTGTAGATATTTTTAGGCTTTGCCAGCCATATGGTCTCTCTTGCAGCTATTCATCTCTGCCATTGTAGTGTGAAAACAACCATAGACAATAAATAAGCTCTCGGGGCTGTGTAATAATAAAACTTATTTTATCCACATTGAAATTTGAACTTTATGTTACATGTCATGGAATATTATTCTTCTTTCAAGTTTTTCAACAATTAAAAAATGTAAAATCCAGGCCAGGCGCAGTGGCTCACGCCTGTAATCCCAGCACTTTGGGAGGCCGAGGCAGGCGGATCACCTGAGGTCAGGAGTTCGAGACCGGCCTGACCAACATGGAGAAACCCTGGCTCTATTAAAATTACAAAATTAGCTGGGCATGGTGGCGCATGCCTGTAATCCCAGCTACTCGGGAGGCTGAGGCAGAAGAATTGCTTGAACCTGGGAGGTGGAGGTTGCAGTGAGCCGAGATTGTGCCATTGCACTCCAGCCTGGGCAACAAGAGTGAAACTCCATCTCATAAAAAAAATTAAAAATGTAAAATCCATTTTTATCTCCTAGGTCATATAAAAATAGCATACCAGATTTGGCCCATCATTGGTAATTTGCCATCTCCTGCAATAAATAATAAAGAACAAATAAGAAAAAGATTAATAAACAAAAAATCTTAAAATATAATTAAAGTTCCATTTTGTTCCTCTCTGATCTCATTCCCCTCCGTCTCTCCAGTGGAAACCACGATCCTGAGTTACATGTTCAGCATTCCCATGCATGTTTTAGAGTTTTATTACATATGTGTGTATCCATAAACAACATGTTTTTCATGTTTTGAAACTTTATAAATAACATCATACTGTACATATGCTTCAGCAACTGGCTTTTTCACTCAACATTCTGTTAATACATTGAGCTCTAGTTTACTCATCTTAACTGCAATATATCGTTCCCTTATGTGAATATTCCTCAATTCTCATTTCCTGTTATTTTTATTTTGAGCATTGCTCATTCAACATTCTTTATACATTATCTCATGGAAATTTTTCTCTAGTGCAGTTTTTTTCAAATTATAGTTTCTCAACTGTCTTAGTCCATTCAGGCTGCTATAACAAAATATCATAGGTCAGTCCTTTTGCAGTTTGTAAGCAAGATGAGTGGGTGTTCATTCCCATATGTGAGATGTGCCTCCCTCAAACCTTGTTTCCTGTCGGCACATTACCTGTCTGACATGAAAAAATAAAAAACAAAATATCATAGATTGGGTAGCTTGTAAACAGCAGACATTTATTTCTCACAGTTCTGGAGGCTAGGAAGTACAAGATCAAGATGCCAGCAGATTTGGTCTCTGGTGAGGGCCCATTTCCTGGTTCATAGATAACACCTGCTGGCTGTGTCCCCACATGGTGGAAAGGGTCAGGCAGCTCTTTGGAGCCCCTCTTAAAAGGGCAGTAATCTACCTTCATCACCTCCCAAATACCTTACCGCGTAATACCATCATATTGGTGATTAATTTCAACATATGTGTCTAAATCCAATTTTGAGAGGACACAAACACTCCATAGCATCAACTACTAGTGAGTTAAAGTAAACTTAAAGGTTGGGACCTTTAATGAAATAGAATAGACAGAAATAGAAAAGATCAGAATGTGTTGCATGTAATATGGGCATTGTTTAGCAAAAATTTTTCCCAGCTTTTTTACACTTACACATACATACACGTGTGTGTGTGCGTGCACACGCACGCCTGAGAGAGATACTTGGTTGTGATGTAAAATGTACTTCTCAATAAGAGGTCGTGATCAGCATGTTTGAAAAGCACTGCTTTAAGGTACAGTACCTAGGAATATCTAGGAAAGGCGTTGCTAAATCACAGAACATGTACAACTTCCACTTTACTAAATGTTGCAAAATGTTCTCCAAAATGGCTTTTCCAACTTATCCTCACAGCAATGAGTGTGAGTTTACATTGCTCCACATCCTCACCTATAGTAGAATTTTTTCATGGGACGCTAAATATATCATACACACAAGAGAATGTATAAAACTAATATGCACAGTTTGATTAATAACATTTGCATTCGTGTACCCACTCCCCATGCTATAAAACAGGATATTACCAATACCTTAGAAGCCTCTTAGGGGTCCCTTCCTATGGGCATTCCCCTTTTCTCTCTCTTTCAGATGTAACCACTCTGCAGAATTTTGTATTAATAATTCCCTTGTTTTTATATTTTCTACCTATGTTTGTAACCTTAAGTAACATAATATTGTATACATCTATTCTTCTGTTGCCTGCTTCTTTTAGACAATAGTATGATTTTGATATTTACCTATGTTGATGAGTACAGCTACAGTTCACTAATTTTCACTGTTGTAATAGTCCATTTTATAATACCATATTTTATCTATGCTACTACTGATGGACATTTGGTTGTTTCACATTCTGTGCCACTATGAACTCTGCTGCTACAAACTTTCTTATGTGTGTCTTCTGCATAAGTGAACAACTAGAAAGATTTCTCTAGGTTGTTGACATGGAAGTGGAATTGGTGGTCTGGAGTGTATGCATAAGTTCAACTTTGCAAAATACTGCCCAACTGTTTTTCAAAGTGGTCATACTACTTTACACTTCCAACCACATGGGATGAGAGTTCCATTTTTGTTTCCTATAACATGGTTTCACCAGTAAATCAAAACTGGAGGGAAAAGGTGGTTCAAAGTCAGATCCTAAGGGAAGGACAAAATTTGGTTGAACAGGAAACAGAAAAGTAGAAATCTTAGTCTCTGTTCAGTCACATAGAAATCTTCCTTCCACTGGGTGCGGTGGCTTACACCTGTAATCCCAACACTTTGGGAGGCTGAGGTGGGTGGATCACTTGAGGTCAGGAGTTCGAAACCAGCTTGGCCAGCATGGTGAAACCCCGTCTCCACTAAAATACAAAAAAATTATCTGGGCATGGTGGCACGTGTCTATAGTCCCAGCTACTTGGGAGGCTGAGGCAGGAGAATTGCTTGAACCTGGAAAGTGGAGGTTGCAGTGAGCCAAGATTGCACCACTGCACTCCAACGTAGGCAACAGAGTGAGACTTTGTCTCCCCCCTCAAAAAAAGAAGAAGAAGAAGAAGAAGAATGAAAAGAAATATTCATTTCTTCCTTTCTATTGCCATAAATTTCTGCATGGCACAAATTCAAAATCTACAAATGGATATGCTTAATTGTGGCCCCCAAAAATATTTGTCTACATTAAAATCCCTGGAACCTGTGGATGTTATGTTATTCAGAAAAAGGATCTTTAACAGATATTAAGTTAAAGATTTTGAGATGAGATCATCTTGGACTGCTTGGCTGGGTCTCAAATCCAATGACAAGTGTTGTTTTATGAGAGAAGATACAGACAGAAGAGAAGGAGGCAGTGTGACCACAGAGGCAGATTGGAGTGATGCAGCCACAAGCCAAGGAATACCTGGAGCCACCAGAACCCAGAAGGGTCAGGAAAGGATTCTCTGCCAGAGACTTTGAAGCATGAGTTTACTTGATTTAGGACTTCTAGCCTCCAGAACCTTAAGAGAACAAATTTCTATTGTTTTATGCCACTATGTTTGTTGTTATTTGTTGCAGAGAAGTCCTAGGAAGCTCATGCAGGATATAAAGAAAAAGTTGATCTCCCTCACAACTTTTTGCCCATTGCCACCTATTTCTGCTCCCCAGAGGCAACCACTGTTGCCAGTTCCTTGTTCGCCATCCTTATAGAGATATTCTTAAAGAGACTCCTAGTAATTGGCAGGAACATTGAAAATCATTTTACAGATGAGAAGACTGAAGCTCAAAGAGAGGAAGAGGCTTGCCTGAGGACCCTCAAGCTAGATGAACAGCAACCCAGGTTTCCTATTTCTTGTGCTCCTTTAATGTAAGAGAAGTAACTAGAAGCAGATTTTGATATTAGGCTAAAGAGAAAGAAGAGCAAGGTATTGGGTGAGTGAAGGGAGGGGAATGCCATGAAGGTGAGAAAGGGGGTAAAAACATATGATTTTGCCTCAGGTTGACCTCAATTCAATGCAGCACTGCACCAGATCATTGCCACACACTGTAGATAGAAATTAATTCTTCTAACTAGCTTTTATTGAGCATCTACTGTATTCCTGGCACTAAACTATATTAAGCACTGTAAACATACAGCCCCTGTCCTCAACAAGTGTATAATCTAGTAGAGGAGTCTGGTTAGTAAGTAAAGCAGCATGACAAGTGATAAAAATGGAGGTGTATACTATAATATGTCCTAAGAAGACACAGAGTGGAGCATGATCCTCTCTGATTGGGAAGCTGAGGAAGGCCTTGAAAGATGAGTGTGATTTTACTAGGTAAAGAGGCAGGGAAAAGCATCCTAGGCAGAAGAATGAGACCTACATGGAACTATGGATGTCTACAAGGAGAAATTACATATGAGAAACTGTAGGAGATGCTGTCAGTACCTCACCCACATCCCTCATCCTCTTCATGTGCCTGAAGGCTCTTCCCCCATCTCCCGAGAACTATGGAAAACCATGCTGTTCACACTCATGGCATATTGGAAATGTCTAAGAGTTAACTCCTCCTGGGAGCAGCCCTCAACTAGTGACTGACTCTCAGGAGTTGGTAAACACCCAAGCTCCTTCAACACTTACAGGGGATAATTCTGAGGTGTGTGTTTCTCAGAGTTTTTTTCACAGGATTAAGCTCCTGTTGTCCATTGTGGTAGTTGGCTTAATAGTTTGCCCTTGCCGGGTTCATGCCTGTAATCCCAGCACTTTGGGAGGCCGAAGTGGGTGAATCACGAGGTCAGGAGATCGAGACCATCCTGGCCAACATGGTGAAACCCCATCTCTACCAAAAATACAAAAATTAGCTGGTTGTGGTGGCACGCACCTGTAGTCCCAGCTACTTGGGAGGCTGAGGCAGTAGAATTGCTTTAACCCGGGAGGCAGAGGTTGCAGTGAGCTGAGGTCGCGTCACCGCACTCCAGCCTGGCAACAGAGCGAGACTCCATCTCAAAAAAAAAAAAAAAAAGTAAAAAAGTTCGCCCTTTATTGACTGCCTTCCTTCCCCTATATCACTTCTACCTCTTTCCCCACTCGTGTTTCTGTCACCTCCAAATAAACTACTTGGACTCAAATCCTTGTCTCAGGGTCAGCTTCTTGGAGAATCCAAACTAAAATTAACCATAAGTAGCTCTACATGGTAAGACCAAAGAGTACAAGGAATGGTGTGCAGGGACAAAAGATACTGCAGCAGGGGTCTATCATAGTAGACTTCTAAGGCCATATAAGTCTTATGTTACCTTTTCCTCTAGGCAATGGGACATTCATTGCCAGTTTAAGCTGGGACATGACATGACCAGATCTGCATTGTAGAAGGACCACTCTAGTCACATATCTATTAAATGGCTTCTGCTACACTTAGAATGAAATCCAAACTCCTAACCATGCCTGATAGGTACTGCGGGACCCGGCACCTGGCTGTCTCCCCATCTTCTGAGAATTTTTTTTTTTTTTTTGAGACAGAGTCTTGCTCTGTTGCCCAGGCTAGAACGCAGTGGCACAATCATGGCTCACTGCGGCCTTGACCTCCCATGCTCAAGCAGTCCTTCCACCTGAACCTCCTGAATAGCTGGGATCATAGCATGTGCCACCACATCAGCTAATTTTTAAAATTATTTTGTAGAGATAGGGTCTCACTATGTTGCCCAGGCTAGTCTCAAACTCCTGAGCTCAAGTGATCCTCCCGCCTCAGCCTCCCAAAGTGCCGGGGTTACAGACGTGAACCACCATGCCCAGCCTGAGAAATGTCTATTTAATTTGGCAATTGTGAGTTGACCCTAATGGCACAGCAGGGTCAGAAGCCAGATGAAGAGTAGAAGTAGACCAGATTATTGTCAGTTTTTCACTCCCTCTTGCAGTGCATGAGAGTAGATGGAGTATATTTCCCTGCAAGACTTCTGGCCAGTGGAATGTGAGCAAAAGTAACAGTTTGCCTCAAGAAGTATCATATGTTTCCACTCCCATGCCTGCACTATGAGAAGAGCATGCCCTGGGGAGCTACTGGCCCAAGGAAGATAACAGACATGTGGGAGCAGACAAAAATCCAGACTGAAGCCTGGAACCCACTCCAGGCAACCTTCAGCCTGAAGCTTGAATAAGAAAAATAGATGCTTGTGGTTTTAAGCCACTGAATTTTGCATCATTGTTGTGGCAAAAGCTGATTACTGCAGGAGAGAATTAGAGGAGAAGTAGAAGAGAAAAGTGAGCCAAGAATACGCTTTCAAGAAACTTAGCTGTCAAGAAAATGAGAGCCTGTTGGCCGGGCGCAGTGGCTCACGCCTGTAATCCCAGCACTTTGGGAGGCCGAGGCAGGTGGATCACTTGAGGTCAAGAGTTCGAGACCAGCCTGACCAACATGGAGAAACCCCTTCTCTACTAAAAAAAATACAGAATTAGCCGGGCTTGGTGGTGCACGCCTGTGATTACAGCTACTCGGGAGGCTGAGGCAGGAGAATCGCTTGAACCCGGGAGGCAGAGGTTGCGGTGAGCCAAAATTGCGCCATTGCACTCCAGCCTGGGCAACAAGAGCAAAACTCCCTCTCAAAAAAAAAAAAGAAAGAAAGAAAGAAAGAAAAGAAAAGAAAATGAGAGGCTAGTAGATCTCCTCCTCCATCTCCTCCTCCTCCTCGTCCTCCTCCTGCTCTTCCTCCTCCTCCTCCTCCTGCTCCTCCTCTTCCTTATTGTCACTGTTGTTCTGTGTTGGTGTTTTTGCTGCCCATGATATAAATCCCTTTCCCACATACGGAGAATTTCCCACTCTATGAAACTCATTGGGAAGCAGAGCCCACCTCCTAGTATTATAGCTGAAAATGCCAGCTACTTATTTTCCCAACCTTCCTGTGAACTAAGTCATGGCACATGTTGTGGGCTCTGCTAATAAAATGCACCCACTCTAGACTTCGAATCGGGAGGAGTTTGTGATGCAAAGAAGCAGAAGCAGCACAGAATCCATTCCACTAATGGGCAATGCCAGCATGGCAGCAACCCCCAGTTTGGGAGAATAGCTGTGGCAACAGCAACATTCAGGATCTGGTGCTGAGCCTCTCAGTGTACCTATGGAGTCAAATGCTCATTAGCAGCAGTGGCAGTGTCTTCAGTGACCCAGCTCTGTGTTATGATGTTGGGGCTACCTACCGCCCTGTAAGGAAAAACCTCTGAACATAGTATGGTAGATTGGTTGCATTCACGATCTTAATTCTTCACTGGAGGATCTCATCTTGTTGGACTTCCTCATTCTGACTGGGCTCACCCTTTTGACTTACTTTGGTCAATGGGATGTTAGTAAACATTACCCAAGCCATGGCTTGCAAAGCACTTGTGTGATTGGCTTGCTGTCACTGTTGCTCTCTGCCATTGCCATGAGAACATGTCTAGGCTAGCCTGCTGGATGATGAAAAACATGTGGAACTAGGCCAAGTCTCCCTAAGTTATCCCAGCTGAGGCCATCCTAGTTCAGCCAACAGCCAGTTGAGCCTTTGACGTATGAATTAGCTGAGCCAAAATCAACAAAATTGCCTGGCCAACCAACAGTTGACCTCAGACACTTGAGCGAGTCCAGCTGAGATCAGCTCAGCTCAGCCCAGCCCAGCCCCAGATAAACTGAACCTCACAAACTTGTGTATTAAATACATGTCCATTGTTACATGCCATTGTGGTTTTATGGTTGTTTATGTGATGTTATTGTGACAATATACGGCCAACACACATATGATTCTCCAGATTTCTCCACAAGTCTATGAGCCATGGTTTTTCTGCTTAAATCAGCCAAGAGTTGGCACTTGTTGCTTGCTCTGACTTACACAGAGAAAGACTGAAAGTAAATTAGAGAGAAACATGGGGTCAAGGGAGAAGTTGAGGTAGACGAGACTTCAACATGTTTATAGGCCAAGGATTGGAGGCAGTTGTATTTGTTAGGCTATAAGTGTAGCTGGAAAATAATAGTGCTTTAGACACAATAGAAGTTTACGGTTTTTCTCCCTCATGTGAAAGAAGTTTACAGTTTTTCTCCCATAGGGGTTTCAGCCTCTGGTGAAACTGCCTTTGCAAAACTACGACAGTAAGAGAAATCTGACACAGTTGACTCCTTCTTGCTTCTAACCTCCAGATTCTCCTTGTTCATTCCTATGCATAAGCCAAACTTTGGAAAGAATTTAGTTTACATTTTAACCTTAAAGCAAAGATGACAATAGCCCTTCCCAAAACTAAACCACCTTTGTAAAACTAATAAAAGTCCACAAGGTTAGGATTATGAGAGGGGCCTGAGTTCTACTAAAATGTAGGTGGAGTTAAATGATAACCAGCCACTGTTCCAGAGGTCACAAAATTTGTAACTTCCCCAGTTCCCCTGTAGATAACATCACTACTGTAGAACCTAAGATTGGCCTTTTGAGACGTCTTTTCAGACTTGCATTTCTGAGGACTGGCTGACTCCATGTGGGCTCCTGGCTCCTGACTGAACCGGTCCTGTGCACCCCCCCATCCAGAGGCAGACTCAGCACACAAGGAGTTTTCCACATCCTTATGATGGCATTCCCCACCAGTCAGCACCACCCATTCCCTAGTCCTCTGCTCACCAAACTATCCTCGAAAAACCCTAGCCAGGTGTGGTGGTGCATGCCTGTAATCCCAGCTAGTTGGGATGCTGAGGCAGGAGAATCGCTTGAACCCAGGAGGCGGAGGTTGCAGTGAGCCGAGATCATGCCATTGCACTCCAGCCTGGGCAACAAGAGAGAAACTCTGTCTCAAAAAACAAAACAAAACAAAACCCTAACCTCTGAGCCTTTGGGGAGATTGATTTGAGTAATAACTCCATATCCCATATGATATGGCCAGCCTCATATCAATTAAACTCTTTCTTTACTGCAGTGTCATGGTCTCAGTGAATTGGTTTTGTCTGTGTAGCAGGCAGGAAGAACCCACTGGGCAATTACACTGGGAAGAAGGACAGGGAGAACATGACCTTTCTCTTCAATACCTGGTGGTTTCCTCCATTTTTTTCCCCCTTTCAATCCATTCTCAGGACTTGGTCACATGACCACACTCAGCTGCACAGAAAGCTGGAAAACGTAAACCTTATTCTGGCCAACCGAATTTATAACTAAACGCCCTGTTTCAGAGTGGAAGAAGGGGCAAACAGAGAGTAATAGCCCTTGCCAAATTAAAGAAGATGGAATAATTAATGGGACAACATCTCCGTGGTGGACTTTATTAGTTATTTCCTTCCATATTCTTTTTTAAGGGGGCTCTTTTTTTTGTAGGGGCAGGGCAACTGTGTTCACAGTGTGGGCATAAATCATAATTTACCTAAACAAGTTATGGCGATCCCATTCAACTTTGCCAGAAACTTGCTTTCCCAGCCTCTCCTGCAGCTACATGTGCCATGTGACCCAGTTCTGACCAATGAGCCATGAGAAGAAGACTGCTAGGGGTTTTCTGGGAAATGTTTTACTTCCTATGAAAGAGACAAACATGGAAGAGAGCTTACTGGCACACTCCTGCCTGGGATACTGGTGTGAGTCACTGGGGCAGTCAGCTTATGACCACAAAAGTAAGGCCAAAGGAATTACAGATGCCAACCTAGAGCCCTGACACCTTTTTAAGGATCTGAATACCTTGAGAGATGAGCAGGTGAAGAAGGGGAGAAAAAATATTTGAGGAAGTGGGAGTATTAGATACATGAGAAGGAATGCTTAGCAATACCCCTGGAAAGTTGGGTCCCAGTCAGATCATGAGGGCTTTGTATGAAGTAGTGTGATTTACTGTCAGAATTACCTCATTCCAAGCTGGGGCTGGTTTCCCTGTTTGTCAGCTGATTCACCACCAAAGCATGACAGGCTTTTCTCTTTGTAGGCTTAAGAAGACTGCCCATCTCTTCCCCACTCAGAGAGTTAAAGAACTTTTGTTTTGGAAAATCTAGGCTCTTAAAGGCAAAGAAAAGATCTAGATGATATGGATGAGTAGGGAGTGCTGATTTGAAAAGTTGAGGGTGAATAGAATGGTTCCCAGCTTTCTACAGCATGTGGAATTTCCTTCCCTTGGGGGGAATAGAGAGGTACAGGTTCTGCCCACCGTGGGGGCCTGTGTTTGACTCTCTCCCAGACCCCAGAGTGGCAGAATGTTTGATGGGTTAGCTGAGTGGACACTTGGCTGGGGACTGAGCTCTAAGCCATAGTCTCCAGGGCTATGAGCAGTGGGACCACTGAAGTCTGGACATCAAGCCCTTCACAGTGACCACACTGTCTTGAAGTCTAGAACTCTTCCCTCAGATTCCAAGATTGGGTGAACTCAGGGGGTTCTATGTGACTCCATCAAGGGGCAGGGAAAGAGCAGGCAAAAAAAAAAAAAAAAAAATTGAGATCGAATTTTTCCCTAACTCCCTGAGGAAGCAGGCCAAAACAGACTTCATATTACTTTTTGAAAATAAAGACAACGCGATAAAGCCATCTCTTGTGTTAGTGTTTAGTTACAGTGCAAATTTACACGGTTACATACAAAGCCAAGGAAAAGGAGTGAGAAGAGGTCATAAATTATCTCAATAACTTTTTTAAAAAGTTAATGGAGTTTTAAATAAGAAAATATAGAATGTATGTCTCTAAGAATTCAAGCTTATATATATACAAAATGTCCATTTGTATTTTAAAAATCTAATTAAATTGGCCTGGATATTGCCAGACTAGAAAAAAATTCAATCTCTCTTATCACTGGGGATCCCTCTGGCTCCCAGGGATGACCCAGAATCCAGATGTAGAACCTGGAACAGAAAACCTGTAGCATCACTGGGGGTGCTGACAGCTGCCTCATGCCAGCCCAAGAATGGGGACCTTGGATCCTGCCAGCACCTGCTTCTAGCCGCACATGAGTTGTAGGAATCCTTACTGAGGTTGGAGGAGGGAAGACAGAATCCCTAGTGCTCAGGGTCCAGTCCCCTCTCCAGGTACAATGCTGAGATGTCGCTTTTGAGGTCCTGCTTCCCTCCTTGGAGCTCTGCCGCTGAGGAGTGAAGGGTCTTCATATTCCCCACCACGTAGACAGCCACCTTTTTTTTCTTTGACAAAGAGTAACACCTTTAGCCTGGGCAACATAGTGAGACCCCGTTTCTAAAAAAAAAAAATTAACCAGGTATGGTGTCACGCAGCTGTAGTTCTAACTACTTGGGAGACTGGGGCCCAGGAGGTCAAAGGTGCAGTGAGCCAAGATTGTGCCACTACACTCCAGCCTGGGAGACAGAGCAAGACCCTGTCTCAAAAAAAAAAAAAAAAAGAGTAATACTTTTATTATATATAGAACTCATGCACATTGAAAAAATGCTAATATCCTGATACATTAATATATTAAGTAAAGACATAACTTGCAAAAAGGTCAGTAAAACTGGTTAACAAATACTTCATAAATGTTCAACCTTAGGAATAATCAATAAGATACAAAAATTAAAATATTTTCACCTACTACTAGGTTAAATGAAGAGAATAAATCAAAATAGAATCTTAAAATAGTAATACCAAATGATAGCAAATGTGTGCTAAAACAGATAGGTACATATATTTTTGATGGAAGAGTGAATTAGTAACAACCATTTGATGTTTTGTTTTTATGTCTTTTTTTAAATTTATTTTTCTGTTTTAAATTAATCATGTTTCTCAAATACACACACATACATGTATACATACATAGAGATGTGATAGCCGGCCTCAAGTTTGCCTCAATAATCCTGGCCTCCTGGTATTTACACCCTTATGTTGTCCTCTCCCCATAGTCCCCTGCAGGGTCAGTGAGTGTGACCAATTAAATAGCTGAAGTGATGGATATCACTTCTGAGATTACTAAGACAGTGCAGCTTCCATTTTGGTCTCTCTCTCTCTCTCTCTCATCACTTACTCTGGGGGAAGCCAGTGGCCATGTCATGAGGAAATTCAAGTGGACTATAGAAAGGCCCAGGAGGTGAGGAACTGAGTTCTCTGGCCAACAGCCAAGAAAGAACTGTGGCTTCCTGCCAACAGTCAGAGAGAGCGAGCTTGGATGAAACTTCCCTCCCACAAGTAGAGCCTTTAGATGGCCCCCAGCCCAGGCCAACAGCTTGACAGCAGCCCTGTGAGAAACCTTGAACCAGAACCACCCACCTACGCTACTCTTGGATTCCTGACTCATGGAAATTATGAGATAATAAATGTTTTATATCATAAGTGTCTAAGGTTTGAGGTAATTTGTTACAGAGCAATAGTGACTAATACAAGAGTTCAGAGGGCAAAACAGTCACACATACTTAAAGGCTTTAAAAAGTCCCAGCAGTTTTCTGTCTCGCCTCTTCTTAGCCACCCAGACACATTACCCAGAGGCTACTGACCAAGTGCTAGGCTGCCACTGCCAGATTTCCTGTTAGAAGAAGAAAATAAATTTCTAGTTGTTTAAACTACTATTGTTTGAGTCTCTGTTCCTTGCAGCCAAATGCATTCTTCTTTTTTTTTTTTTTTAATGAGCTGGGGTCTCACCATGTTGCCCAGGCTGGTCTGAAACCCCTGGGCTTAAGTGATCCTCCTATTTAAGGGGAGGATCTTAACCGATATAGATGAATTAGGCTCTAAAGCTTTATAATGTGTTCGTTGTCATTGTTATTTTCCTCCCTAACCCAGTGTTGCAAGAGATCCATCTGAAATGAGTTGGCAGCAACATATTCTACTGAGATCACAAGTCAACTTGATGAGAGCAATTGAAAATAAAAAGTTCTTACCATGATTGAGTAAATCTAAGGTGCCGTCAACTGCAAAATGCATCATTATCTTAGGTACCACTGAAATACAAATATCATTAATTACACTATGCTTCAATGCTTTCTCATATCTTAGAATTTTATTTACTTATTTATTTATTTATTTATTTATTTATTTTTTAAGACAGAGTCTTGCTCTGTCACCCAGACTGGAGTTCAGTGGCACGATCATGGTTCACTGCAGCCTCGGCCTCCTGGGCTCAAGCAGTCCTCCCAAGTAGCTGGGACTACAGGCGTGGCCACCAAGCCCAGCTAATTTTTGTATGTTTTGTAGAGATGGGTTTTTGCCATCTTGCCCAGGCTAGTCTCAAACTCCTGGGCTCAAGTGATATGCCCACCTTGGCCTCCCAAACTGCTGGAATTATAGGCATGAGCCACTGTGCCCAGCCCATGACTGAATTTTTATTGTATGCTTATCAAAATAATTTTTAATACTTATTTAGACATACGGCTTTTGTTTTTGTTTTGGAGACAGAGTCTGTGTCACCCAGGCTGGAGTGCAGTGGCATGATCTCGGCTCACTGCAACCTCTCCACCTCTTAGGTTCAAGTGATTCTCATGCCTCAGCCTCCCTAGTAGCTGGGATTACAGGCATGTGCCAACATGCCTGGCTAATTTTTGTATTTTTAGTAGAGACAGGGTTTCACCCTGTTGGCTGGCTGGTCTTGAACTCCTGACTTCAGGTGATCTGCCTGCCTTGGCCTCCTAAACTGCTGGGATTACAGGCGTGAGCCACCATGCCCAGCCTAGACATAGATTTTTTAAAATCATATATCAATACTTAGAAGAATACTCAACCTCAAGAGTAACCAATAAAATGTAAAAAGTAAGTCTCTCCCTTTCATGTTGGCATCCTTAGCCTACTTGTTTTTGTCTTCATGCTTGTTGCTTCAGTAACAAAATAGCTGCTGAGGCTGCAGGCATCACACCACATTCAAGGCAAGAAAAAGGAAGAAGTGAGAATGGTGCCAGCCACATCATCTTCTCTTACCAGGAAAGGCAAAAGTCTTCCTAGATCTTCCAGCAGGTTTCTGCTTATATGTCATTTGCTAGAACTGTGTGCCATGAACACCCTGGATACAAGCAAAAACCTGGAAAAGCACATATTTTGCCTGGGTCTGGGCTCATTGCCATCCTGAGAGAAAGCAGACTTCTGGTAGCAAAGAAGGTGGAAATAGGTATTGGGAAGGAAGCTAACGGTGTCTGCTACAACACAGCTTAATAAATAGTAGTTTTATATGCATAATAAATAGTAGCTACTCCTTGGCATAAAGTAAAAATAATGATAACAAAAATACTTACATAATTATATTGTGTAAGTGCTTACTATGTGCCAGGAACTGTTCTGAATGTTTTAAATATGTTAACTCATTTAATCTTCACAGCAATTTTGTGAGGTAAATGTTACTATCCTTGGTTTTTTTTTTTCAGTGTTTTTAATTCTACTTTATATACATACAATTAGATTGATCATAATCCCTGGTTCATGACATACCCTCATTGGTCCATGCATGGCTCTCTTTTGTTTACTTTTTAAATATTAGTTATTGTAAATAATATATAGACACCTTCAAATCCCCTGTCCAAAATAAAATTAGTGTCTGGTCAGCAATTTGCATCTGGCTGTATGGTACCCCCAACACATTTTACTTCCTCCCCTGGCCAAGGTGATCATCATCCAGAATTCTGAGCTCATTATCCTTCACTTTGCTTTTCATACAGTTTTAGAGTTTTCTTGCATCTATATAAAGTCCTAAAAATATGTGTGTGTAGTGTGTGTGTATATATATAGAGAAAGATGGTTGTTTTTAACTGTATGTCTTTAGTACTTTTTTCACTTGATATTACATTGTTAAGATTCTACCATATTGTTGTATGTTGCTACAGTTGTTCCTTTTGACTCCTGTTTAACACTCCCATTGTGCAAATATGTAGCAGTTTATTCATCCTGAAACCATTCTTTACTGAAGTGCCTATAACATTCTTATTGATTTTCTCTTTTCTGGTTATTAACTGGTCTAATTCTGTTACATTCAAGCTTTGCATATGATTCTAGCAGTTTTCCAATATCCTTTTTAATGTCTGCATGAAGTCCTGAATCTTCTGCAAGACTTGCAATAATTTCTTGCAAACGACTTGCCTTGTGTTGTGTGTTGTCAGATATTTACAGTGGGCTACCAGAGAGAGGCTGACCAATAAAGATTTTGACTTGATGGGGTCTTGGTGCACACAGAGAGCCCTTCATTTCAGCAAGGAGGAATGTTGCAGGACTGAGGGAGGCAGAGAATGTCAATTCACTTGTGAATATTTTCTTGTCATGATGACTTTTGTTTCCCTGGGCAACCTGGCAAATGCGGGAACTTTGATTGTGAACACTCAGATACTCAGAAGTCCCTACATCTTGGCAAATTCTTTAACACTTCTCCCACAAAAGGTAGAATCTAATTCCTCTCCCCTTGAATATGGCCTTGGTGACTCACTTCTAAAGAATAGTGTCCAGGAAACGTGTTGCTATGGGACTTCTGAGGCTAGAATAAGAAAAGGTGATACAGCTTCCATCTGGCTTGCTCTTTTTGGGACACTCATTCTGGAGAAGCCAGTCATCAGGCTGTGAAGGAGCCCAAAGGAGCCCACACAGAGAGACCATGGAGAAGCCCACATGGATGGGCACTGAGGCCTCCAACTGACAGCCAAGAGCAATCGCCAGGCATCTGAGTGAGTCTTCTAGGAGAGGCTACAAAGTTTGAGGAGAAGTAGCAAGTCATCCTGGACATGCCCTGTCTAAATTCCCCACAATGTACAAAATTAAGCTAACTGTGCTCTGTCTGAAGTCCTCACCCACAGAATCCATTCACATAATAAATGGTTATCTTATGCTACTAAGTTTTGGGGTAATTTGTTATAGAAATTAATAAAATTAGTAAAAAAAAAAATAGTACTGGCACATCCAATTTAAAGATGAGCAAACTGAGACTTGGAGAGAATAAATTCACAGTAAATGGTGAAGCCAAGATTGAAGCCTGGGCATTTGACTTGCAAATTTGCGGATCTCAACCTTGATACCCTCCCTATAATGGCCTATTATTCCCTTGCATTTTCAGGATATCCTTGGTTACTCAGAACACAACTAATTAGCTTACTCTCCCACCCCAGGATTGAACCTGGGAGGGCAATGCTACCACCAAAAAAATACACATGCTCATACTCTAAAAATAACCCACTCAGAAAGGGTTAAACTGAGCTGCAGATTGGCAAATGATAAATGCTTAGTTCAGGGCCTAAAAAACAAAGAGTATTTAAAAATAAATGGCCAGGCACAGTGGCTCATGCCTGTAATCCTAGCACTCGTGGGAGGCAGAGGTGGGAGAATCACTTGAGCCCAGGAGTTCAAGACCAGCCTGGGCAACATAGTGAGACCATGTCTCTGTTTTTTTAAATTGTTTTTAAATTAAAAATAAAATAAACACTACACACTTTTTTCAGTTCAAACACGATGATGTTAAAGTGGGATGAAAGGATAAAAATCAGCTTTATTTTACAATGTTTTGTTATGGTAATGATTTTTTATTTATCTAGCTTTATTTTTCTAGTATGAATATTTTAAACTCTACATAAAGATATTGCTGTGGTTTGAATGTGTTTGACCCCTCCAAAATTCATGTGTTGAAACTTAATCCCCATAGTGGTGGTATTAAGAGATAGGGACTTTGGGGAAGGGATTAAGTCATGAGGGTTCCTTCAAAATGGGTTAGTGCTTTATAAAAGGACTAGAGGGAACTAGTTTAGGTCCCCTTGCCCTTCTACTTTCCTCCCTGTGAGGACACAGCAACAAGGCGTCATCTTGGAAGCAGAGAGCAGTCCTCACCAGACACTAATGCCAGTGCCTTGATCTTGGACTTTCCAGCCTCCAGAACCATAAGAAATACATTAGGCCAGGCGTGGTGGCTCACGCCTGTAATCCCAGCACTTTGGGAGGCCAAGGTGGACGGATCACAAGGTCAGGAGATCGAGACCATCCTGGCTAACATGGTGAAACCCCATCTCTACTAAAAAATAGAAAAAATTAGCCAGGCGTGGTGGCGGGTGCCTGTAGTCCCAGCTACTCAGGAGGCTGAGGCAGGAGAATGGCGTGAACCTGGGAGGCGGAGCTTGCAGTGAGCCGAGATGGCACCACTGCACTCTAGCCTGGGCGACAGAGCAAGACTCTGTCTCAAAAAAAAATAATAATAAAAGAAATACATTTGTATTCTTTATATATTACCCAGTCTGTGGTGTTCTGTTATAGCAGCATAAATGGTCTAAGACAGATATCTTTAATTTAAAACAATTTAAAATGTTGCCAACATTCCAAGATGGAATTGGAATCACTTCCAATTGTGTAGTATTTGAAGTAATATATCATTTCCAGAAATTTTCACAAGTAAAAAAAGCTTTGTTCTATCCCCAGCTACTTCTCATGATAATGTTTTTAGCTCATGGTTTAGACTATGACAGAGTTATCCAGCTGTCCTTCCACATTGCCAGCTTTAACCATTTTGCAGTTAAGAAGATACTGTGTTTTTTAAAAAGCCACACCAGCATAAGGGTAGCCAGTGGGATTTATTTAATGATCTGGGTTTATTAGGAATTCATGAAATAATTATATTTTCATAAATTTATTTTTATTAAAATTGTGCATGGGTGTGTAATATTAATATGTAAACCTTATAATAAAACCAGCATTTCTCTTTTCTTCCTTCCCTATCCCTATTCATACTTTTCACAGGTAACCACTTTCAGTTCTTCTATTTCCCCTCCTATTTATCTCTTTATCTCAAAATTACATGTGTATACCGATATTTATTTTATTTTCTTTTTTTTGAGATGGAGTCTCACTCTGTCGCCTAGGCTGGAGTGCAGTGGCACCATCTCGGCTCAGTGCAACCTCTGCCTCCTAGGTTCAAGTAATTCTCTTGCCTCAGACTCCTGAGTAGCTGGGACTACAAACACAAGCCACCACATCTGGCCAGATGTGGACTTCTTATCCTCTACACACACACTCACTGCCATTCCTCCCAAACTCTTAACTGTATCATCACTAGTGGCTATATCAAGATTACAACTTCATAAGCACAGGTACTCCTCAACTTACGATGAGGTTATGTCCCAATAAACCCATAAGTTGAAAATATTGTTAAGTCAAAAATGCATCTAAGTGGCAAGGCGTGGTGGCTCACGCCTGTAGTTTCAGCACTTTGGGAGGCCAAGGCAGGAGGATCATCTGAGGTCAGGAGTTCGAGACCAGCCTGGCCAACATGGAGAAACCCCACCTCGACTAAAAATACAAAAGTTAGCTGGGTGTGGTGGCGCATGCCTGTAATCCCAGCTACTTGGGAGGCTGAGGCAGGAGAATCATTCAAATCTGGGAGACAGAGGTTGCAGTGAGCCAAGATCACACCACTGCACTCCATCCTGGGTGACAGAGCAAGACTATCTCAAAAAAAAAAAAAAAAAGGCATTTAATACACCTAACCTACCAAACATCATAACTTAGCCTAGCCTACCTTAAATGTGCTAAGAACACTTACATTAGCCTACTGTTGGGCAAAATCATCTAATAAAAAAATACAAAGACTATTTTATAATAAAGTGTTGAATATCTCATGTAATTTATTGCATTACTATACTGAAAGTGAAAATCAGAATGGCTGTATGGGTACTCCAAGTATTGTTTTTACTGAATGCATATCACTTTTGCACCATTGTAAAGTGGAAAAAATTTAAGTCGAACCATCGACTTAAGTTAGTTAGGGACTTAGTTAGTTAGTTAGTTAGTAACTTCGTTAGTTAGCGACTTAAGTAAGTTAGGGACCATCTGTATGGTTAATTGTCCAAAGGAGACGTGATGGTTTTTGGACTATGATGATAGCAGTGGAGATGGTACTACGGTTAGAATGTATATGTCCCTCCAAAATTCATATGTTGGAACTTAAACCCCAGTGTGATGGTAGTAAGAGGTGCAGCCTTTGGGAAAATGATTAAGTCATGAGGGCGCCAACTTTGTGAATGAGATTAATGCCCTCGTAAAAGAGGATTCAGAGAGCTGCCTCTTGCCCTTCCACCTTCTCCCATGTGAGCATGCAGTGGCAAGATGCCACCTGAAAGCAGGGAAAGCCAGCCCTGCTGGTGCCTTAATCTTGGACTTCTCAGCCTCCAAAACTGAGAAATAAATTTCTGTTGTTTATAAATTTCCCAGTCTGTGGTGTTGTGACATATTGCATGAATGGACTAAGATGGATCAGAAAAATAATGATTCAAGAGATTGGTGGGAAGGAGAGTTGATGGAACTTAGTGAGTTTTTTGGATGTTGAGGATGAGCAAGAGGAAGGTACATGGGGAAATGGGTAGAAGAGTGTTAATATCATTTACTTAAATAAGAAAGACCAGAGAAACAGTAGGTGGGGGTGGGAGTTTGGCACAAGCTAAGTTTGAGCAGCCCCAAAAGAGCTCCCAAATGGAGGCATTCTCGTTGAGTATGTCAACTAAAGCTCCAAACTGAAGACCAGATTGGATTGGGAGTCACCAGTGTAGTGGACATTGCATTTGTTCTCAGTGTAGATGGCAGCAGAACCACAGTGAGGTTACCAAAGAAGAGAGTATAAAGTGAGAACAGTCTTGGTTTGTGCACTGAGGGAGACTAGCCTTTAGGAATAAGCAGAAGGAAGCTAATAAAGGAGTCTGAGAAAGAGTTGCCAGACAGGTGAGAGAAAAACAAGGTGAGTTTGGTGTCAGAAGTCAAGAGAAGGTGTTTGAAGAGATAAGGAGTGGTCAACTGAAATGATAAATGGAAGATTCCGCGGAGGGCAGGAGCATGGGCTCTGGAACAGAGATAACAACAGGGTAGAGGAGGAAAGATACTTCCTCTTTGTAACAAAGGAAGGGAGTGTATATGTGGAAATGGGGTTTGTGGATCTGGGACCAAAGGCTTGGACTAGCTGTTGCAGAGAACGGGAGAGGAAGTTAACCAGAGAAGGGTAGTAGGATTTCCCAGCAGTGTTTAGGGCCAGTTAAACTGGTGACCATTAATAGGGTATAAAACTATTGTCAGGAGGCTGAGGCAGGAGAATGGCGTGAACCCCGGAGGCAGAGCTTTCAGTTAGCCAAGATTGTGCCACTGCACTCCAGCCTGGGCGACAGAGCGAGACTCCGTCTCAAAAAAAAGAAAACAAAACAAAACAAAACAGAAAAAACTATTGCATAGGGCCTTTAGTCTAGATTATCCTTGAAGGTTTGGAAAAAGTATATAGAAAATCCATTATGGGCAGGAGCCTTGTGATAGAAAGTTCTCCTGACTTTCGCTATTTCAGCATGTTATTCTGTTTGTGATCTCTAATTCTATTTGCATCAACTTGGGAAAATTCTATTTTTTGGAACGAAGCGTCCTTTTGTACCCATTAATCAAATCTATTAGCCCAGATTTAAGAATAAATTCCATTTCACCCCTCTCTCCCCCCCAACAAAAGACTTACACAAGCAAAAAAGAAAATACCTCATAAGGTGACTTATCCTTCAGCTGCCCAGTTTCAGGTAAGGAGAAAGCAGATAATTCGATTCATGCAAGCTTGAGATTTTTGCCTGGGTCCCACCTCCAGAGATTCTGATTTTAGTAAGTCTGGGCTAGGGACTGAGATTCTGTAATTTTTTTTTAGCCACACAGTCAGGAAGACCTAGGAAGCAGGGGTCTGAGGAAGAATAATGGTCTGAAAGTGGGAAGAAAATCCAAGAGCAGAGTAGCCCCATTTCCTGAAAAAAAAAAATTGTACATTTATCTCTACATTGAAAAAATATATATTATATATAATAACATAATATATATAATATATATATAAAAGATAAAACACCCAGGCAGCATGAGCTTTCTGTTGAATTTTTTTTTTTTTTTTTTGAGATGGAGTCTCACTCTATCGCCCAGGCTGGAGTGCAATGGTGCAATCTCGGCTCACCGCAACCCCACCTCCCGGGTTCACGCCATTCTCCTGCCTCAGCCTCCCGAATAGCTGGGACTACAGGTGCACGCCACCATGACTGGCTAATTTTTGTATTTTTAGTGAAGACGAGGTTTCACCATGTTGGCCAGGATGGTCTCCATCTCCTGACCTCATGATCCGCCTGCCTCGGCCTCCCAAAGTGCTGGGATTAGAGGTATGAGCCACCGCGCCCAGCCTGATTTCTTAAAAATTAAATGGAGGCCAGGTGTGATCACTCACGCCTGTAATCCCAGCACTTTGGGAGGCTGAGGCAGGTGGATCACTTGAGGTCAGGAGTTCAAGACCAGCCTGGCCAACGTGGTGAAAGCCCGTTTCTACAAAAAAAAAAAAAAAAAAAAAAAATTAGCCAGGCATGGTGGCTTGCACCTGTAATCCCAGCTACTTGCAAGGCTGAGGCAGGAGAATCGCTTGAACCCGGGAGGTGGAGGTTGCAGTGAGCAGAGATCATGCGCCTGCACTCCAGCCTGGGACAGAGTAAGACTCCATCTCAAAAAGAAAATAAATAAAAATTAAATTAAACTAAATTAAATGGAATTTAGTGACAGTGGTTTAACTAGGTTCTTGAATTGATTTGGTTTAATCCCATAGCCTAACTTAAACAACAACAACAACAAAAACAAACAATAACAAAAAACCTTTGTGTTGTTATTTAGTTTCACTGAAAAGAAAACTCATTGTTAAAACCCTTCTCAAAAAAATTAACTTAATTTTTATAAGACAACTGCCCAGTGGTAGAGAGGCAATTTACCCAGGTCCAAAGAAGAATTGAAAGGCTGTTCTGCTTAACTGTGTTAAGCAGAATTTTGGCCCCTTTATTGGTTTGCTAGGGCTTCTATAACTACATATCACAGAGTGGCTTAAACAACAGAAATTAATTTTCTCACAGTTCTTGAATTCTGAGATCAAGGTGTCAGTAGCGTTGGGGTTTTTTTGAGGCTTTTTTCCTTATTTTGTAGATGGCCACCCTCACCACCCCTGCGCCATGTTTTCACATGGTCATCCCTCTCTGTGTGTCTGTGTCCTAATCTTCTCTTCTTATAAGAAATGTCAGATTAGGTCTGACACTAATGACCTAATTTTAACTTAATTACCTCTTTAAAGACCCTCTCTCTAAATACAGTCACATTCTGCAGTGCTGCGGGTTAGGATTTCAACATAGAATTGAAATCCCTGGTGACGAGGGGCACAATTCAGCCCATAACAGCCCTTATGGCCTTTGCCCCCTCGTATCACACCTGTGAGTACGCAAAAGGGACTTTGCAGATGCAATTAAGGTTAAGGACCTGAAGGTAAAGAGATTATCTTGGATTAGACAAGTGGGTCCAGTCTTACCACACGAACCCATAAATGGAGAGAACTTTCTCCAGTTAGAGGCAGTGAATTGTGACAGAAGGAGAAGTCAGAGAAATTCCAAGCGTGAGAAGGACTTGATGTACCACTGCTGGCTCTGAGAGCTCAGGAGCAAGGCCTGGAAGGAGGCCTCTGGAAGCCAGGGGTGGCCCTCAGCTAACAGCCAGCAAGGAAGTAGGGATCTTTGTTCTACAAATGCAAGGAAACGAATTCAGCCAACAAACTGAAGGAGGCTAGAAGGGGATTCTTCCCTAGAATTTCCCAAGAAGGGTCCCGCTAGCCCAGGATACCTCCATTTCTACCTTGTGAAACCTGGAGCAGAGAAACCACCAGTTGAGTATTGAGGCAACTGGAACTGGTGACCTACAGAACTGAGATACTATTATAACTGTGTGTTGTAACCACTCAGTTTGTGGTAATTTGTTATGGCAGCAATAGAAAACAAATCAACCAACTGCAGAGTCAGCACATTAAGGAGAAGTACTAGAAATTAAATCTATAGATGGCTGTAACTTAGAATGAGCCAAATAATAAAATGAATCTAACGAAGTTACTAGTAAAACTGAAAGTTGCACATTGGCCGGCGCGGTGGCTCACGCCTGTAATCCCAGCACTTTGGGAGGCGGAGGCGGGTGGATCACGAGGTCAGGAGATCGAGACCATCCTGGCTAACACGGTGAAACCCCGTTTCTACTAAAAATACAAAAAATTAGCCGGGCGTGGTGGCGGGCGCCTGTAGTCCCAGCTACTCGGGAGGCTGAGGAAGGAGAATAGAGTGAACCCGGGAGGCGGAGCTTGCAGTGAGCCGAGATCGCGCCGCTGCACTCCAGCCTGGGCGACAGAGCGAGACACTGTCTCAAAAAAAAAAAAAAAAAAAAAAAAACTGAAAGTTGCTAGGGAGACGAGTCAGATTTTCCAAAGTCCTGTTGAAGAGCGACCTCCCACAGGACAAGGGCTTACTCTGTTCAGTTGAGTTGGCACTAAATGCTGAATAGTTGTTAGTAAATCTGACAGGTAAAAATCTTTATCTGGGTGCCTGAATGCATAAATAATACAAATACACCTCCCTCTTGAAACTATCAACGAGGAAATAAATACACACAATTACAGCTATCCTCAAGATTGTTATGAAACTCTAATACAGTGCCTGGCACAAAGTAAGCTTTTATTAAATGTTCGTTATTATTATTATTATTGTTATTTTGTTTTTTGTTTTTTTTTTGAGACGGAGTCTCTCTCTGTCACCCAGGCTGGAGTGCAGTGGCACAATCTCGGCTCACTGCAAGCTCCACCTCCCAGGTTCACGCCATTCTCCTGCCTCGGCCTCCTGAGTAGCTGGGACTACAGGCACCCGCCACCACGCCCAGCTAATTTTTTGTGTTTTTAGTAGAGACGGGGTTTCACCGTGTTAGTCAGGATGGTCTCGATCTCCTGACCTTGTGATCCGCCTGCCTCGGCCTCCCAAAGTGCTGGGATTATAGGCGTGAGCCACTGCGCCCAGCTATTATTATTATTGAAACGAAATCTTGCTCTGTCGCCCAAGCTGGAGTGCAGTGGCGCGATCTCGGCTCACTGCAACCTCCGCCTCCCAGGTTAAAGCAATTCTCCTCTCTCAGCCTCCCGAGTATCTGGGACTACAGGCACATGCCACCACGTCTGGCTAATTTTTGTATTTTTAGTAGAAACAGGGTTTCACCATATTGGTCAGGCTGGTCTCAAACTCCTGACTTCAGGTGATCCACCCACCTTGGTCTCTCAAAGTGCTGAGATTACAAGCGTGAGCCATCACGCCTGGCCTTATTATTATTTTTTGAGATGGAGTTTCACTCTTGTGAAAATTGCAACATGGCCCTCAAATATGTTTTGTTTGAACAGCACAACCTATTAAGGAAATTTGAATTCAAATACTTTCAGGCAGGTGGACACTGTCCTAATTGCTACAATCTCTACTACTCCCTAGTAACTTTTTCTTTCTTTTTTTTCTTTTTTGAAATGGAGTCTTGCTATGTTGCCCAGGCTGGCCTCAAATTCCTGGGCTCAAGTGATGCTCCTGCCTTAGCCTCTCAAGTAGTTGGGACTATAGGTGCAAGCCACCACACTCAGCCCTAGTATCTTCATACCCCTCAACCTCACCCATTTATTTGACTTGCCTAGCTCTGGAAGTCCTTAGAGTTTGAGACTCTTGCTTTAGAAGTCTCTTTATCTCACTTGATAGAGCAAATGTGAAACTTTCCGTAACATGGAAACATTAACTTTTTTTTCTGTGTTCCTATTTGTGACTTTTTAAATCTCAGTATTGGATCATTTTTTTCCTAAAAACTTTTTCCTATATATATATCTCAAGATATATACAAAGTAAATATTAAATTATGCTTTAATTTTGCAAATTAAAATATTTACTTCACGTAAGCATGTAAGTCAGATGAGATGATGTAATAATGATAAAGATAATGATAATAATAAACATTTAGGCTGAGCGCAATGGCTCATACCTGTAATCCCAGCACAGCACTTTGGGAGGCTGAGGCGGGTGGATCACGAGGTCAGGAGTTTGAGACCAGCCTGGACAGCATGATGAAACCCCACCTCTACTAAAAATACAAAATTAGATGGGCATGGTGGTGTGCGCCTGTAGTCCCAGCTACTTGGGAGGCTGAGGCAGGAGAATTGCTTGAATCTGGGAGATGGAGGTTGCAGTGAGCCAAGATCGCGCCACTACACTCCAGCCTGGGTGACAGAGCGAGACTCCGTCTCAAACAAAAACAAAAAACAAAAAAAACCTTCGCTTAGAGCAATCAAGAGTACACACTTGGAAGTTTTGCCGCATAGATGGGAAAAAGAATGGGAAGGAAGGAGAAGAACTAGGAAAGAGAGAGAAAGAAGAAAGGAGAAAGGAACATAATGGCCCTGAGAGTTAGTGAGGAAGATGACTCAGATGAGAGATAATGGAGGAAGAATTGCCAACACTGACCAAAGGCCTACTCTAATCAAGGCCTTACTCTAGTCGAGGCCTTCCTTAGAAACTAGGGGATGGATGGAGTCTCTGGGCTCAGTGGATTCAAAAATCCCTGAAACCCACAAGACACAAGTAGGTTGAGTATGAAGACAAGTGAGTCAGTTTTGGAGGCAGAAAGTTGTGAGTTCAAATCCTAATTTTGCTGCTGTGCAGATATACAGGCCTGGGCAAAATTAATTAGCTTCTCTAACACTCAATAACCTTATTGGTAGCTATGAAAATGATTGTTATAAGTATAAAATATTTAAATAACAATTTAAGACAATATATAATAAAATATGTCATAAGACAATACATGAGTTGTTACCAAGTTAATTGTAAGAGAATGGTGATCTTGGGCTGGGTGCCGTGGCTCACACCTGTAATCCCAGCACTTTGGGAGGCCAAGGCAGATGGATCATGAGGCATGAGGTCAGAAGTTCGAGCAGCCTGACCAACATGGTGAAACCCCTCTCTACTAAAAATACAAAAAAATTAGCTGGGTGTGGTTGCACGCGCCTGTAATCCCAGCTACTCAGGAGGCTGAGGCAGGAGAATCGCTTTAACCTGGGAGGCGAGATCGTGCCACTGCACTCCAGCCTGGGCAACAGAGCAAGACTCTGTCTCGGCCGGGCGCAGTGGCTCACGCCTGTAATCCCAGCACTTTGGGTGGCCGAGGCGGGCGGATCACGAGGTCAGGAGATCGAGACCATCCTGGCTAACACGGTGAAACCCCGTCTCTACTCAAAATACAAAAAAAAAAATTAGCTGGGCGCCGTGGCAGGCGCCTATAGTCCCAGCTACTTGGGAGGCTGAGGCAGGAGAATGGCGTGAACCCGGGAGGCGGAGCTTGCAGTGAGCCAAGATAGCGCCACTGCACTCCAGCCTGGGCGAAAGAGCGAGACTCTGTCTCAAAAAAAAAAAAAAAAAAAAAAAAAAAAAGACTGTCTCAAAAAAACAAAATAAAACAAAACAAAACAAAAAAAGAGAATGGTGATCTTGAGATAAAGGGGAGATATCTCTTTATGAGGAGATGGTAAATAAGCATAGACTCAGTGAAATAAGCATGTAGACAGGAAGAATCTGCTGGATTCTTCAAAAGAGCAAAGTCAAAGGAGGTGCTAGATCCCAGTAGATCACTAGTTCTCATTACACTTCGTCAATAAAGAAGTTTAGGTAGTATAATGTGGTACAAGCTAAGCCACTGTAACAAAGAAACCCCAAAAGACAATGGCTGATTTATGATAGGAGTTTATTTCTCTCTCAAGTAGCAATGACCCACGGCTGATAGGGTAGGTCATAGATCAGTTCCAATCATGGCTAAAAAACAGGAAGGGGGAAAGGGAGAAGGTGAGAGCACCCCTAATTCTTTTATGAGCAAGACTGTAAAGTGGCACCCATCACTTGCATTTGCATCCCGTTGGTCATGGGGCCACACAAATCAGCAAGGGAAGCTGGGAAATGCAGTCATTAGCTGGGTGGCCATGTGTCTAGCTAAAGGTAAAAGTGAAAAGGGAGAAATGAATGTTGGGAGACAATTATCAGTCTTTGCTAGGGATAGACCAATGGGAACCCAAAATTTTAATGAGATTTTTAAGAAGTACAAAGAGGACGTTTGCTATCTGTTTTAGTTGGATGGGAGGCAATGAACACAGCAAGGCCAATTACGCCACAGTATGCCACAGGTGTGAGATTAGATTACATGTCTTTTTCCACTCTTTTTATTTTTTTCCTTAGGGAACTCAGGTATACAGAATTGGATTATTCATAATCCTAGGTCATAGAAAACAGTCATCATTAATACATGCATGGCCCACTTTTGTTCTTTTATTTACTAGCTTGTTTTTTTTAAACTATGATGAACACTTGTGAATCTCTCATTCAACCCAAGAAACAGAATAATGCCTCATAATTATCTATGTGCCCCTGCCCCTATCCCTGCCCCTTGCACTTCAGAAGTAACCACAATCCCAAATATTGTATCTATTATCCTCTTACTTTTGGTAATTTTTTTTTCTTTTTTTTAGTCAGAGTCTCGCTCTGTCACCGAGGCTGGAGTGCAGTGTCACAATCTTGGCTCACTGCAACCTCTGCCTCCCAGGCTCAAGTGATTCTCATACCTCAGCCTCCGGAGTAGCTGAGATTACAGGGATGTGCCACCACCACACCTAGGTAATTTTTGGTTTTGGTGGTGGTGTTTTTTTTTTTTTTTTTATAGAGATGGGCCATGTTGGGCAGGTTGGTTTCGAACTCCTGTACTCAAGCAATTCACCTGCCTCAGCTTCCCAAAGTGCTGGGATTACAGGCATGAGCCACCATGACTGGTCTTCCCTTACTTTTATAATAAAGTTTTATTCACATATATATGTATGGCCAAAAAATATATTCTTAAATTTTGCTTGGTTTTGATTTTTATGAAAAGGTTATCATCATACTGTGTGCTCTCAATCTTGAAAAATATTTTAGAAAAATATTTACAGTGGCTCACTCCTGTAATCCCAGCTGCTCAGAAGGCTGAGGTGGGAGGGTCACTTGAGGCCAGGAGTTTGAGACCAGCCTGGGTAACATGGCGAGATGCTGTCTCTCCAAAAATAAAAGGTTTTTTTTTCGTTTGTTTGTTTGTTTTTGAGAGGAGTCTCGCTCTGTCACCCAGCCTGGAGTGCAGTGGTGTGATCTTGGCTCACTGCAAGCTCTGCCTCCTGGGTTCACGCCATTCTCCTGACTCAGCCTCCCGAGTAGCTGGGACCACAGGTGCCCGCCACCACGCCCGGCTAATTTTTTGTATTTTTAGTAGAGACAGGGTTTCATCATGTTAGCCAGGATGGTCTCGATCTCCTGACCTCATGATCCGCCCACCTCAGCCTCCCAAAGTGCTGGGATTACAGGCATGAGCCACTGCACCCAGCTAAAAAAAATTTCTTTTTTAATGAGCTGCATGTGGTAGTATGCACCTGTGGTCCCAGCTAGTTAAAAGGCTGAGGCAGAGGCCGGGCGCGGTGGCTCACGCCTGTAATCCCAGCACTTTGGGAGGCCGAGGCAGGCGGATCATTTGAGGTCAGGAGTTCAAGACCAGCCTGGCCAACATGGTAAAACTCTGTCTCTACTAAAAATACAAAAAAATGAGCCAGGCATGGTGGTGGGCGCCTGTAGTCCCAGCTACTCGGGAGGCTGAGGCAGGAGAATCGCTTGAACCCAGGAGGCGGAGGTTGCAGTGAGCTGAGATCGTGCCACTGCATTCCAGCCTGGTGACAGAGTGAGATCCTGTCTCCAGAAAAAAAAAAAAAGGCTGAGGCAGGAGGCTCTGTTGAGCTCAGGAGTTTGAGGCTGCAGTGAGCTATGATTGCATTACTCCATTCTGGCCTGGGCAACACAGCAAGACTCCATCTCTATAAATAAATATATAAATAAGAAAAATGGGCTAGGTGCAGTGGCTCACGCCTGTAATCCCAGCACTTTGGGAGGCCAAGGTGGCAGATCACCTGAGGTCAGGAGTTTGAGAGCAGCCTGACCAACATGGTGAAACCCCGTCTCTACTAAAAATGCAAAAATTAGCTGGGCATGGTGGCACACGCTTGTAATCCCAGCTACCTGAGAGGCTGAGGCAGGATAATTGCTTGAACCCGGGAGGCAGAGGTTGTGGTGAACTGAGATCACGCCACTGTACTCCAGCCTGGGCGACAGAGCAAGATACTGTCTCAAAAAAAGAAAAATATTTGAGTTGAGTATAGAATCCTAGGTTGGCAGGGGTTTCTATTTGTTTGTTTTGCTTTGTGTAGCACAATTAAAATATTATTCCATGGGATTTTTGTTTCCTATAGAAGTCTATAACTGTTGGTCTTTTAAATAAAAAGCCCATTGGCTGCTTTTGAGATTTTCTTTTTGTGTGTGGTGTTCCATAGTTTGAGTACCATATGTTTTGTGTAGATTTTCTTTCATTTATCCTTCTAGCAATCAGTTAGGTTTCTTGAATCTGTGCATTGGTGTTTTTTTTTCAGTTGTGCAAATCCTCAGCTATTTTCTCTGTAAATATGCTACCCCCATTTTGTCTCATCTCTCTTTCTCTATCAGAACATCTTATTATGTCTTTCATGTCTCTTAACTTCTCCTTCATATTTTCCATCTTTTTGTCTCCCTGTGCTACATTCTGGATAATTTCTGCTGATTTATCTTGTTTCCTGGTTAACTAATTATTCCTTAATCTGTGTCCAACCTGCTACCATTTATGTCCACTGAATTTTTAATTTCAGATACTGAGTTTTTCATCTCTAGAAATTCTATTTGGGTTCTTTTTCAAATCAGCTAGTAATGGCAGTGGCTGCTACCATCACTCCGGCTGTCACTCCAGCTGCAGCAGGGAGGCGCGGCTAGGGTTACACACTCCATGGAGCCGGTGGAAGCCCGGCCCCTTCTGAGTTAAGTCGGGAACTCACCGGGTGCTACTGCAGCCGCCCAAACCAAAGCCGTAGACCCCACCTCCGGCTCTACGGAGCAGGCAGAAGTCCCGCCCTCTTGGGCGGGCTGCAGCTGCCCAAACTGTGGCTGTGCATCGAAGCCTCCCTGTGCTCTTGGAGGAGGGCCGGGAATAGGCAGGATCTGCCCTCCCAGGTGCAGCTGCAGCTGCCAGGACCCACGGCTGCAGACCTGGGCCTCCCACTTCACTGAGCAGGCAGGAGCCAGGGACAAGTAGGAGACCCGCCCCTTTCGAGTTAGCGGGGCGGGACCTCCTAGGTGCAGGACCCGGGCGTCTCTGCAGCCTGCACCCTCGGGGACCCCAGGAGGCCCCCTTCCCCGGCTTCCTGCCGTCCCTGCAGGCTCCCGGATGTCTGCTCCCGCTGCCTGGCCTCTCTCCAATCCCGGCACCAGTTCAAATCTCGGAGCCGGGTTGGGGTCGAGCCCTGGGGGGGCCATGGATGGCAGCGGGAGGCGTATCGATTCCCGGGTGGAAGGGGGCGGGTCCTCAGTAAGGCCCCACCCTCAGGCCAGGGAGAGCCTGAAGGCTGGGGCCAGGCCGCCAGTCCTGCAGACCTAAGTGGTGCCTCTTCCAGCCTGCCCATGGCCCCCGATGTACCAATCTGCGTGCACTTCCTCCCTTCTGAGGTCCATAAAAGACCTGGGCTTAGCCAGAGCAGGGCAGAGGATGGCTAGAGGACGAAGAGAGCAGAGAGATGATAGGACGACCAGCTGCAGAGAGGAGCTATCCTCTCTGCTGATAGCAGGAGACAATGGGAGGACCAGCTACAGAGAGGAACTACCCTCTCTTCTGAGAGCCTCAGAGACCTGCAGAGACGTCAGGACTATCAGCTGCATAGAGGAGCAACCCTCTCCAGGGCCTTCTCCCTGCTGAGAACAGCAGATATTAGCATGACTTGCCTACAGAGCGGAGCTACCCACTGCGAGTCTCCTTTTAGCTGATCTAACACTTAAAGCTCATCTTCATCTTGTTTACCCTTCACTTGTCTGTGTACCTCATTCATCTTGGACACAGAACAAGAACTCAGGCAAAGGTGCCGCTGGCCACAGAGGTTTCTGGCCAGAAAATTGACACCCCAGAGATCCTGTAACACTAGGTCATTTTCTATGGTTTCCTGTTTCTTCATATATTTTCAGTTTATCTTTTATTTATTTTAATGCAGTAATCAAAGAAAATTCTGACACATTCTATAACATAGATGAACCTTGAGGACATTATGTTAACAGAAATAAGCCAGTCACAAATGCTATAAGATTCTACTTACATGGCCAGGTGGGGTGGCTCACCCCTGTAATCCCAGCACTTTGGGAGGCCGAGGTGGGAGGATCACCTGAGGTCAGGAGTTTGAGACCAGCCTGACCAACATGGCGAAACCCCGTCTCTACTAAAAATACAAAAATTAGCCAGGTGTGGTGGTGCACTCCTGTAGTCCCAGCTACTTGGGAGGCTGAGGCACGAGAATCGCTTGAACCCAGGAGATGGAGGTTACAGTGAGCTGAGATTGCACCACTGCATTCCAGCCTGGGCGACAGAGCGAGACTCCGTCTCAAAAAAAAAAAAAAGACTCCACTTACATGACATGTCCAGAGTAGTCAAATTAATAGAAACAGAAAGTAGAATGATAGTTTCCAGGAGCTGGGGCAGGGGGAAATGGGAATTCGTTGCTTAATGGGTGTACAGTTTCAGTTTTGCAAGATGAAAAAGTTCTAGAGATTGTTTGTACAACAAAATGAATATACTTAACACTACTAAACTGTCTACTTAAAAATGGTTAAGATGTAAAATTTTATCTTGTATATATATTATATATATCTGTGTATTATATATGCATGAATTATACTATAATAAAAGTAAAACAAAAATTTTAAATAATGCAAAAATATAGTAATCATAGTTGTTTGATGATCAGATATTACTGCAGTTCCATTGCTATCTGTTGTTTCAGCTTGTTCTCACAGTGCCTTGTTCCTTATGTGCTTGGTTATTTTTCACTATGTACTTGTCATTGTCCCTGAAAAATTACTGATGAAGATTCTTAGAGGATGAAGACCAGCATAAAAGTACAATCCTCCAGAGAGGATTTGAATTTGCTTCTGCCAGACACTTAGACACACTTTCAGTTTAGGACGACTTTAAACAAGATTTATAACTTAAAGTTAAAAAAAATACTTCATGTAATATGGGCTATAAATCTACAAAAAAAAAAAGGCCAGCTATGATTACAATGTCTCAAGGAGAGTTTTCTCCCCACCTGCTCAGTGTAGTTAACAAGCCAACTTTTCTTGGAGTTTCCTGGCAGAAAGATGTAGGGGAGGTTTACTTCTGATTCACCTTTCCCCTAATCGTAGGCCTTTGGGGATGCTCACAACTAATATAGGAAAGACTCCTCACCTTGGTGGACCCAGAGCTTTGATTTTGTTCTTTACCCTGCATTGCTGTCATAATGAAATCAAGTGTGCCTAGATTGGCAAATAACTTCAGAGCAAAATTTACTTCCTTCCACTTGGGGAGCACTTCTATACTTTATATTTTTAAACTATTTTATCCAGCATTTTAAGTTGCTTTTTGGCAACATGTCAGCCCAAATAACCTAACCAGTCAGAAATCCCTCTACTTTATTTCCTGTTTCATTGACTTACGCGCTTCTATTTATTTTCTTCCTCCTACTTTTGTATAGTTCTTATTTTCCCTCTAACTTCTTGAGTTGAATACTTAGCTCATTGTTACATTTTCTTTTCTATTATAAGGCTAGTCTATCCTAGGGCTCTAAATTTCCTTTAAAGTATGCATCTTTCACTGTAATCCATATTTTGATATGTAGTAGAGAAGCGATTGCCCAAAGCCAGTTGGTGTCCACCTGTTTTTATCATCTCCACCCAACAGGGTTCTTGTGCTGCCCTGGTTATATCCTGAAACATCTGTACTCAGGTCTGAACAAGTACAGGCAATTTTCACCATCTGGGCAGCAATGGAAGCCCAAGGCAATGCTGGGAGAGTTAACAGCATAATTTTTTTTTTTTGGATATAGGGTCTTGCTCTGTCACCCAGGATGGAGTGCAGTGGCATGATCTCAGCTCACTGCAGCCTTGACTTCCTGGGCTCAAGTGATCCTCCTACTTCAGCCTCCTAAGTAGCTAAAACTACAGGCATGCACCACCACACCTGACTAATTTTTGTAGAGATGGGGTTTCACCATGTTGTCCAGGCTGGTCTTGAACTGCTGGACTCAAGCAATCCTCACACCTCAGCCTCCCAAAGTACTGGGATTACAGGCATGAGCCACTGTGCCCAGCTAAGAGCATAATTTAAGCCATCTTTTTCTAACTCAGCTTTTTCCAACACTGGCTACATACGAAAATTACTAGGAAGTTTTGAAAATTACTGGTGCCTGGATCCCAACCAGAGAATGTTGTGATTGGTCTGTGGTGGGGCCTGGACTTGGGTACTTTTGGTGATTCTAAGGTGGATCCAGGGTTGAGAACCACTACTGTAATTTTATCTGGTCATTGCCACCAACTTGACTGAATCCTCTCTCTTCCCCACCCCCAATCTATTTTAAACAGCCTGTGTCTTCCCAAGGCTATAGTTTCCCAGTTTTCGTATTTCTGTCTATATTTCTCCAAAGTAGATTTGGGGAAGGAGGCAGAAACCCTGGTAATTTACCATGTTGGCAGGAACTAGAATTCTCCCTCATGTTGTTTGTCTTCACAGGAGGTCTCAGCATGAAACAGCAGCAGTGGTGTGGGATGACTGCCAAAATGGGCACCGTGTTGTCAGGGGTCTTCACCATCATGGCCGTAGACATGTATCTCATCTTTGAACAGAAGCACCTAGGGAATGGCAGTTGCACTGAGATCACACCAAAGTACAGGGGTGCAAGTAACATCATAAATAACTTCATCATCTGCTGGAGTTTTAAAATCGTCCTCTTCCTGTCTTTCATCACCATCCTCATCAGCTGCTTCCTCCTGTACTCAGTGTATGCCCAGATCTTCAGGGGCCTGGTCATCTACATTGTCTGGATTTTTTTCTATGAAACTGCAAACGTCGTAATACAAATCCTCACCAACAATGACTTTGACATTAAAGAGGTCAGAATCATGCGCTGGTTTGGCTTGGTGTCTCGTACAGTCATGCACTGTTTCTGGATGTTCTTTGTCATCAACTATGCCCACATAACCTACAAAAACCGGAGCCAGGGCAATATAATTTCCTACAAGAGACGAATTTCTACAGCGGAGATTCTCCACAGCAGAAATAAAAGATTATCAATTTCGAGTGGGTTCAGTGGCTCACACCTGGAATCCCAGTACTTTGAGAGGCAGAGGTAGGTGGATCGCCTGAGGTCAGGAGTTCAAGACCAGCCTGGCCTTGGCAGCCATGGCAAAACCCCGTCTCTACTAAAAAAAATAGAAAATTAGCCAGGCGTGGCGGCACACACCTGTAATCCCAGCCACTTGAGAGGCTGAGACTGGAGAATCACTTGACCTGGGAGGTGGAGGTTGCAGTGAGCCGAGATTGCGCCAGTGCACTTCAGCCTGAGTGACAGAGTAAGACTCTGTCCCCCAAAAAAAAAAAAAAAAGTTAGCAGCTTTATCCACCACTATAAGCAATCATGTTGGCCCTTTTCTTTCCCATAAGAGGTAGGTCTCTCAGATTCCCAGGGTAGTTCTATTTCCTTTTTTCCCCCCACTTTTGCTTAGCAGTTCTGCAAGTAGAGACCCTACTGCCACTCTTTCAGGAGAACATGAAGAGAAAATGTGATTATAATCACAACCGGAACATCCTGCTCATTGAGGGTATTTAGTTAAAGGATATTGTGATTTATCAAAACTTCTGTGAACTCACCTTTCTACCACCTGATTGGTCAAAATGAATGGAATAAGATGAAGCTGAATTGCAGTAGGGCAATCCTTTTTTCTTGGCATCTTCATTAGCCTTCAACCCACAACTCTTTAATTTAACCCTGGGATAAGCAAATCTGTATTTATACCAGATTTTTGCAGCACAAAGGATACTGTTGGCCCTGGGGTGGGTTTGTGCTATGATTTCCCCACTGTGTCTTCTGTTTTATTCCAGATAAGAAAAAGAATAAAAATAGAGAAAATTCATCCTTCAATTTATGTCTCGAATTTCCCCACCCTTTCCAAATTTGTCAAGGAGTGTGAAAGGCACTTCCTTAATCAAAGATATATGTTAAACATACTTCTGTATCTGTTGCTGTGCTGTACTCTGTAGTGTGAACACTGTACTGAACATTGTGTATATACTGTATACAAAAATGTGTAAGATATGAATGACTATGAGAATTTTGTAGTTTAGTGGAAGAAAGTAAATTATTGTTTATGAATCAATTAGCCAATCATATAAGACAGTATATGATTACATACTATCACAAATAAACAGACATCACTTTGCATTCAGGTCCAGAGACTGTATGAAGCACATTTTTTATTTTTGAGACCGAGTCTGGCTCTGTCGCCCAGGCCAGAGTGCAATGGTGCGACCTCGGCTCACTGCAACCCCCGCCTCCCGGGTTTAAGCGATTCTCCAGCTTCAGCCTCCTGAATAGCTGGGATTACAGGCACAGGCCACCATGCCTGGCTAATTTTTGTATTTTTAGTAGAGACGGGGTTTCCCCATGTTGGTCAGGCTGGTATTGAATTCCTGACCTTAGGTGATCCACTTGCCTCAGCCTCCCAAAGTGCTGGGAGTACAGGTGTGAGTCACCCACTGCTGCTATAATAACTGAGTAATTTATAAAGAGCTGAGATTTATTTTCTCACACTTTTGGAGGCTAGAAGTTCAATATCAAGGTGCCAGTAGGTTTGGTGTCTGGTAAGGGCCTGCTCTCTTTGCTTCTAAGATGGTGCAAACACTGTCCTTACATGGCAGAAGGGATGGAGAGGCAAAAGAAACTAGCTAGTTCCCTCCTGTCCCTTTATAAGGTCACTTATTCCATTCATGAGGGCTCTGCCCCTATGATTCAATCACCTCCTAAAGGCCCCATCTTTTAATGCTGTTGCATTAGGGATTAAGTTTCAACATGAATTTTGAAGGGGACAGTCAAACCACAGCACTCACCATTTGGCAAGCTGTCCTTGTCATTGTCTTCCCCGCTCCCATCCTCAGGGCTCTCCTGCCTCTGTGCTCCTCGCCTCAGAGGATGGGCTGTCCTCCATCCAGGTGCTCATCCCAGACTCCTTCTTCCACAGCCCCAGGCCCCAAATCTGTCCCCCAACATCCCTCTGCTGCCTTACTTCACCTTATTTCCTTCCATAGCCTCTCAACTGCTCTGCCTACCTCCACCTTTGCTCCCTTTCTGACCCATGGCCCTCACAGCAGCAAGAAAGATTTTTCTAAAATGCAAATCGGGCCAGGCGCAGGGGCTCACGTCTGTAATCCCAATACTTTTGGAGGCCAAAGCGGGCGGATCACTTGAGGTCAGGAGTTCAAGACCAGCCTGGCCAACATGGTGAGACCCCTTCTCTACTAAAACTACCAAAATTAGGCGGGTATAGTGGCAGGCACCTGTAATCCCAGCTACTCGGGAGGCTGAGGCAGGAGAATTGCTTGAACTTGGGAGATGGAGGTTGCAGTGAGCCATAATTGCACCACTGCACTGCAGCCTGGGCAACAGAGTGAGACTTTGTCTCAAAAATAAATAAATAAATAAATAAAATTCAAATCTGATTATGTCTGTCTGTCTATCTGTTTCTCACACACACACACACACACACACACACACACACACACACCCTGAAGAACCTCTCCTTTGCCTTTCAGAGAAACATCCACATGGCTGGTAGCAGGTAAGGATCCTTCCTGATCTGGCCCCTGCCAACATATACAGCCTTCCCCTCTGCTCAAGCCAAGGCAAACTTGCTGTTTCCAAAATGGCTTTTGCCTATCCCTGTGCCTACCCCTTTGTGTTGTCTCCTTTGCTGGGGGTGAAGTCCCTCCTTTTTCTGCCTAGTTAATGCCCATGTCTCTGAAGACCCAAGCTCAGCTATTGCCTACTCCAGAAAGCCTCCCCTGATTCTCATCCAATGATTTTTCATCTCTCTCACTGTTACATCTTGACAACACTGAGCCATCTCTTCCTCTATCACATTTATCACGTTGCATTGTAAGTTTTCTTTTTTCTTTTCTTTTTTTTTTTTTTTTTTTTTTTTTTTTTTTGAGACAGAGTCTCGCTCTGCAGCCCAGGCTGGAGTACAGTGGTGTGATATCAGCTCACTGCAACCTCTACCTCCCGGGTCCTGATTAAGCAATTCTGCTGCCTCAGCCTCCCAGGTAGTTGGCGCGTGCCACCATGCCCAGCTAATTTTTGTATCTTTAGTAGAGATGGGGTTTCACCATGTTGGCTAGACTGGTCTTGAACTCCTGACCTCGTGATCCGCCTGCCTCAAGTTTTCTTTTCTCTTAATTAAAAACAATTTTTATTCATTTGTTTTTTTATTTGTCTAGCTTCCACACTAGCATATTTACCTGTCTGTCTCCAGTGCCAAGCTCAGCCCCCAGCACCTGTAGATACACAATAGATGTCTGCTGAGTGAGTATTGAATGAATAGAATGTACCAGAGGACCTTGGCTAGCGGCAGAAAGGGAAGTTAGGCCATTATTATAGTGACCCAAGAGAGAGGTGCCGAGGGTGGAGACCAAGGCTGGGGCAGCAGAGCTGTGGAACCAGTGGGCTTTATACAGACATTTCCTTGAAACTCACAACATAGATATAAAGCAAAGGAAGAAAACTGTGTGGTTCAGGGCCTTATTTTTAGACAATTCAGGTGAGTACCCCATGGGTAGTGGCTGCTCTGGAAGCTGCGCTGTGAACCGAGCAGAGGTGAGGTTTCGTTGGTGCAGACGGGGAAGCATCAGTGCAGCTACCCACTAGACAACACACTGCCTCCCTCCTGGGCCCTCCAGGTTCTAGGGTGCACTGAGAGTTTTGTGTATCTGGAGTCACACAGGGTTGGGAGGATGGTGGAGAATAAAGTATAAGAATATTTGGGATGAATCTGGAAAACATTATGCTAAGTGAAGTAAGCCAGATACCGAAGGACAAATGTATGATTCCACTTATGTGAGACACCTAGAGCAGGCAAATTCATAGAGACAGCAAGAAAAATGGTTAGTAGGGAGCGGGGGAAGAGGAGAATGGGGAGTTGATGTTTATAATGGGTACAGAGATTTTGGTGGGGATGATGAAAAAGTTCTGAAGATGGCCAGGCATGGTGGCTCATGCCTGTAATCCCAGCACTTTGGGAGGCCGAGGCGGGCAGATCACTTGTGGTCAGGGGTTCAAGACCAGCCTGGCCAACATGGTGAAACCTGTCTCTACTAAAAATACAAAAATTAGCTGGGCATGCTGGCGCACGCTTGTAATCCCAGCTACTTGGGAGGCTGAGGCATGAGAATCGCTTCATCCTGGGAGGCAGAGATTGCAGTGATCCAAGATCGTACCACTGCACTCCAGCCTGGGTGACAGAGCAAGACTCTGTCGAAAGAGAGAGAGAGAGAGAGAAAGGAAGTTCTGGAGATGGATAGCGATATGCTTGCACGACAACGTGAATGTACTTAATGTCACTGAATTGCACATTCAAAAAGGGCTAAAGTGGTGAATTTTACATTCTGTATATTTTACTGTATTTGGAGTTGATCCAGTGAGTGAAGAGGAGAGGGCTGGAGGGAGGCTAGTGGCAGCCTGTCTGTGCTCTGCCTGGCTGGACAGGACCCATTCTGGTCATCTCAGAGAGAGGCCAGGTCAGGCTTCCAACAAGTTGTCCCCCATTGGACATTCGTCAGCCTGAGGACAGCCCTGTGTTCTCCTAATGTGTGACTGTGCCCCTTCCTTTGCCCCACAACAGAGGTAGCTCGCCAGTGTAGTGAATGATGAGGAGAGAGGTTTGCTCAGGAGTCCTCTGAATTGGGAGCCAGTAAGAAGAAGATTCAGGTTGTGGAGGAACGTTTGCGCTGTAGGCCCAGCCTACTCCAGCCTTAGGTCCCCCATTATCAACATGCCCTCAGCAGGGTCGGCTCGGGCACCAGGTTCCTGCTCCCTGCCATGAGTTGACCTCTAGAGCTCAGGTGTAACCTAGGTTGCAGCTGGAGGTCTGCCTGCTGGGCCTTCACCTGCACAATGGTGGCTTATTGTTAAGGCATCTTGGCCCTGGGCAGAGTCTTGCCTGGATCCATAAACCTTTACCCATTCCATTCCTGCTGGCCAAACCCTGTGACTTGGGACAAGGCTGGGCCATGCCCAGGGAGCAAATCAGGGAAATTTCTAAGGACTTGGAAGGAAAGAGTAGTGGGGGCAGAGGATGTCAGGGATGATTCCAAGCCCTTGAGGAGCCATGAGAGTTTTCTGACTTCAGAGAAGCAAACTCCCCAGATGGGAGCTTCGTTCATACCATCGTTATCCTCAATACAGGAACCTCTGAATTCCCACAAACCTACATCAACAGGAGCACTCTTTTTGCCACTTTAAAGCAAAGCTGAAGCTGGAACAGCAGAATTGGAAGCTACTTAGGAAGTCCCAGGCCAGTGATACATTCATTTCTCAATGATGTGGTCACATCTAGCAAGTTAGGCCAGAGCACGGGCCAGACCCCATGTCCCTTAACTTCCAGCCTATTGCCTGTCCACACACCATCATTGCTCTTAGCTCTCTGATTTATATCTAGTGACTTGGGGGATTTGTCTAAGGCTACCTCTGCCATCTTGTCACGTGTCTGTATGATTTTCTTCCTGCAGGAGGTGCTCTGGTAAAACAAGTATAAAATGAATGTCAGGATGTTCTCCCTCATGGTGGGCATCTTCTCTGTCCTTAATACCACCCAGTTCTTCATCTTTGACCTGAACCAGAAGACACACATTTGCTATGAGGCCAAGTTCAGCATCTACGTGGACTCAAAGTCGGAGCTAGTCACTTGGACCCTGTTCCACAGGGCTAATATCAGCACTGGCCTCTCCCTCACCACCATCATCATCGGCTGCTTCCTCTTTTATTGTATCCACAAGAATATCTACATGGGGCTGCTGATCTATGCCATGTGGATCATCACTTACGAGCTCATCAACTTCTCCATAGTCCTGCTCCTCAACGGGATCATCAAAGATCACTTCAAGACGCTGAGTTATTTGCACTGGATCTTCCAAATCTCACACATGCTCCTGCACTTTTTCTGTCTGCCCTTCATCGTCAAGCATGCATACAACCTTTACAAGGAATCCCAGACTGTGGGCAGGAAACGCCGCCACAGGCTCTGCTCCACCATTGCAGTGAACTCATGACTACCTGTCCGTCTGGGAATGTTGTACCGGAAGTTAAACTGAACCATGCCAGATGCCAGGAAAGGTGGGAGGGAATGGTGTTCCTCAACAATGGAACCCTCCCTACCCTGCCTGTCTTCTGTTGATGCTGCTTGGTTTGTCAGGGCTTTTGAGTTTTACGCACTGAGGAATGATTCTCGGGAGAGGGCAGGTTGTGCGGATCAATTATTTTACAGATGTGTTGTGTGACTTGTTTTAGCAGTTAATGATATGTGGCCTTGTGCTTACTTAACCATCTCACTGGTGTCTGTTTTTGCCTCTCACTGTCCCCTCTCCTCTGCACTTCCTTAGTTTCTAGTTCTTCCTTTATGGGTTGGCCCACAGATGCCGGTTCTGCTGAGTCCTTTGGAGGAGTGTTGTCCAGTAGAACTTCCTGTGCTGATGGAAATGTCCTCTATCTGTGCTGGCTACTAGCCATGTGTGGCGACTGAGCACTTGGAAATGTGGCTATTACAACCCAGTAATCAAATTTTAAATTTTATTCTTTTTTAGCTAATTTCCATTTCAATAACTATGTATGGCTGGCTCAAGACTAGCCTATCGGCCCAGCATGGTGGCTTACGCCTGTAATCCCAGCACTTTGGGAGGCCAAGGCAGGTGGATCACTTGAGGTCAGGAGTTCAAGACAAGACTGGCCAGCATGGTGAAACCCGCTCTCTACTAAAAATACAAAAATTAGCCGGGCGTGGTGGTGGGTGCCTGTAATCCCAGCTACTCGGGAGGCTGAGGCAGGAGAATCACTTGAACCCAGGAGGCGGAGGTGGCAGTGAGCTGAGATGGTGCCACTGCACTCCAGCCTGGGGGACAGAGTGAGACTCCATCTCAAAAACACAAACACACACACACACACACACACACACACACACACACAAACAGGGCCGGGTTCGGTGGCTCACGGCTGTAATCCCAGCACTTTGGGAGGCCGAGGCAGGCAGATCAAGAGGTCAGGAGATCGAGACCATCCTGGCTAACACAGTGAAACCCCGTCTCTACTAAAAATACAAAAAAATTGCCAGGCATGGTAGCGGGTGCCTGTGGTCCCAGATACTCAGGAGGCTGAGGCAGGAGAATGGCCTGAACCTGGGAGGTGGAGCTTGCAGTGAGCCGAGATCGCGCCACTGCACTGCAGCCTGGGTGACAGAGCGAGACTCTGTCTCAAACAAACAGACAAAACAAAAACAAGGACCAACCCTTTGAAAAACAAAAAGAACCCCCCAAAATATCTCCAGGCATTGTCAAACATCCCATGGGGTGGGGGTGGTGGGGGGGCAAAGTTGCCCCTAGTTGAGAGACACTATTGTAAAGCAACAAGCTCTGTGTTGAGAGCCAGCAGGCCCCTGCCTTGAACTAGGAGTGCCGCTTTTCCTGAGAACTCTTCACATTCACCAGTTGTGCAGTCTTCATCCTAATGCTCCTGTTTTATGGTTTGACGAAACTGAGACTCACTGGGCTTCAGTGATGAGATCAAGGTCACATGGTAGCAAAAGCAGGACTTGCATCTCATCATCTGACTTCATACACGAAAGTCGGCTCCCTGATTCATTCTTACTTTTACCAAGACAAAAAGGAACACCTCCTTTTAGGGTAGTTCCTTTTCCCTTGAAAAATGTTGGGAGTGAAGTCAAGAGACATGTTTGTTTGTTTGTTTTGGCCATACTCTTCCAAACCATGAGCATAGTAATGACAGTCGCTGGCTTTTACTGAACACTCAGTGCCAGGTACTATCCTACAATTCACTCAACTCTTTCCACCACGGATTTAAACCTAGGCCAGTTCCCCAAATGACCACAAGATGGCAGTCAGTAATAAGCTTTTGCTTAGAGCTGTTGGCCCCTAAACCAGATCCTCCAAGGGTGGCTGTTCAGGATTTATGGAGCTTCCAGCTGATGACTGGGAGCTAATGTGTGTGTCTCTGCCCCAGTCTCACAAGGCATGCCTTGTCTGATTGTGACTTGCTAGTACCAAAACACAAAATATAAAACATGGGCCAACTTCTGGGTTCTGATTCCCCATCCCGGTTGAGGTCGCTACGGTGGGAGGTAGACCTGGGCAACATTGGGGAACTGGAGACCTGTGTGTTGAAGAAGTGTAGGCAGAAGCAGAGTTCCAGGAATCACCTCAGCTGAGAGTTACTTTAGTTGAGAAAGTTTAAGACACTCAAACGCAAGGTTGTGCTATCCTCTATACAAGACTCCTCAAAAGCATGGTTGCTTCTGCCTTTACTTCCTGGTCTCCTGTTCTTTCTAGAACCCATCCAGTTAGGTTTCACCCCCACCGCCCCACTGGGACTGCTCTTGTCAAGGTGATCTCCACACTGCTCAAGCCGGTGGTCAGTTCTCCACCTTTGCTGACCTGTCCTGCAGTGGCTTTTGACTGCTGATCCCTCTCTCCTGCCAACAGGTTTCTCTGGTAGCCCCTCTGCCTCCGTCTCCATCCCTCCCCTGCCGCACTGGCCCCTTCTCCTCAGTCTCCTTTGCTGGCCTCTCCTCATCTTCCTGACCTCCAAACACCGGAGTGCCCTTGGCACAGTCCTTGGTCTTGTTCTCTGTCTCACTCACTCCCAGCTCACCTGGTCCAGACCCATCACTAATAAGCCCCATATACATCTTCAGCCTGGACTTCTCCCCTAAACCCTGGCTTTGTTTATGCAGTTGCTTCCTTGATGTGGTAGCCAGCTCTAACATGGTTCCCAGAGATCTCTGCGAACTGATATTCACATTCATCACCTCTTCTTAGATGTGGGCAGGACCCAGTGATCCTCTTCTAGCAAAGAGAACATAGCAAAAGCGATGGGTTGTCCTTTCTAAGGTTAGGTTACAGAAGACGATGACGTCAGTGCTGCCCGCTCTCTGAGGGAAGCTGGCTATCATGTTGAAAGTATCTTTATGGAAAGGCTCACACTGCCAGGAGCAGAGGTCACTAACCAAGAGCCCGTGAGGAACGGAATCCTACCAACAGCCCCATGAGGGAGCTTGGAAGCAGATCCTCCCCTACACAACTCTTTTTTTTTTTTTTAAATACAATATGGGGTCTCCCTATGTTGCCCAGGCTGGTCTTGAACTCCTGGCCTCAGGCTATCCTCCCACCTTGGCTTCCCAGAGTGCTGAGATTATAGGCATGAGCCACCATACCCAGTCAGGATATGTTTTGGGGTGGTTACTGTTGTAGAGACATTTTTGTAGAGATGTGACATGTACTAGTTATCTATTACTGCATAACAAATTACCCCAAAATTAGCAGCTTAAGACAGTACATTTATTCTGTCTTAGTTTCTGCGGTCAGGAGTCCAGACACAGCTCACCTGGTTCTCTGACTCAGATTCTCTCAGGGTCTCACTCAGGATGTCTCTACTTTTATTTGATTTTTAGAGACAGGGTTGCACTCTGTCACCCAGGCTGGAATGCAGTCGTGCAATCATAGCTCACTGGAGCCTTGAACTTCCAGGCTCAAGCGATCCTCCCACCTCAGCCTCCTGAGTAGCTGGGAATACAGGTGTGCCACCGCATCCAACTGATGTAAAAAAATTTTTTTTTTTAATTTTCTTAAAATGTGGGAATGTAGCCGGGCATGGTAGCTCACGCCTGTAATGACAGCACTTTGGGAGGCTGAGGCGGGTGGATCACCTGAGGTCAGGAGTTCAAGACCAGTCTGGCCAACATGGTGAAACCTCCTCTCTACTAAAAATACAAAAATTAACCGGGCATGGTAGCAGGTGCCTGTAATCCCAGTTACTCAGGAGGCTGAGGCAGGAGAATTGCTTGAACCTGGGAGGTGGAGGTTGCAGTGAGCTGAGATCGCGCCACTATACTGCAGCCTGGGCAACAAGAGCAAAACTCCATCTCAAATAAATAAATAAATAAATAAATAAATAAATAAAAATTGGGGAGTGTATCCCAATCCACACTCCTGATTTTCTCCCGTATACCTTGCCCTAACCCCCAGTCTTTGCCACCTCTACCCTTCCATTGCTCAAGTTAAAGACCCAGCAGGCATCCTTAGGTCCTCTCTTTCTCTCAGCCTGAATCTAACTCCTCACCACTCCCCATCAGCCCACCCTTCAATATAGATCCATATCCAACCACTTCATATAACCTCCCCTGCCACCTCCCTGGCCCAGGCCATCACCATCTCTTGCCCAGGCTATTGCAGTAGCAGTTCCTGACTGGCCTCCCCATGCCACTGTGTTCCCTTTACAGTCAGTTCTCCGCCCAGCCACCAGAGGGCTCCTGTTGAAACCTGAGTCAGATCAAGTCCCTCCTCTACTCCGGTCCTCACCTGCCAGGGCTCCCCACCACACTCAGGGTAGAAATCCCAAGTCTTTACCACGGCATGCCAGCTGCTAAATAACCCAGTCCCTTGTCACCCTCTGATCTGCTTTCTAACCATTTTGTTCTCTCCGCCTCCCTCTGCTGCAGCCATGCTGTCTTCCTTTCGTTCACCCTAACACAGACAGCACACTCCAGCCTCGGGGCCTTTGCACTCACTGTGCCTTCCGCCTAGAATATTCTTACTCCAGCTATTCACCAGCTTCCTTTCTTGCTCAGAAGGCATCAGAGAGGCCTTCCCTACCAATGGGTGTGAAACAGCCCCTCCCTACCATCCCATGTGTCTCTTTCCCACTTACTGTGCTACATTTCTTCATAACATGTACTATCACCTGACTTACTCTATACAGTTGCCTCTCCCACCACCCTCCAAAAATGTGGGCACCATATTTACTTCACTGATGTTTTCCCAGCACCTAGTTCAATGCCCAGCATGTAGCAGGTGCTTGATAAAGATTTGTGGAATGAATGGACATAGACTCTCAGTTTTGTTTTTGTTTTGGAGACAGAGTCTCTGTCGCCCAGGCTGAAGTGCAGTGGCACCATTGTGGCTTAGTGCAACCTCCGCCTCCTGAGTTCAAGCGATTCTCCTACCTCATCCACCTGAGTAGCTGGGACTACAGGTGCCCACCACCACTCTGGGCTAATTTTTGTATTTTTAGTAGAGATGGGGTTTCACCAAGTTGGCCAGGCTGGTCTTGAACTCCTGACCTCAGGTGATCTGCCCAAAGTGTTGAGATTACAGGCATGAGTCGCCACGCCCGGCCTATGAGAGGCAAATTATTACTGTTCTTTCAGCCTCCTGTTCCTACTCCTTTCTTCTCTCATTCAATTCTGCAGTCTCTGGTGAAGAATCTAGACACAGGTAGGAAAATACCGACAAAGGATACGATTTCAGCCCCTTATTCCTTTCCTCCTTTCCCAGTCCTGTTCCCTTACACCAACTGCTGCCACTAGAATCACCACCTCATCTCCCAGCTCCATCTCACCAAGTGGAAAACAAGTCTTTCTAACAGTGCAGGTGTCCCCGGGAAGAGCAACACTCTTAAGGGCTGTCACCCACCCCTGACACTTTCAGTCCGTGAAGATCCCCCAGCCTTCCGTCCTACTTTTCTTCATACAGTTTATTACTGTGTTGCAGACCGTGAATTAGGAATTGAGGAATACCTGGGGAAGCAAGACACAGCCCACATTCCAAGGGGCTCCCAGCCTAGCGAGGGGCCAAGCCACTTAGGCTATCTGGACCCAGGACGATAGGTGCTAGAGGAAGCACTGGGGGCCGCAGGAGGGGGCCTTGGAGGTGGAGAGTCAGGGAAGTCTTCCTGGAGGAGAAAACCTTTAAGCCGAGTCCTGGAAGATAGCATGATTTAGCCCTTAGAAAGGAGGGGAAGAAGGCTGGGTGCAGTGGCTCACGCCTGTAATCCTAGCACTTTGGGAAGCTGAGGCGGGAGGATGGCTTGAGCCCAGGTGTTCAAGACCAGCCTGGGCAATACAGTAAGACTTCATCTCTACAAAAAATTTAAAAATTAGGCCGGGCGCGGTGGCTCATGCCAAGCCTGTAATCCCAGCACTTTGAGTTCGGGCAGATCATTTGAGTTCAGGAGTTCGAGACCAACATGGCCAACATGGCAAAACCCCGTCTCTACCAAAAAATACAAAAATTAGCTGGGCGTGGTGCTGGGCGCCTGTAGCCCAGCTACTCGGGAGCCTGAGGCAGGAAAATCGTTGGAACCCGGGAGGGTGCAGTGAGCTGAGATCACTCCACTGCACTCCAGTGTGGGTGACAGGGCAAGACTTTGTCTCAAAAAAATAAAAATAAAAATTAAAATTAGCCAAACATAGTTTGGCTGGTGGTGCGCACCTGTATCCCCACTACTTGGAAGTCTGAAGTGGGCGGATCACTTGAGCCTAGGAGGCAGAGGTTGCATTGAGCCAAGATTGCGCCACTGCACTCCGCCTGGGTGACAGTGAGACCCTGTGTCAAAAAAAAAAAAGAAAAGAAAGAAAAGAAAAAGAAAAAAGAAAGGAGGGAGGAAAAGGAAAGTTGGGAGCCTGAGAAGGTGCAGGTACCCCTGGGATAGCAGATCTGTAAGCTTTTTTCAGTCATTTCCACCTAGGGTGACAGGAGGGGCTGTGTGCAGGGGACGATAGTGTCAAGAGGAAGCAAGCAGGCATGGAACTTCCCCAGATCGAAGAGGGTCTCCGCTTTCCCACGGCCTCGGCTCTTAGGTGTCTAACCACCAAATATTTCTTCAGCAACTTTCCCACCTGGCTGTGGCTGCCTTTAACTCCAAGTCATTTCTAGCAATAGTGTCCCATGGAGAATAAACTTCATTCTCTGTCAGTTTCCCCCCATTGGTTCAGGATGTATCAATGTTTCCATGAGGTTTACTTCTTTTCACCTCACAGCTTTCACTCTCCATTTCCCTGGCCTCCTTTCCCCTAGTCCTCCCCACATGGATTGCTACCTTTCTTCAGTCTTTTTTTTTTTTTTAATTTTTAAAATGTTTTTGCTGTGTCACCCAGGCTGGAGTGCAGTGGCACCAGACTCAAGTGATCCCGCTTCAGCCACCTGATTAGCTGGGACTACAGGCGCATGCCACCACGCCTGGCTAATTTTTGTATTTTTTTGTAGAGACGGGGTTTCGCTATGTTGCCTGGGCTTGTCTTGAACTTCTGGGCTCATGTGATCCTCCGGGCTCTGCCTTCCAAAGTGTTGGGATTACAGGCGTGAACCACTGTGCCTGGCCTCCTCAGTGTCTTCTGACTGTTGGTCTGTACACGTGGACTAAAGCTTTGCTTCCCCCCAGCCCCCACTGCATCCCTCTCTCCACCCACCAAGTGTTTTATGAAGGGCCCTGGGAGCCAGCCCTGGAGGAGGCTGCCTGGAGACAAGGACTGAGCCCCTGACTCCCAGACACACAGGGAAGATGCACAGGGAAGCGCTCCCAGCCTCCCTCCCATGTTGTCCTCTCACCAGCTATTAGTAAAAGAGGGACTCATTTAAATGCTTACTTTTTTCCCCTGAATAAATGATGATTTTATTCCCTAGGAAATAGTTTTTACAAATGCCTCTGATCATATTTTGCTTCATTAACAAGGGATTTTTTGTTTTGTTTTACACCTCTTTTATTATTATTTTTTTAAATTTTATTTTAGGTTCAAGGGCACGTGTGCAGATTTCTTTTCTTTTTCTTTCCATTTTTTTTGAGATGGAGTCTCACTCTGTAGCCCAGGCTGGAGTCCAGGGGTGCGATCTCAGCTCACTGCAACCTCCACCTCCCGGGTTCAAGCGATTCTCCTGCCTCAGCCTCCTGAGTAGCTGGGATTACAGGCACTCACCACCATGCCCGGCTAATTTTTTTATTTTTAGTAGAGAAAGGGTTTCACCATGTTGGCTAGGATGGTCTTGGACTCCTGACCTCAAGTGATCTGCTGGCCTCGGCCTCTCAAAGTGCTGGGATTACAGGTATGAGTCACTGCACCTGGCTGGATTCCACAGTTTTGTGAGCCTCACACTTCTCCAACCTTCCACCCTCTAGTAGGCCCCAATGTCTGCTGTTTCCTTCTTCGTGTCCATATGTACTCAGTGTTCAGCTCCCACTCATAAGGGAGAACATGCAGTATTTCTTTTTTCTGTTCCTGTGTTAGTTCGCTTAGGAAACAAGGGTTTTATGCATGTGTGTTTGGTGTATGATTGTGTGTGTCTGTGCATCTGTGTTGTGCGTGTGAATGTATGCATTTGGGTCTGTGTGTATGTTTGTAATCTGGGTTTGTGCATGTGCGTGTTTGTATTTGTGTCTGTTGTGTCTATGTGTGTATGTTTGGGTATCTGTGTTTGTGTATGTGTATGTGAATATGTGTGTGTATTTGTGTATGTTTGTATGTCTGTGTTTGTGTATGTGAGTATGTGCGTGTATTTGTATATGTTGTGTCTGTGTGTATGTTTGGGTATCTGTGTTTGTGTATGTGAATATGAGTGTGTATTTGTGTATGTTGTGTCTGTGTGTATGTTTGTATGTGTGTGCTTGTGTATGTGTGTATGTGTGTGCTTGTGTATATGTAAAAGACTGAGTTAAATAATTACTAGGTAGCTTCTGTACTGGAAGGGCTTAAAAAGAAATAATTACTTGGTGATTATCAGAAATAACTTTCATATTAAAGATACACAAAACTCAAAATTTTTTTCAGACTTTACATGTTTTTAAAATCTCCTTCTGCCTCTTACCAAGGATACAGAAATGTATCCCGTGAGGGGCATCTTATTTAAAGTGTATGTTTGGTTTCTCCTCCTGACAGCGTGGCACTGACAAGATGTCTTTTATGAATGATGTGATGGAGAATGGATTTGAAGTCAGCCTGCTTCTCAAACAGAGTTTTGGGGGAAATAAAGGATTCTTTTCAGAGGCTTTGGGAGAAAGTACTTGTAAAAGTGTCCCAGTGGCTGGGCACAGTGGCTCATGCCTGTAATTCCAACATTTTGGGGGGCCGAGGCAGGAGGATCACTTGAGCCCAGGAGCTCAAGACCAGCCTGAGCTGGTCACTACAGGGCAACGTGGTGAGACCCTGTCTCTAAAAAAAAAAAAAAGAAACAAGAAAAGAAAAATAAAATTTGCCCAAGCAATTAAGAGTCCTGTTAATTCAGCAAATAAACATTTTACAGCTCCTTTTCAAGGATTTCCCAGCTCCCGGCATCTTCCTCTCCAGCCTCCTCCCTGCTACCCGGACCTCAGCCTGGCCCCACCTGCCCCACCCTTTGATCTGAGGAGCTCTTGCATTTTTTGGCCTGATTGGGATTATTTTATTAAGCATTTGATCACCTGTGTACAATAACCATCCACCTTCTCCAACTTCTGATATCCTGGAGCACACCTATGTTTCCCAAACATATGCGTTCACACCTTCTTTCATTCATCAAAATTTATTCATTCATCAAAACATATGGCTTGTCAAATATATGCCAGGCATTGTGCTAAGTGAGGCAAAAATAAAAAGCAAAATGCAGTCTTGGCCCTGAATCAAGAAGGGAGCGTGTCAGGAAGTCATTACAGTACTATGTGATAAATCAGGTAAGAGAGGAAGTCCAAAGTGCTATGTTATCTCTATTTGTCAGTGATTCATTCAACGAATCTTTATTGAGTTTATACTAAATATATCAGACCCTGTTCTAGATATTGGAGTGACAAAGGTGAAAAAAACAGATAAATTCCTGCTCTCACGAAACTTACATTCTGAGGAGGGAAGACAGATGATAAGCAACGAAACTTGCACATCTGTATAATCATTTCAGCTATGATAGGTGCTGGGAAGAGAATAAGACAAGGTAGTATAATAGAGAGTTTGGTCCCAAATAACAAGACTTTGCCAGTCCTAGTAATTCTGTCCTCTCGTGATTAACTGGCTCAGGAATAGGCTCATGACTCAATGGAGATGGGCAGCCAGGAGGCCTTTGGACAAAGGATGTCTCTCTGGGGAGGTGATGCTTAACATGACTGAGAAGATCTGTGGGACATTTGAAACGAAGAGCAAGTGCAAAGTTCCAAGCAGGGGGAGCAAGTCTGGGGTGTTCAAAGAACAGTCAGGAAGCCAGTGACTGGGCTGGGGTGCGGTGGTTCACACCTCTAATCCCAGCCCTCTGGGAGGCCGAGGCGGGCAGATCATCTGAGGTCAGGAGTTCAAAACCAGCCTTGGCCAACGCGGTGAAACCCCATCTCTACTAAAAATACAAAAATTAGCCAGGCATGGTGGCAGGTGCCTGTAATCCCAGCTACTCAGGAGGCTGAGGCAGGAGAGTCTCTTGAATCTGGGACGCGGAAGTTGCAGGCAGCCAAGATAGCACCATTGCACTCCAGCCTGGGTGACAAGAGTGAAACTCCGTCTCAAAAAAAAAAAAAGAAAGCCAGTGACTGGAGCATGGTGAGGAGGGTATGGAAGACAAGGTGGACCAGTATGCCTTTCAGTCCCTCTAATGTACCTTCCTGGGCATCAGAGCAGAAAGCTAAAACCAACATTCCGGATGCCTTGGCAGATACAGTCTTGGAGGCTGCATGTGGAGAGTGAACTTGGGAAGGTGGAAGTGAGGCAGAGCCCATCTTCCTGCTGCCTTTGACTTTGCTGCTGGCAAGTAAGGTCATGGAGACTCCCTGGATCTCTGCAGCAACATTCCAGTGTTTGATCACTAGCTTAGTGAGCAGCTGTAGCTTCCTGATCACTGTCTTCCTGTCAGGAGCAGTGGCAGCAGCTCTCCTGGGGGACCAGTTCAGTGGTGTTCTTTCAGGAGTTACTCCCAAAGGCCAAGCATGAAGCCTCCTATACCCCTCCTTCCAAGGATGTTGAAGGAAGCAAGTCCCTGTATTAAATCCCTTTCTGCTGCAAATACCTGGAGTAGTCTCTGGTTCTCTGCAACTGGTCCTGGGTGATGCAGAGGTTTGGGGGACCCAGCTCTCATCCTCCGGGAGACCCCACCATTAAGCAGAGAAGAACCCACTAACCCTACTCTCTGTTTCCCACGACAGAGCCAAGTCCTTATTCATAATGAAACATTTCTCCTAACTTCAGGGTAGTTCAAACTTGGTCAAAGAATTGTGGGCAGTCTTAATAAACATAAATCCACAAGTTTCTCTTTGCCATATTTGTTGAATTGCTCAAATAATTTTTATTTTTTATTTTTTTTTAGAGACAAGGTATCTCTCTGTGATCCAGGCTGGAGTGCAGTGGTGTGGTCACAGCTCACTGCAGCCTCACACTCCTGGGCTCAAGCAATCCTCCTGCCTCAGCCTCCAAAGTTGCCGGAACTACAGGCACACACCACCATGCCTGGCTAATTCTTATTTTTTGTAGAGATGAGGTCTCGCTTTGTTGCCCAGGCTGCCCTTGAACTTCTGGCCTTAAGTGATCCTCCCCACTCAGCCTCCCAAAATGCTGGGATCACAGGCGTGAGCTACTGTGCCTGACCTTAAATAGTTTAAGCAGATGTGGCAGGCTTGATTTCCTTGGGCCATCTATTTCTGAGTAGGTTACACTTGGCTAGATGTTCAATGACCTGCTCATTATTACGATTTTATAGACTAGCCAGGTACGGAGGTGATACTGGTCTGCATTTCCAGGTGACTTGCCAATGAAAATCAACACTTATGGAGAGCTACTGTGAGCAAGACCTGGACAAAAAGCACTGGGGAAGATTTTCCCTCCAGGTGCTTACTGTTTAGTGGAGAGAAATACGTAGATAAGCCATCAGAGCTAACACTGATTGAGTGTTTACCAGGTACTGCTCCAAATGCTTTACATGAATGAACCAATTTATTTTTCAAGGCAGTGAAATAAATCATATTGTTTTTCCTGTTTTACATATAAGGAAACTGAGGCCCTGTGTTCCTGCCCTTGAGGTGCTCACAAGGTAGGAGGGGAAGCTGACGGCTAAGTACATTAATTGTGATACGGAATAATAAGGGGTTTGGGGGTACCAAGGGGTAGGTTAACTCTTTGTAGGTGACTTACTGGTCAGAAAGCCTTCTTTGGAGAGGTGACACACAAGCTGGGTTTTGAAAAATGTAAATGAAGATGGTCTGCAAGTCCAATTGTTGTGGGGTGGAGGGTGGGTCAAGGGTCAGGGTTAGGGCAGAAGGCATTCCAGATGAAGGGCACGGCAAGTGCAAAGACAAGGTGGTGTGGAACAGGATGATGTGTTGCAGAAAGCGGGAGCTCAGTTGGGTTGCAGCAGTGCTAGTGGGTAGCAGCTGGAGGGGAGGCTGGAGAGTGAGCAGCTGCCATTTCTTGAAGGGGACTCCCCTCCGCCACCCGCCCCTCTCATCACCCCCAGCCCCCACTGCTGTGCTGAGTTTGCACTTTTCTCTGGGGCAGTGGTAAGGGTTGTAATTCATCCATTAGAGTATTGTGAAATCAGTTAAGCAGGTCAAAAAGGAATAGAATGGAACAGACTAGACTGGAATACAAGAAAGATGCAATATTCTCGTATTAAGAGTAAATGCTATTCTGTAAAAATGCTTCCATTTTATATATTGCGATAGAGGCTGCAAGTTTTCCATCAATCCATTCTCCTCTTCTGATCTTAATAATCAAATCCCTGGCCGGACGTGGTGGCTCACACCTGTAATCCCAGCACTTTGAGAGGCCCAGGTGGGCAGATCACGGGGTCAGGAGTTCGAGAACAGCCTGACCAACATGATGAAACCCCGTCTCTACTAAAAATACAAAGTTTAGCCCGGCATGGTGGTGGACAACTGTAATTCCAGCTACTCGGGAGGCTGAAGCAGGAGAATTGCTTGAACCCGGGTGTCAGAGGTTGCAGTGAGCCAAGATCCTGCCATTGCACTCCAGCCTGGGTGTCACAGCGAGACTCCGTCTAAAAAAAAAAAGAAAATGCTTTAAGCAAGTGAACAATGTAATCAGATTCATGCTCCCAAGCTGAAAGGAATCTTAAGGATCACTTAGCCCAGTTATTCCTTCTTATAGATGGGAAACTTAAGCCCACTGAGGTTAAGCAACTTATTCAAGGTCCTGAGGCTCAGTGGCAAGAGCCAGTTTTCGAACCCTGATTTCTGAATCCAAGACCAGACCTCTTCAGTGTCACTAGCTGACAGAGATTCATTTATCTTGCTCTCTCTTTCAATCCTCAAATACATTTCAACATCACTTTATTCCTCTAATTTTCTAATTAATTTAATTCAATTCAACAAATATTTATGTATAACCCTATTATATACTAGGTTATAAAGACAGAGGAACAACCTTCATAAAATTCTCCTTAGCTAGTATCATAAATAGATACAGAAGTAAATATTTCTAGGTTTATGCATGGATTCATACATATACATATCTTTCCTAGCTCTGACCACTGAGAGGGCATAGAAGCAATGATATCCTTGTAGCAATTGAGCACATCTAGAGTTCAGATTTTTTTTTTTTGTTTTTGAGACGGAGTCTTGCTCTGTCACCCAGGCTGGAGTGCAGTGGCACGATTTCAGCTCACTGCAAGCTCCGCCTCCGGGGTTCACGCCATTCTCCTGCCTCAGCCTCCCAAGTAGCTGGGACCACAGGCACCCGCCACCACGCCCGGCTAATTTTTTGTATTTTTAGTAGAGACGGGGTTTCACCATGTTAGCCAGGATGGTCTCGATCTCCTGACCTCGTGATCTGCCTACCCTGGCCTCCCAAAGGGCTGGGATTACAGGCGTGAGCCATCGCGCCCAGGCGATCTCAGATTTTTTAAAAAATGGATTTAGGGGGCACAAGCTCATATTTGTTGCAGGGATATATTGAACAGCTGGGCTTTAAGCCTGACCATTGCCCAAATAGTGTGCATTATAACCCTTAGGTAATTTCTCATCCTTCACCCTCCTCCCATCCTCCTACCTTTCCAAGTCTCCAGCGTCTGTTATTCCACTCTCTGTGTCCACGTGTACAGATTATTTAGATCCCACTTATAAATGAGAACATGTGGTATTTGACTTTTTGCTCATTTTTTTTTTTTTTTCTGAGACGGAGTCTGACTCTGTTGCCCGGGCTGGAGTGCGATGGCGCAATCTTGGTTCACTGCAGCCTCCACCTCCTGGGTTCAAGTCATTCTCCTGCCTCAGCCTCCCAAGTAGCATGTCACCACACCCCGCTAATTTTGTATTTTTAGTAGAGATGGGGTTTCGCCATGTTGGCCAGGCTGGTCTCGAACTCCTGACCTCAAGTGATCCGCCTGCCTTGGCCTCCCAAAGTGCTGGGATTACAGGAGTGAAGCACCATGCCCAGCAGGACTTTTTGTTTCTGAGTACTCCATTTCAGATAATGGCCTCCAGTTCCATCCATGTTGCTGCAAAAGACATAATTTCTTTTTTTTATAGCTGAGTAGTATTCCATAGTATGTACATTTTATTTATATATATTATAAATATAATATGTATAATAGTCATTTTGACTGGTATAAGGTGATACCTCATTATGGTTTTAATTTGCATCTCTCTGATGATTAGTGATGCTGAGCATTTTTTCATAAGCTTGTTGGCCATTTGTATGTCTTCTTTGAAAAGTGTGTGTTCATGTCTTTTGCCCACATTTAAATGGGGTTATTTTTTTTTTATTGTTGTATTGTTGGAGTTCCTTGTAGATTCTGGATATTAGTCCTTTGTTGGTGCATACTTTGCGAACATTTCCTTCTTTCCTTCCTTTTTTTTTTTTTTTTTTTCAGGATCTCACTCTGTCACCCGGGCTGGAATGCATGGAGTGTAGTGGCATGATCATAGCTCACTGTAGCCTCAAACTTCAAGACTCAAATTATCCTCCCGCCTCAGCCTCCAGGGTAGCTGGGACCACCAGTGCATGCTAGCATACCTGGCTAATTTTTTTATTTTACTATTTTGTAGAAATGGGGTCTTACCATGTTGGCCAGGCTAGTCTTGAACTCCTGGGCTCAAGCAATCATCCCACCTCAGCCTCCCAAAGTTCTGGGATTATAGGCATAAGCCACTACGCTCGGCCTGCAAATATTTTCTCCCATTCTGTAGGTTGTATGTTCACTCTGTTGATTATATCTTTTGCTGTGCAGAAGCTTTTTCATTTAATAAAGTCTCATTTGTCTATTTTTGCATTTTATTTTGAGTTCTTACTCATGAATTATTTGCTTAGGCCAATGTCGAGAATTTTCCTAGATTTTCTTCTAGAGATTTTGCAGTTTCAGGTCTTACATTTAAGTTTTTAATCCATCTTGAGTTAATTTTGTATATGGTAAGAGGTATGGGTCCAGTTTCATTCTTCAGCATATGGCTATCCCATTTCCCAGCACCATGTATTGAGTAGGGTGTCCTTTCCCTAGTGTAAATTTTTGTCAGCTTTGCAAAGATCAGTTCACTGTAGGTATTTGGCTTTTTTTCTGGGTTCTTTTTTCTGTTCCATTGATCTATGTGCCTATTATTATACCAGCACCATGCTGTTTTGGTTACCATAGCCTGGTAGTATAATTTGAAGTCAAATAATATGATACTTCCAGCTTTGTTCTTTTTGCTTAGGATTACTTTGGCTATTTGGGCTTAAGCCCAGGAGGTCGAGGCTGCAGTGAACCAAGAATGTGCCACTGCACTCCAGCCTGGACAACAAGCAAGACCCTATCTCTTAAAAAAAAAAAATAGTCTGGACGCAGTGGCTCACACCTGTATTCCCAGCACTTTAGGAAGCCGAGGTGGGTGGATCTCGAGGTCAGGAGTTCAAGACCAGACTAGCCAAGATGGTGAAACCCCATCTCTACTAAAAATAAAAAAAATTAGCCAGGCGTGATGGCGGGCACCTGTAATCCCAGCTACTCGGAAAGCTGAGATAGGAGAATTGTTTGAACCTGGGAGGCAGAGGTTGCAGTGAGCCAAGATCACACCACTGCACTCCAGCCTGGGTGACAGAGCGAGATTCCATCTCAAAAATAAATAAATAAATAAATAAATAAATAAATAAATAAATTAATTAAAAAATAAAAATAAATTTATTGAGACCTGTTTTGTGGCCCAACATAAGGTCTATCCTGGAGAATGTTCTGTGTGCTGATGAGAAGAATGTATATTCTATTGTTGTTGGGTAGAATGTTCTGTAAATGTCTCTTAGGTCCATTTGGTCTAAAGTCCAATTTAAATCCAGTGCTTCTTTGTAGATTTTCTTTCTCGATGATCTGCCTAGTGTGTCAGTGGGGGTGCTGAAGTCCCCCACTATTATTGTATTCCTGTATATCTCTTTTCTTAGGTCAAGTAGTACTTGTTCGATGAATCTTGGTGCTCCAATGTTGGGTGCATATATATTTAGGATTGTTGTATCGTCTTGTTGAATTGATCCGTTTATCATTATATAATGACCTTTTTTTTAAGTGTAAATACATACTAACTTTATTTATTTATTTATTTAATTTATTTATTTTTTGAGATGGAGTCTTGCTCTTTTGCCCAGGCCGGAGTGCAGTGGCACAATCTTGGCTCACTGCAAGCTCCGCCTCCTGGGTTCTCGCCATTCTCTTGTCTCAGCCACCAAGTAGCTGGGATACAGGCGCCTGCCACCGCACCCAGCTAATTTTTTGTATTTTTAGTAGAGACAGGGTTTCACCGTGTTAGCCAGGATGGTCTCGATCTCCTGACCTCGTGATCCACCCACCTCGGCCTCCCAAAGTGCTGGGATTACAGGCGTGAGCCACCATGCCCGGCCTATTTATTTATTTTTATTTATTTATTTATTTTTATTATACTTTAAGTTCGAGGGTACATGTGTACCACGTGCAGGTTTGTCACATATGTATACATGTGCCATGTTGGTGTGCTGCACCCATTAACTTGTCATTTACATTAGCTATTCCTCCTAATGCTATCCCTCCCCCCTCCCCCCACCCCACGACAGGCCCCAGTGTGTGCTGTTCCCCATCCTGTGTCCAAGTGTTCTCATTGTTCAATTCCCACCTGTGAGTGAGAACATGTGGTGTTTGTTTTTCTGTCCTTGCAATAGTTTGCTGAGAATGATGGTTTCCAGCTTCATCCATGTCCCTACAAAAGGACATGAACTCATCCTTTTTTATGGCTGCACAGTATTCCATGGTGTATATGTGCCATATTTTCTTAATCCAGTCTATCATTGATGGACATTTGGGTTGGTTCCAAGTCTTTGCTATTGTGAATAGTGCCACAATAAACATACGTGTGCATGTGTCTTTATAGCAGCATGATTTATAATCCTTTGGGTATATACCCAGTAATGGGATGGCTGGGTCAAATGGTATTTCTAGTTCTAGATCCTTGAGAAATCGCCACACTGTCTTCCACAATGGTTGAACTAGTTTACAGTCCCACCAACAGTGTAAAAGTGTTCCTATTTCTCCATATCCTCTCCAGCACCTGTTGTTTCCTGACTTTTTAATGATCGCCATTCTAACTGGTGTGAGATGGTATCTCATTGTGGTTTTGATTTGCATTTCTCTGATGGCCAGTGATGATGAGCATTTTTTCATGTGATAATGACCTTCTCTATTTTTTTTTTTTTTTTACTGTTGTTGATTTAAGTCTGCTTGATCTGAGTATAGCTACTCCTGCTCACTTTTGGTTTCCATTTGCATAGAATATCTTTTTCCACCCCTTTACTACCTTCAGTCTATAAGTGTCTTTACCAGTTAGGTGGATTTCTTGTAAGCAATATATGATTGGATTATTTTTTCTTATCCATTCCACCACAGATTTGGCTTTTAAATAGCATTCTTCAATAAAAGGACCAAGGTTTCTTGGAGAAGTGGTTGATTTCAGTGCTGGGAAGGGAAAACACACAAGGAACCCAGAGTAGCTTATGGTAGCAGAGATAAAGTGCTCAAAAAAGGACGGGAGCTCATTGAAAGGACTCAGGAACCAACCTGAAAGAGCTCCCAATGGCTAAAGCTGAAGCAGTTTGAGCAACAAAATAATTAACAATAGTGATGGATTCTATAACCCATAGAATAAAATACATATCCATGAGTCCATACTGATATAAATAACTGAATAAACAAAATGACCTTTACTTATCTAGATGACTGGAAATGTGAGAATTTCAATACTCACAGCTGTGGGTAGGCTTGAATAATTATAGTTTGTAGTATCTGGAATTAAAACCACTTGTAGGCCAGGTGTGATGGCTCATGCCTGTAATCCCAGCACTTTGGGAGGCCAAGGCAGGCAGATCACCTGAGGTCAGGAGTTCAGAGACCAGCCTGACCAACATAGAGAAACCCTGTCTCTACTAAAAATACAAAAATTAGCTGGGCATGTTGGCGGGTGCCTGTAGTCCCAGCTACTCGGGAGGCTGAGGTGGGAGAATTGCTTGAACCTGGAAAGTGGAGGTTGCAGTGAGCCAAGATTGCACCACTGCACTCCAGCCTGGGTGACAGAGTGAGACTCCTACTCAAAAAAAAAAAAAAAAAAAAAAAAAAAAGGAGAAAGAAGGTAGCAGAAGACAAATAACAACTTGAAACAAGGAAGACTTTTCTAACTGTCTTGGGAGGGGAATGGACTCAGCTAAGGGAGAATGCCTATCTATATGGTGGTGCTGATTCCTGTACTGAGGAGGAGGGAGCTCTAGACAACAAGATGGACCAAGATGCAGGGTTGGGATGGGGAGATTGACTGCAAAGAGCAAACTCAAATGTCTGAGTCCACAATCCACTGTTTTGTCTGAGCTCTAGAATTCCCAAAGTATTGTTTTCATAGCAATTGTATAGTATTTCGCCACCTCATGTGTTAACTCAGCAGTTGAGGGCAGAGCTGAGAGCTCAACCTCCATTTGTAATGCGGTTTCTATAGGAAGATGTGTTGGATTTCAAGCAAATGATACACAAACAAACTTTTGAACCATGACCCTTTATAAGCAGAGAACTGCCTGCTCTTCTTTTTACTGGTTCTTAAACTCCTTAACACTCCCAGCTGTCCTCATGCTACTGTTCCTGGGTTTGGGGATTAAGTCTATGTTTGTCTTATTAAATTATGATTTTCTAAACTTCAAATTCCAGGATGAGTTTGACCAGACAGGAAAGAAGGAAACCCAAGACCTGGCCCCTTCTGAGTCAGATTTTTCCAACCCAGGCTGAGGCGGGTGGATCACTTGAGGTCAGGAGTTCAAGACCAGCCTAGCCAACATGGTGAAACTCTGTCTCTGTTAAACATACAAAAGTTAGCCGGGAGGCCAGGTGCGGTGGCTCACACCTGTAATCCCAGCACTTTGGGAGGCTGAGGCGGGTGGATCACGAGGTCAGGAGTTCGAGACCAGCCTGGGCAATATGGTGAAACCCCATCTCTACTAAAAATACAAAAAAAAAAAAAGCTAGCCCGGCGTGGTGGAGCACGCCAGTAGTTCCAGCTACTCAGGAGAGTAAGGCAGGAGAATCACTTGAACCGAGGAGGCAGAGGTTGCAGTGAGCCAAGATTGCACCACTGCACTCCAGCCTGGGCAACAGAGGGAGACTCTGTCTTAAAAAAAAAAAAAAAAATTAACCTGGCATGATGGTGCACATCTGTTGTCCCAGCTACTTGGAAGGCTAAGGCAGGAGAATCACTTGAACCTGGGAGGCAGAGGTTGCAGTGAGCTGAGATTGCACTGCTGCACTCCAGCCTGGGTGACAGAGGGAGACTCCGTCTCAAGGGAAAAAAAAAAAAAAGAAGAAGATTTTTACAACCTAGCTTTATTAGTTTGTCTGAAGTAAATGCCTAGGTTGATAGATAATCCTGCCCCCTCCCCGCTTCCCGAGAAACCTGCTGTGACACCTGCAGCCAACATTCTCTTCTTAGGCCCTCAGTGGTGATTTGTATCTCTATAAAGCAGACAACATGTTTTGGTGCTAGGTTACCATTTACTTTATCATGTTATTATGTATCCTCTTGTCTGTTCTCTAGTTGTTCCCTGTACCCTACACCTGCCTTTTCATAAAACTGTATGCCTTGACCTTACATTAGCCTATAACATATTCATCTGTTAGAGCCTCCAAAAAGCCAAGGACAGAAGCAACATAGTGTGGTTTTTTTCTGTTTGTTTTTTTTGTTTTTTTGAGACAAGGCCTTGCTCTGTCGCCCAGGCTGGAGTGCAGTGGCGTGATCTCTGCTCACTGCAGCCTCCACCTCCCGGGTTCAAGCGATTCTCCTGCCTCAGCCTCCGGAGTAGCTGGGATTACAGGCGTGTGCCACCACGCCCAGCTGATTTTTAGTAGAGACAGGGTTTCACAGTGTTGGCCAGGTGAAATGTGAGGTTGAACTCCTAACCTCAGATGATACTCCTGCCTCAGCCTCCCAAAGTGCCGAGATTACAGGCATGAACCACTGCGCCTGGCCAGCAATGCAGTGTGTAAGGAAAGACCCTAAACTTGGGGACACATAAACTTAGAATTCTACTCTGCCTTTTACTAGCCATGTGACCTTGGTAAATTATTCCATTTTGGAGTCTTGATTTACTAGTCTCTAAAAGGGAAATGACTATACACTTATAAAGTGTCTGTCACATGCTAGGCACCCAATAAATCATCATTCCCATAAATAAGCACATGATGTATGACACCACTTAAATAAAATCCTACAACAGGCAAACCTAATCTACAGTGACAGAAAGCAGATCTGTGGTTGCCTGGGGCCAGTGAGGGTGGGATGGGGAGATTGAATGCAAAGGGCCCGGGAACTTTTGGGGGTGGTGGAAACGTTCTGTATCCTGATTGTGGTCATGGTTACAGGGGCCTGTACGTTTGTCAAAACACATCAAACTGCGTGCTTAAAATGAGTGCTATTTAGTGTATGTAAATTACCCCTCAATAAAGTTTTTTTTAAAAAAATATGTATTATCGCTGGGCACGGTGGCTCACGCCTGTAATCCCAGCACTTTGGGAGGCTGAGGCGGGCAAATCACAAGGTCAGGAGTTCGAGACCAGCCTGGCCAACATGGTGAAACACCGTCTCTACTAAAAATACAAACAACTAGCTGGGCGTGGTGGCGGGTGCCTGTAATCCCAGCTACTCGGGAGGCTGAGGCAGGAGAATCGCTTGAACCCGGGAGGCAGAGGTTGCAGTGAGCCGAGATCACACCACTACACTCAAGCCTGGGTGACAGTGCAAGACTCCATCTCAAAAAATAAAATAAAATAAAATAATGTATTCTCTTTTTTTTTTTTTTTTGAGAGTGAGTCTTGCTCTATCACCCAGGCTGGAGTGCAGAAGCACAATCTCGGCTCACTGCAAACTCCGCCTCCTGCGTTCAAGTGATTCTCATGCTTCAGCCTCCCGAGTAGCTGGCATTACAGGTGCCCGCCATCATGCCCAGCTAATTTTTGTATTTTAGTAGAGACGAGGTTTCACTATGTAGGTCAAGCTGGTCTCAAACTCCTGACCTCAAATGATCCACCCGCCTCGGCTTCCCAAAGTGCTGGGATTACAGGCATGAGCAACCACACCAGGCCCTATTCCCTTTCTTTCTCCATCAATTAAAATACGTTGGATTTGGCTGGGCACAGTAGCTTACACCTGTAATCCCAGCACTTTGGGAGGCTGAGGTGGGTGGATTACCTGAGGTCAGGAGATTGAGACCAGCCTGGCCAACATGGTGAAACCCTGTTTCTACAAAAAATACAAAAATTAGCTGGGCATGGTGATGCGTGCGTGTCTGTAACCACTGCTACTTGGGAGGTGAATTGCTTGAACCTGGGAGGAGGCTGCAGTGAGCCAAGATCATGCTACTGCACTCCAGCCTGGGCAACAGAGCGAGACTCTGTCTCAAAAACAAAAACAAACAATAAAATAAAATATGTTGGATTTAGGAATACATTCTAGTGCCAAATATACATTTTAAGTTATCTTTCATTTTAGATTATTCATACTATCATATACTTTCCCCATGGATTGATGTAAATAAATGAGAATCGGCTCGATAGCCAAGTTCGCTTTCTTTTTATTTTTTATTTTTTGTTTTTTAGAGACAGGGTCTCACTCTGTCACCCAGGGTGCAATGCAGTTGCACCGTCATAGCTCAGTATCACCTCGAACTCCTGGGCTCGAGTCACCCTCCTGCCGAAGCCTCCTGAGTAGCTAGGATTACAGGTGCATGCCACCATGCCCAGTTTATTTTTATTTTTAAATAGAAATGGGTTCTCACTATGTTGCCCAGGGGGTTCTTGAACTCCTGGCCTAAACTATCTGCCTGCCTTGGCCTCCCAGAGTGCTGGGACTATAGGCGTGAGCCACTGCACTCAGCCTCCAATCTCACTTTCTAACTGACTTGCAGTATAAAATTGGACAGATGTGTCATGAGGAGTTGGAAGGAGCAGACACTGGGATCATGAGAAAGTGAAAGTATACTTAAAGATACCACACATTTTTTGAAAAATCACTACTTAGAGGGGAAAAGTATTTTTCTTGTGAAATATTAAAAGCTTGTCACAGGCCCAGGTGTAGTGGCCCATACCTGTAATCTCAGCACTTTGGGAGGCTGAGGCAAGAGGATCACTTGAGTCCAGGAGTTCAAGACCAGCCTGGGCAATACAACAAGACTCCACCTCTACAAAAAAATTTATAAAAATTAGTCAGGCGTGGTATGTGTGCCTGTAGCCCCAGCTATGAGGAAGCTGAGTCAGGAGGATTGCTTGAGACCAGGATGTTGAAGCTGGAATAAGCCATGATTGCACCACTGCACTCCAGCCTGGGTGACAGAGTGAGGCCCTGTGTCAAAAAAAAAAAAAAAAGCTTGTCACAAAACAAGGTGATCATGGTGACAGCTCAGATTAATGTAGGGCCTGAGGGAGCCACTTTTTTTCTTTCTCTTTTTTTTTTTTTTTTTTGAGGTGGAGTTTCACTCTCGTTGCCCAGGCTGGAGTGCAATGGCGCGATCATGGCTCACTGCAACCTCTGCCTACCAGGCTCAAGCGATTCTCCTGTCTCAGCCACAGCCTCCCGAGTGGCTGGGATTACAGGCACCTGCCACCATGTCCAGCTAATTTTTATATTTTTAGTAGAGATGGGATTTCACCACGTTGGTCAGGCTGGCCTCGAACTCCTGACCTCAGGTGATCCGTCTGCCTTGGCCTCCCAAAGTGCTGGGATTACAGGTGTGAGCTACTGTGCCCGGCCAGGAGCCACTTTTTTTCTACTCAGCAAGTTTTCTCCCCCACTTCCACTACTGCCTTCTCATAATAGCTCCTGTTTCCCTCTGTCTTTGAAGGAACTTTTCTGGAATCTGCACCAGAACATTTTTGCTTTCATTTCATTGGCCTTAACTTTGTCATGTGTCCAAAGCTAGCTGCAAGAGAATCTGAGGAATTTCCTGTTTATTCTTAAGGAAGGACTCACGACTTGCTAAACATAAGAGGTTCTAAAGTAAATAAATAAATAAATAAAAATAAAACTTTGGCTGAGTGCAGGGACTGACACCTGTAATCCCAACATTTTAGGAGGCCAAGGCAGGAGGACTGCCTAAGGTAAGGAGTTTGAGACCAGCCTGGGCAACACAGCAAGACCCCATCTCTACAAAAAATTTAAAAAATTAGCTGGGCATAGTAGCCTGTGCTTATAGTCCCAGTTGCTCAGGAGGCTGAGGCAAAATGATCACTAGAACCCAGGAGTTCAAGGTTACAGTGAGCTATGATTGTACCACTGCACTCTAGCCTGGGTGACAGAACAAGACTGTGTCTCTAAAAGAGTAATAATAACAAATTACTATTTAATTTAATAATAAAATAAATGTAATAATAAAATAATTTTAAAAATAAAAATTAGAAGTCTATCACCAAGGAAGAAAAGGATAATACATATCTGTATAGGCAATAATCTCTGCCCAAAGCCCTGTCTATTAATGGAGCATTTTATATATAAAATGGTGGAATTTTGGAAATTACCAAAATTAATTATTTTTTTAACTTTTATTTTAGGTTTGGGGATACATGTGAAGGTTTGTTCATAGGTAAACACGTGTCGTGGGGGGTTGTTGTACAGATTATTTCATCACCCAGGTAATAAACCTAGTACCCAATAGTTATCTTTTCAGCTCCTCTCCATCCTCTCACCCTCCCCTCTCAAGTAGATCCCAATGCCTGCTGTTTCCTTTTTTTTTGAGACAGAGTCTTGTTCTGTCACCCAGGCTGGAGTACAGTGGCGCGACCTTGGCTCACTGCAAACTCCTCTTCCTGGATTCAAGCAATTCTCCTGCCTCAGCCTCCCGAGTAACTGGGATTACAGGTGCCCACCACCACGCCGGGCTAATTTTTATATTTTTAGAAGAGACAAGGTTTCGCCATGTTGGCCAGGCTAGTCTTGAACTCCTGATCTTAGGTGATCCACCCGCCTCGGCCTCCCAAAGTGCTGGGATTACAGGCGTGAGCCACCGCGCCCGGCCTGCTGTTTCCTTGTTTGTGTTCATAAGTTCTTATCATTTGGCTCCCAGGAAATTACCAAAATTAATTATGTACATCCACATTATGGCCATATCAAAATGATTGTGTTTGTCCATAGTTCTTGAAATGGAAACATACCAACAGCACTTTGTTAAGTGGGAAAAGGTTACTAAAAATACAAGCTCTGGCTCGTGTGGTGGCTCATGCCTATAATTCCAGCACTTTGGGAGGGTGAAGTAGGAGGATCACTTGAAACCAGGAGTTCAAGACCAGCTTGGGCAACAGAGTGAGACCCCATCTCTACTAAAAAAAAAAAAAAAAAAAGAAAGAAAGAAAGAAAAAATACACACACAGAGAGAGAGAGAGAGAGAGAGAGAGTCTGGACATACTCAAAGTATTTCTCTCTGGGGTGGTAGGATTACATCACATAACTTTAATTCACTTTATATTATTATTTTTATAAAAAAACATGTGCCTTTTTTATAAGCAGAACTAAAAAAATGTATTTTCACTTAGAAATACGTGAGCATCTGTGTCTCTCAGGCACTTCCTGAGTGGAGCTGAAAGGCGAGTTGTGGCAGGGTGGGGTTCAGAGTTGGGGGTGTCTTCCCTCCAGCACACAATGGTACTGAGTGACCCGGTGTCTGGGAGCCCCTGGGCAGGGGTATCTGGGAGGCCTGGAGCTCAGGAGCGAGCTCGGTGCTGGAGTTCCAGGAATTAGTCATGAGGGGAAAGCAGCGGTGCTGGGTGTCTCCTTGGCCTCCCAGGAGCTGCTCCCTGCCCTAGAGAGGGAACTACGCAGACTGCAGCACCCCAGACTCCCTGCCTTCTGGCTTCCAGTTGGTTCAATGGGAGGCCCTGCTGGGAGATGAGAGGGTGGCTCCCACAGGGTTGGGTTATACAGGCTGATTTCTCAAAGGAAGGTCACAGCTCTTGTCAGGCAGCCTTCTGGACACGTATGCAGAGCCCCCAGCTCTGGTCCCTGCTCCCTCCTGTAGCCCCCCGGCCCCCACCCCAGGCCCCAGGGAAGGAATGCGCCCCAGGGTACAGCACTGCCCCCTTGGAGTGCTTTTTTATGCTCTCCTTACATTACTCGATTTGAGCTGGCCATTTGAGCTGGCTGTCTGTCTCCTGCCAAGATCCTGACCACCACAGAGGGCTTAGCAGTGAAAAAGGGGAAAGACACCCAAGTTTAAATAGGAAAGAAGAGAAGGAGGTGAGCCAGGGGTGGTGGCTGATGCCTGTAATTCCAGCACTTTGGGAGGCCAAGGCGGGTGGGTCACCTGAAGTCAGGAGTTCGAGACCAGCCTGACCAACATGGAGAAACCCCATCTCTACTAAAAATACAAAATTAGCCGGGCATGGTGGCACGCACCCGTAATCCCAGCTACTCGGAAGGCTGAGGCAGGAGAATCGCTTGAACCCAGGAGTCGGAGGTTGCAGTGAGCCTAGATCGAGCCACTGCACTCCAGCCTGGGTGACAGAGTAAGACTCCGTCTCAATTAAAAAAAAAAAAAAAAAGCTTCTGCACAGCAAAGGAAACAATCAACAAAGTAACAAAGTGAAAAGACAACCCAGAGAATGGGCGAAAATATTTGCAAACTACCCACCTGACAAGGGATTAAAAACCAGAACATATAAGAAGCTCAAACAATAGGGAAAAAATCCAATAATCTGATTAAAAATGGGCAAAAGATTTGAATAGGCACTTCTCAAGAGAAGACATACAAATGGCAAACAGGCATGTGAAAAGGTGCTCAACATCACTGATCATCAGAGAAATGCAAATCAAAACTATAGTGGGATATCTTCTCACCCCAGTTAAAATGGCTTTTATCCAAAAGACAGGCAATAATGAATGCTGGTGAGGATGTGGAGAAAAGGGAAGGAACCCTCCTACGCTGTTGGTAGAAATGTAAATTAGTACAGCCACTATGGAGAACAGTTTGGAAGTTCCTCAAAAAACCAAAAATAGAACTATCATATGATCCAGCAATCTGACTGCTGGGTATATACCCCAAAGAAAGGAAATCAGTGTGTCGAAGAGATATCTGCACTTTCATGTTTGTTGCAGCACTGTTCACAATAGCCAAGATTTGAAAGCAACCTAAGTGTCCATTGACAGATGAATGGATAAAGAAAATGTGGTACATATACACAATGGAGTACTATTCAGCCGTAAAAAGGAATGAGATCCTGTCATTTGCAACAAAATGGATGGGATGGGAGGTCATTACGCTAAGTGAAATAAACGAGGCACAGAAAGACAAACATTGAGGTTCTCATTTATCTGGGAATTCTAAAAATCAAAACAATTGACCTCATGGACAGAGAGTAGAATAATGGTAACCAGAGGCTGGGAAACATAGTGGGACCCTGGTAGGGAAGAGAGGATGGTTGATGGGTACAAAAAAAAAAAATAGAAACAATGAATGTGACTATAGTCAATAATAATTGAAGTGTACATTTAAAAATAACTACAAGAGCATAATTGGATTGTTTGTAACACAAAGGATAAATGCTTGAGGAGATGTATACCCCATTCTTCATGATGTGATTATTACACATTGCATGCCTGTGTCAAAACATCTCCTGTACTCCATAAATATTTACACCTACTATGTACCCCAAAAATTAAAAATTAAAAAACAATTGGCCGGGCACAAGTGGCTCACACCTATAATCCCAGCATTTTGGGAGGCCCAGGCTGGTGGATCACTTGAGGTCAGGAGTTTGAGACCAGCCTGGCTAACATGGTGAAACCACATCTCTACTAAAAATGCAAAAAATAGCAGGGCGTTGGGGCGCATGCTTATAATCCCAGCTACTCGGGAGGCTGAGGCAGGAGAATCACTTGAACCCGGGAGGCAGAGTTTGCAGTGAGCCGAGATCGCACCACTGCACTCCAACCTGGCCGACAGAACGAGACTCCATCTAAAAATGAAATGAAATAAAATAAGACAAAATAAAAATACTAAATACTCCATAATTTAGGGATACATACCTATAAAATAAAATGTTATTTTAAAGTGAAAGAATGCTGCTATGCTGTTAGCCAGGTGCAGTACCTCACATCCGTAATCCCAACAATTTGGGAGGCCGAGGCGGGTGAATCACTTGAGCCCAGAAATTTGAGACCAGCCTGGGCAACATTGCAAAATCCTATTTCTATAAAAAATTTTAAAAGTTAGCCGGGCACAGTGGTCACGCCTGTAATCCCAGCACTTTGGGAGGCTGAGTTTGGAGGATTGCTTGAGGCCAGGAATTCAAGAACAACTTGGTCAACATAGTGAGACACCCATCTCTACAAAAAATTTAAATATTAGTAAGGTGGGCTGGGCACGGTGGCTCACGCCTGTAATCCCAGCACTTTGGGAGGCTGAGGCGGGCGGATCACGAGGTCAGGAGATCGAGACCATCCTGGCTAACATGGTGAAACCCTGTCTGTACTAGAAAATACAAAAAAATTAGCCAGGCGTGGTGGTGGGCACCTGTAGTCCCAGCTACTCGGGAGGCTGAGGCAGGAGAATGGCGTGAACCCAGGAGGTGGAGCTTGCAGTGAGCCTAGATTGTGCCACTGCACTCCAGCCGAGGCGACAGAGCAAGACTCCATCTCAAAAAAAAAAAAATTAGCAAGGTGTGGTGGCAACATGTCTGTGTCTCAGCTTCTTGGGAGGCTGAGGCAGGAGGATCACTTGAGCCCAGGAATTTGAGGCTGCAGTGAGCCTCAATTGCGCGACTACCCCAGCCTGGGTGACAAGCTCAAAGTAAATAAATAAATAAGCCGGGCATGGTGGCTTATGCCTGTAATCCCAGCAATTTGGGAGGCTGAGGCGAGCAGATCACCTGAGGACAGGAGTTCAAGACCAGCCTGACCAACATGGTGAAACCCTGTCTCTACTAAACATACAAAAATCATGGTGGCACATGCCTGTAATCTCAGCTACTTCGGAGACCGAGGCAGGAGAATCGCTTGAACCCAGGAAGATGAGGGTGCAGTGAGCCAAGATCATGCCACTGCACTCCAGCCTGGGCAAGAGTGAGACTCTGTCTCAAAATAAATAAATAAAATATAAAGTAAGAGAATGCCAAACACAAAATTTAGGACAGTGGGTTGTATCTGGGGGAGGTAAGAAATGGACTAAGAGAGGATCATATAGATAGATGGATGTCATTGTTAATATTCTGTTTTTTGAGCTGGGTGGTGGATTCACTACCCAGTATGATAAAATATAATAATAACGGGCCAGATGCGGTGGCTAACGCCTGTAATCCCAGCACTTTGGGAGGCCGAGGCAGGTGGATCACCTGAGGTCAGGAGTTCGAGATCAGCCTGGCCAACATTGCGAAACCTGTCTCTACTAAAAATACAAAAAATTAGCCGGGCGTGGTGGCAGGCGCCTGTAATCCCAGCTACTTGGAAGGCTGAACCAGGAGAATTACTTGAACCTGGGAGGTGAAGGTTACAGTGAGCCGAGATCACGTCATTGCATACCAGCCTGGGTGACAAGACTCCGATTTAAAAATATATATATATATATATATATATATATATATATATAAACAAAAGACCATTCTTGGACCAAGGATGAGAATATACGATGAGCCAAGGATTATGATGAATCCACTTCTGTACATCGGATGTCCTGTTATAATAAATAAAAATAAAGACAGTCCTCTGGTCTTGCCCCTAGTTCTGCTTATTTTTGCACTTCCTCCCACAGCACTGCTGAGGGGACACTGCAACCTTGCTCTTGGCAATCGGGGTTAGTAGTGCAAGGCTGGGCAGGAAATGAACTGGGGGATGAGGCCATATCTTTTTTAACACTGTTCTTGATAGGTCTTTTGTGGTGAAGGTTTCCAAGAACCAGCACAGCAGTTGAAGGAGCTGAGCAACATTTACAAGAAATGTGCCCCTGCCCCACCCCAACCCCCCCGGGTCCCCTTTCTTCTCCCTTTTCAGCCTCCAACTCTTCCTCCCCAGCCAGGCCCAAGTGAAAGATAGTTTACAGGAGTTCATAATGACTATTTCCACAGAACAGAATGGCTTACCCAACTCTGGAGTCTGGGGAAGAACCATTCTCACCTCCAGATCCTGGGCCCTGAAGGGACCTTGAGGTGGCTAATCCACACAAATGTTTGCAGTGAGCCAAGATCGCGGAGTCTGGATGACCATAGAACCACAGATGGCCTAGGTCCAAATTCTGACCTGACCACTACCTAATATGTGGCCTTTGACATGAAATTTACTGCTCTGCACATCTGTTATCCCCATCTGTGAAATGTGGATACATAACTGCATCAAGCCGGGCTAGGTGGCATGTACCTGTACAGTCAGCTACTCAGGAGGCTGAGGCAGGAGTATTGCTTGAGGCCAAGATTTTGAGGCCAGCCTGGGCAACATGACAAGACCCTCATCTCTAAAACAATAAAATAGGCAGAGCGGAGTGGCTCATGCCTGTAATCCTAGCACTTTGGGAGGCTGAGGCGGGTGGATCACCCGAGGTCAGGAGTTTGAGACCAGCCTGGCCAACATGGCAAAACCCAGTCTCTACTAAAAAAAAATACAAAAATTAGCTGGGCGTGATAGCACATACCTGTAATCCCAGCCACTCAGAAGGCTGAGGCAGGAGAATCGCTTGAACCCAGGAGGCAGAAATTTCAGTGAGCTGAGATCGCGCCATTACACTCCAGCCTGGGCAATACAGCGAGACTGTCTCAAAAAAAAATAAATAAATAAAAATACAAAATAAAATAAAATAAAATAAAACAAATAACAGTGTTTCCCCCTGTACTTTCCAATAGTGTCATAGAGTTGTTTTAAGGATAAATAAGTTAATGCATGCAAAGCATGCAGAATAGTGCTGGGCACATAGTAGGTACTGTATGTTAGCTATTATCACTAAGGAACTACTACATGCCTGGCACTAGGTTAAGAGTTATCAGGCCGGGCGTGGTGGCTCATGCCTGTAATCCCAGCACTTTGGGAGGCCAAGGCGGGCAGATCACAAGATCAAAAGATTGAGACCATCCTGGACAACATGGTGAAACTCCGTCTCTACTAAAAATACCAAAAAAAAAAAAAAAAAAAATTAGCCGGGCGTGGTGGTGGGTGCCTGTAGTCCCAGCTACTTGGGAGGCTGAGGCAGGAGAATGGCATGAACCCGGGAGGCTGAACTTGCAGTGAGCCGAGATGGTGCCACTGCACTCCAACCTGGGTGACAGAGTGAGACTCCATCTCAAAACAAAACAAAACAAAACAAAAACAAAAATTAGCCAGGCGTGGTGGCAGGCGCCTGTAATCCCAGCTACTTGGGAGGCTGAGGCAGGAGAATGTTTGAACCAGGAGGTGGAGCCGAGATCATGCCACTGCACTCCAGCCTGGGGACAGAGCGAGACTCCATCTCAAAAAGAAAAAAAAAAAGAGTTATCAAAGATGTAGTTCAGACCAGGCACAATGGCTCATGCCTGTAATCCCAGCACTTTGGGAGGCAGTGGCAAGAGGATTACTTGAGCTCAGGAGGTTGAGGTTGCAGTGTGTCGTGATCGCACCACTGCACTCCAGCCTGGGCAACATTGCAAGACCCTGTCTCAAGACAAACAGACAAACAAACAAAAAAACAAATTAGCTGGGCACAGTGGGGCCCACCTGTAGTCACAGCTACTCAGGAGACTGAGGTGGGAGGATTGCTTAAGCCTGGAAAGTCAAGGCTGCAGTGAGCCCTGATCGAGCCACTGCACTCCAGCCTGGATGACGGAGTAAGACCCTGTCTCAAAAAAAAAAACCCCAAAAAAACAACAACAACAAAAAATGAGTCAATGGGACCATAATCTAGTGTAGAGATTAGCAAATTTCTCTGTAAAGGACAAGATAGTAAATGTTTTCAGCTTCGCCAGCCATACTGAGTGTCTTAACTACTCAACTCTGCCATCGTATCACAAATGCAGCCATAGACAATATGTAAATGGACAAGATTTATTTATGAACACAGACAATTGAGTTGCATATGTGTGTACAAATGTGTGTGTGTGTGTATATATATATATATATATATATATATTTTTTTTTTTTTTTGTGAGATGCAGTCTCACTCTGTTGCCCAGGCTGGCGTGCAATGGAGAAATCTTGGCTCACTGCAAGCTCCACCTTATGGGTTTAAGCAATTCTCCTGCCTCAGCCTCCCTGGTAGCTGGGATTACAGGCAGGCACCAACACACTGGGCTAATTTTTGTATTTTGTAGATACAGGGTCTCACCATGTTGGCCAGGCTGGTCTCAAACTCCTGATCTCAGGTGATCCGCCCACCTAAGCCTCCCAAAGTGCTGGGATTACAGGTATGAGCCACCATACCTGGCCTCTTTTTTTTTCTTTTTCTTTTAGAGATAGAGTCTTGCTCTGTCAACCAGGCTGGAGTGCTGGAGCGCAGTGGTGAGATCATAGCTCACTGTAACCTCAAACTCCTGGGCTCACGTGATCCTCCTGTCTCAGCCTCCCAAGTAGCTAGGCCATCATGCCTGACTAATTTTTATTTATTTTTTGTAGAGATGGAAGTCTTGCTAGGTTGCCCAAGCTGGTCCAGAACTCCTGGCCTCAAGCAATCCTCCCACCTCGGCCTCCCAAAGTGCTGGGATTATAAGCATGAGCCACTATACCCAGCCAAGTATTATATAATTTTTACATATCACAACATATTATTCTTCATTTGATTGATTTTCAACTACTTAAAAATGTAAAATCTAGGCTTAGCTTGCAAGCCGTACAAAAACTGTACAGGGACCAGTTCAGGCAGCAGGCCATAGTTTGCTGATTCCTGGTCTAGTGGGGGAAAAACATTTAGCACATCCAGATTTCTCTGCTCCATCTGCATGTTTGGTGCCTATTTTACAGGGAAGCAGGCTAAGGCTCCATCCTTCAAAATCCAGGTGAAATGCCACCTCCTCTTTGAAGCCTTCCCAGATCCCCTCAGCCAAGGGCAGTAATAACTCCATCTGCTGCCTCCTACATGATACGCACAAATATATTCATCACTTTTAAAAGCTTATCATAGGCTGGGCATGATATTCCACACCTGTAATCACAGCACTTTGGGAGGCCAAGGAGGGAGGATCACTTGAGGCCAGGAATTAAAGATTAGCCTGAGCAACGTAGTGAGACCCTGTCTCAATTAAAAGAAAAAGTGAAAGGCTGAGGACAGTGGCTCGTGCCTGTAATCCCAGCACTTTGGGAGGCCGAGGTGGACGGATCACCTGAGGTCAGGAGTTTGACACCAGCCTGGCCAAGAAGATGAAACCCCATCTCTACTAAAAATACAAAAATTAGCCAAGCATGGCGGCAGGTCCCTGTAATCCCAGCTACTTGGGAGGCTGAGGCAGGGGAATCGCTTGAACCTGGGTGCCGTGAGCCAAGTTCATGCCTCTGCACTCCAGCCTGGGATACAGAGCAAAAATCTGTCTCTCAAAAGAAAAAAAAAAAATGGACCGGGCGCAGTGGCTCACACCTGTAATCCCAGCACTTTGGGAAGCCAAGGCAGGTGGATTACTTGAGATCAGGAGTTCAAGACTAGCCTGGCAAACATGGTGAAACCCCATCTCTACTAACAATACAAAAAGTAGACAGGTGTGGTAGCACACGCTTGTAGTCTCAGCTACTTGGGAGGCTGAGGCACGAGAATTGCTTGAACTCAGGAAGTGGAGGTTGCAGTGAACCGAGATTATGCCACTGCACTCCAGTCTGGGTGACAGAGTGAGACCCTGTCTCAAAATAAATAAATAATATTATATATATTATATATATATTTTATATATAATATATAATATAATATATAATATATATTATATATATTTTATGTATAATATATAATATATAATATATAATATATATTATATATTATATATTATATATATAATATATAATTTATGTATAATATATAATATAATATATAATATATATTATATATTATATATATAAATATATATATTTTTTTTGAGACAGAGTTTCGCTCTGTCGCCCAGGCTATACGTGATCGTGGCTCACTGCAGCCTCCACCTCCTGGATTCAAGTGATTCTCCTGCCTCAGCCTCCTGAGTAGCTGGGACTATAGACATGCACCACCATGCCCAGCTAATTTTGTATTTTTGGTAGAGACTGGGTTTCACCATGTTGGTCAGGCTGGTCTTGAACTGCTGACCTCAGATGATCCACCCGCCTCAGCCTCCTAAAGTGCTGGGATTACAGGCGTGAGCCACCACTCCCAGCTAAAATAAATAAATAAATGTTTAAAAAGAAAGAACAAAGAAAAAAAATTTTTTTTGTTTTTGAGACGGAGTCTCACTCTGTCGCCCAGGCTGGAGTGCAGTGGCTAGCTATCTTGGCTCACTGCAACCTCCGCCTCCTGGGTTCAAGCGATTCTCTTGCCTCAGCCTCCTGGGTAGCTGGGACTATGGGCACATGCCACCATGCCTGGCTAAGTTTTTGTATTTTTAGTAGAGATGGGGTTTCACTGTGTTAGCCAGGATGGTGTCGATCTCCTGACCTTGTGATCCGCCTGCCTCGGCCTCCCAAAGTGCTGGGATTACAGGTGTGAGCCACCGCGCCCAGCCAGAGAAAAATTTTTAAAAATAAAGTTTATCATAAAACATTTAAAACAACCCAAAAGTTGAAAAGAATAATACAAACACCTTACTCATACCATCTAGTTTATGGAATAAAGCATTGCCAAAATAGTTGAAGGTCTCTTTCCACAAATCACAACCTCCCTCCCTTCTCCCCAAAGGTAATAACCACTTCCCTGACTCTGGAAACTTATTATCACCCTGTACTTTTTTGTTTGTTTTGTTTTGTTTTGTTTTTTTGAGACAGGGTCTCGCTCTTTCACCCAAGCTAGAATGTTGTGGTGCCATCTTGGTTCACTGCAGCCTCCATCTCCCGGACTCAATTGATCCTCCCACCTCAGCCTCCCAAGTAGCTGGGACTACCGGCACGCACCACCACGTCCGGCTAATGCTTCTATTTTTTTGTAGAGATGGGGTTTTGTCATGTTGGCCAGGCTAGTCTCAAACTCCTGGGCTCAAGTGATCATCCCTCCTTGTCTTCCCAAAGTGCTGGGATTATGGGTGTGAACTACCACACCCTACCCCACCCTGTACTTCTTTGTACTTTTGCTACATGTGTATGCATCCGTAAGCGGGAGATAGTAGTTTTTCTGTATGTAAGTATATCTGTTATTTAACCCAGTCTCCTAATAATCCAATCCAGGAGTATCTCTGTTTAGAGATTAGTTTTAGAGGGTGTAATAACTTGCCCAAGGTTTCTAGATAAGTAAGCTCAAGGCTGATTCCCAAGTCAATGCTTTTAACCATTGCTCTCTATATTCCTCTGGCCATGACATTGATCCCCCGCAGACTTATTGGTTATCTGATTCCCTTTCCACGCTAGATGTCAAACTGCCCCTGAGAAGAGATTAAATATGACCTTTCACCCTCCCCCTAAAACTCTTAATCTCTTGCATCCAACAGGAGCACGATCTGTCTTTATTCAGAGATACTTTCTTCTATTCCCCCGCAGCAGTCTCATTAGATGGGGAAACTGCCAGAAACTCACTTCGAGAAAGAGAAGGGTGGGGCTTTGCCTGATTTCGTTAATAGTTTGCGGCAACTTTTAATTATCCAAGTGTCAGCTTTACTGGAAAGGACGAAGCATGCAACCCTCAGGCTCCAAGATGTTGGTAGTGTGTGTATGTTGTGTGGGGGATGGGAGAGATTAGAGAAAAGGGGAACCTCAGAAAATCAGCCCCCCAGAACCAAGACATCCTTCCTTCCTCTTTATAGCCACATGGGGGCTGAGCTGAGGTATGGGATCTAGTCTAAGCTTAAGGGTAGACATACACCAGAACCCAATGAGGAGTGAGGGGTATTATAGTCTGCACCCTCCAGCAACCTCGAGGGTGCATATGGGCCAGTGTCCAAAGGGTGTGTGGATGCATTGAGGGTTGGGAGCATGATGACCCCCAGGGAGGGAGTATTATAACTGTGGATATTTATAAAGAAACAAGAAACCAACATTTACCAATACTTAATATATGAATTGACAATGGCACTCCAGTGTGCTTTCAAAATATCAGGATGTATTCAGGCCACACGTACAAAGTGGATTCATGGGTCTTGCCATCCAGTTTAACTAAACTCACACAAAATGGACAAAGGGCCTATTAAACAGATCCCTGCAAAGAAACCATGGACTAAAAATACTAATTATTCAAGAATAAGCAGTAAGAAAATGGCAGAGCTAACATTTCACCTACTCCCAATATTAGCCCTTTGTCAAACACATCAGAGGGGGAAACCTTAAGTCAAACTCACATTTCTACCCATCCACTATTGTGTGTGTGTGTGTGTGTGTGTGTGTGTGTGTTTTAAGTGGGGTTACCTGTTGCCCAGGCTGGAGTGCAATAGCGTGATCATAACTCACTGCAACCTTGGAGCTCCTGGGTTCAAGCGATCCTCCTGCCTCAGCCTCCTGCATAGGTAGGACTACAGGTGTATGCCACCACGCTCAGCTAATTTTCACTTATTTTTTGTAGACTGGGTCTTATCTGGTCACGACTTTAGTGTCACCACACTGTTCTATTATTTTTTCTATGCTGCATAATAAATTATACTATTGTTAAAGACTAGGCCAGGCGCGGTGGCCCACGCCTGTAATCCCAGCACTTTGGGAGGCCAAGGCAGGCAGATCACTTGAAGTCAGGAGTTCCAAACCAGCCTGGCCAACATGGCGAAACCCCGTATCTACTAATACAAAATTAGCTGGCCTGGTGGCACATGCCTGTAATCCCAACTTCTCGGGAGGCTGAGACAGGATAATCACTTAAAACCCGGGAGGCGGAGCTTGCGATGAGCCTAGATTGCACCACTGCACCCCAGCCTGGGCAACAGAGCGACACTCCATCTCAAAAAAAAAAAAAAAAAGGCTGCGGAGCACGATGGCTCACACCTGTAATCCTAGCACTTTGGGTGGCTGAAGCAGGCGGATCATAAGGTCAAGGAGCTCGAGACCAGCCTGGCCAACATGGTAAAACCCTGTCTCTACTAAAATACAAAAATTAGCTGGGCGTGGCAGCGGGCGCCTGTAATCCCAGCTACTCAGGAGGCTGAGGTAGAACTGCTTGAACCCGGGAAGTGAAAGTTGCAGTGAGCCGAGATCGTGCCACTGGCAGTGGCACGCCAGCTGGTCCAGCCTGGTTGACAGAGACTCAGTCTCGAAAAGAAACTAAACCTCACACTAAAGGTGAAGGAAACTTGAATCAGGAACCGAGAGTAATAGAGGCAATAGTTTTTCAATAAACTTCACGTGTACCAAGGGGACATGCTCAAAATGTTTTACTATCAGTGGCAGACAACTGATAAAAGCTTCAAGGGTTAGTTTGGTAATAGGTATGTATTTGTTATCTCTAGATCAGCCCCATCCAATAGAACTTTCTGCAATGATGTTTTATATGAGGTGGCCACTAGCCATAAATGGCTATTGAACACTTGAAAATTGTCACATCTATCCTATTTGCATAGCTTTAAAATTGTAATCTGGAAAAGGTTATTTTATTAGGCCTCCCATGCCAGATATTGCCCAAATTTTGACAATACTGGTCCTACCCCTTGACCATACATTCGTTTCAGGAAGATGACTATCCTAGAAATCCCAATGTTGAAGGAAGCCAGATTTAGGCTGAGAATTCCTTTCTCCTACAATTCTTTGGCACTTACCAAATGCTCAATAAATGCAGGTTAGCAATGCCTCCGCACAGACGATTAGAAGCCACGAGTTAAGACAAAAGGTTTTTATTCAAAAAACGCCAAGTATAAAAAAAAAAATAAGATCTCTTTTATTCCCCTGTACAGTATTTCACTCAGATAAAACCAGCAGGCTACCTGCTGCTCAAAACACAGCCCCAGAGAGGATCTGGAAGGCACACCATCCAGAACTGCTTTTCATAATTATCCTATATACACAGTCAGCAATGCCCCTCCCCATCACCCACAGAGCCGGGACCCACCTGGGTAAGTAGGTGAGGGGCCCCACAGAAGCCAGGGAGCTGCAGCACTGTCCCGCCTGAGTCCCGTCACCCCACAAACAGAGCAAGCGTCGCAGCCCTCCCCCAAAAGGTCCCCAAGTCAGAGGAGGAAAGGAGGAAAGAAAACTAGGGCAGCAGCTATGGAAGCTTGGAATAGGAAGGGAACCAAATAAATAAATAAATAAATACATAACATTGACCTCCAGGTTAGAATGCGCATCTTTCAAAACAAGAAACAAAAACAGGTAAAATAACTTAAAGGCAAAATTTCTTAAAAATTAGATCCACTACAATCTTTTTGTATACTACCATGCCAACTGTACACACATTTACAGCTTTTCTGTTGATTGCATTGTTTGTGCATTTTTTGTGTGTGTGAGGTCTTGGCTTTGAAACAGTTAAGTAAAAACCAAAAAGGAAGACCAGTTCACTCGGAGTTTTACTAAAGGAGGCAGAAAAAAGGGCAGGTGGCTCAGCGTTTGGCCCTGTAGCCTCTTCCATGGCACCTTTCATATGAAGGAGGGGGTGAGGGAGGACAGGAGAGAAAAATAGGGAACAAAACCCAGGCAGATTTTTGGAGAAGCAGCAGGTAAAAGAGGCAAGTTCAAGTATTTCTCCCAGCACAGCCGGAGTCCCCACAGAAGGCACTCAGAAAGAGTCGGAAGAGGTGACAGGGACTTAAAATGGTGCTAGTCCTATCCCATCCCAACCTGTTTCCCCCCTACCTGACCCATCGCGGCATTCAGCAGAACTCATGATGAAGGAAACAGTTCCATGGCAGGGTTCTGACCCACCCCCACCCCCCACCCCCGGGATATTTCAGAGTCCAGCAATGCTGGACACCTATGAGAAGAAGAGAGTATCTATGGGAGGAGTTGAGGCCTAGGACCCCTGGAGAGTCACTCTTCCCCACTGTTGGGAGGCAGCCTCCAGGGGCCTGGGATCTGGAATGAGTTGTAAATGTTGTTCCTGTATCAAGCACTGTCCTGCTTGGCGAGACGTGTCACTGGTACTCGGGAAGCTGGAGACAGAAGCTTCCCCTCCCTCGGGCATCTGACAAGAGAGGGGAGGACCTGCCAGAAAGGCTGCTATTTGCTGGGCCCCGGCGACAGGCTGTGGAGGTGGATCTCAGCAGTTTCCTGGGGCAGGAGAACATCTTGCATCCATGGATGGTTCTGGATTTCTTCGAAGGTTGGCCTATCTGATGGTCTCAGGGCCAAGCACCATCTAATGAGATGCTGACATTCTGCAGAAAGGAGGATAGACGAGGTTATGAATGACTCAACTTGTTTTTACACTGCAAAGGTCTTCCCCATTTGCTTCTCAGAGGCCCACAAGTCTGGGGTCCCAGGGAGGCCAAGCATTTTCTAGAACACTGTGCTGGGTACCCTTCAATAGGAAGGTATTGACTAATATCTGGGTCCTCCAGTCTGCTTTCAGCTAAAAACTGACTCCCCTCTTAAACCTGTGGTTTTCAAACTTCAATAGTGGGGGCCTTTCCCACAACACCCACTCACCAGAAATAGGAAGGATGATGACAAGAGATTTTGATGAGACACCACTGAGCATGATGAAATGATTCAATTCACCTACCAACTTACAAACACGAACACCACCCACAGTGAGGTCACTGGTACCAAAATATTTGGAGCTGCTGCCTTAAAGAAGATGCTAAAAGAGCTTTTAACTTTTTACTCCCTGGCAAAACAGCCAGGAATTATCAGGTTTCTGTTGGTACCTTTAAAAAAGTTTTTGGAGAAGCCAGATTGTCTTTTCTTCTTAATATGCTCACACATGCCTTCCTCTGACCTCCCAAGGAAAGCTCAAGTGCAAACCATGTGATTTATGAGGCCAGCTCAAGTGTAAATCACTCACCTACAATTCTAAGCCAAGGGTGACAGAATCTACTGGAGAGTGAAGCTCTCCAGAATTTCAAAGACTGTCCCATGAAGACTAATAGCCCCATTAAGACCAATAACCCCATGGCCAGGGGTTTCCATCAGTTACCTGAAGAGACCCTCTGCCTGAAGAAAACCTGGCCCCTGATGATCTCTTCGTCATGCTCGAAAGGAATATCTCCACACACCATATCATACAGCAGGATCCCCAGGGACCAGACTGCCGCCGACCTGCCATGGTAGCGATGGTAGCGGATCCACTCTGGAGGGCTATACACTCGGGTCCCTGTGAGCCAAGGGAATAGAAGAGAAAACACACTTTTAGCAAAAACAAGCACAAAGAAGCTGGGTGGTATATATAACTCTTTCTTTTAAAAAAAAAAAAAATCCCTTCTCTCAGGAGCTAGGTGAACTCCATTTTTCCCTCTGGGCTAAGGAGAGTGGAGGCGCACCTTACGGCATCTCTCCAACCCAAAGCATTACCCACCTCTCTGCTAGCCCAAACCATAAACTGAAATTCTTTATGAACTGCTCCAAGAAACAAACACAGCTGGCCGCAGACCCAAAACTTGAGGCCCTGTGAGGCAGGACCGCCTGCGAAGGATGAAGGGATGCATGTCTGCACAACCAAGAAAGGTATCTCATAGACTATCCTTAAATTGCATTCACCACTGCCCAGGAGCCCGGGTGAGATTCTCATGGCCGACAGGATCCAAGCAAGGATGCTTGCACAACATCCTAAGTCAGGGTGCCCTTTGGGAGGCCTTCCTCCCCACCCGATGCAAGCAGGAGCAGACACCCACACCCTTTCCTCCCTAGACTGGAAAGGTAGACAGAGCTGCAGGGTTGGTTTCAGACCACGTGATTCCTGTTTACAAACTTTGGGTAGTAAAAGAAAAAGGAGGGGCCATGCCGCTGGTGCTCACCAGGGGGCAGCAAAGACTTGAAAGAAAAAACATGGGAGGACCCGGCCAGCCATTAACTGTTAAATACAAAAAATGCAGCCCAACCCAGCGTCCTCCAAGGGCAAATAAACATAAACCACAAGCCCGAGTCACAAGTTTTGAAAGGCTGTCGTTTGTTAGGTTAAGCCGCTCAGATGATGACCCACCCTCCGCAGCTTTGATCTCAGGCTCTCCATTCCTTCTTTTCTGAAAGAACCCGCTCCAAGCCCCTCCCTAGGATAGGTTTTCATCCTCTCTGCGGAGACACCCAACTAATTTTCAAACCAGCGACAGATCTTATTTCACAACATTCATTCCTGACTCTCTCTCCCCTTAACACTAAAGAAAAAAAAAAGCCACCAGTAATAATATAGTTCCTATTCCTTAACCTTCCCTAGATCAGAAAGGAGTTAAGAACTGCAGCTCTAAAACTACCATACAGAAAACTAACTCCCTTATAAAATAAAACAAAAATTACAAAACCGGCATCAATTTCCACCTCTTCCCCCGCCCCCATCCTTTTACTGGCGGGGAAACTGGGTCAGACTTTAGAAAAATCTGGGCTACCGCCGGTTGCCCACAACCTCTTATTCATCGGGAAAGCCTGGAACTAACTGAATTCCACTTGAAGAATAAAATCATGCCAGAAACATTACAGGTTCAGCTGGCTGAAAATCCCCGGCTTTACTACGCTGGGAGGCTCTCCTGCGTCCCACCCCGGCTAGCATCGAGCCAGGCGGCCCAATGACCTTTACAAAAGGCTGGCGCGGGAGACTGGCCGAGGCCTCCGGACTGGGCCGGGCCGGGCCGAGTCACCTGGGCAGCTCCCTCCCGGGCCTGGCTCACCATCGAAGTCCGTGTAGACGGTGTCCTTGAGCAGCGCCCCCGACCCGAAGTCGATGAGCTTGAGCTCGCCGCGATTGAGGTCGATAAGGATGTTTTCGTCCTTGATGTCGCGGTGGAGCACCCCGCAGTTGTGGCAGTGCCGCACGGCCTCCAGCACCTGCCAGAAGAAGCTGCGGGCCAGCTCCTCTTGCAGGGCTCCCCTTTCCGTGATGAAGTCGAAGAGATCTTGCACCGGCTCGGGCCTCTCCAGGATCAGGACGAAACTGTCGGGCCTCTCGAACCAGTCCAGGAGCCTAATGACGCCGGAGAAACCCGAGCTCACCTTCTTCAGCAGGACCACTTCCATGGGCACTCGAGTGCCATTAGGCTGCAGGGGCGAGGGGGCCGCGTTAGGGCGGGAGTCGGGGGCGCCCCTCACCCCACCCACTCATCCTGGGGGTCGCTCCTGCAGGGCACTCACCAGCTCTCCCCAGTCGGAAATCCGGTCCTTCTCCACGTGTTTGATGGCCACCTGGAAGCCCAGGGTCTCCGTCAGGTTCCCTCGTCCGGGCTAAAGCACGCCCGTGCGCCCCCCGCCCGGCGCGCCCTCCCCACCGCGGGGCGCCCACTCACCGGCAAGTTGTCGGAGACGCGGATGCCTGAGTAGACCGAGCCGAAGCCGCCGCTGCCCAGTAGCGGGCCCACCTGGTACTGCGACTCCAGGGGCTCCTTCTCCTTGCCTAGGAAAGGGGGAAGCACGGGGACTCAGTGCCGGCCCGCGAGCCGCCAGCTCCCCACCCAGGAGATCCCGCCGCCGCCCCGCATCCCCGGGCCGGAGGCGGGGGGTGCTCTCACCGGGCGCCAGCTTGGTGGCGTGCAGGTCGTTGCAGGGCGCGGCGCGCAGGTGGGCAAGCGAGTTGATTTTGGACAAGAGCATCCCAACCTCCAGGATGTCGGCGCAGGGACGGTGCCCAGAGGAGCTGCCGCAGGAGCCGGAGCCGGGGCTGTGCCGAAGGCTATGCCTGGGGCTGTGGCTGTGGCTGTGGCTGCGGGTGGCGTTGCGGCTGTGGCTGCGGCTGGCGCGGAAGGCCGAGGGCGAGTCGGAGGACAACTGAGGGCGCTGCCGGGACTGGCGGCGGGAGGGCGCGCCAGCGGGGTCGGGCAGCGCTGAGAACGGCGGGGTGAGCGGCTCGTGGGGCTCGTGCGGCAGCGCCGCGGGGCAGGAGGCTAGTGGTTGCTGCTGCTGCTGCTGCTGCTGCTGCTGCCGGTCCCGCCGCCGCCGCTGCCACCGACTCCTCTCGGGCCTCCTCAGCCACCGCGGCCGCTGCAGCAGACGCCCGGCTCGCCCCGCAGCCAGGAGTAAAGGGGAGGAGCGCGCCGGCGGGGAGGGCGCGCGGGGAGGGCGCGGCGGGCGGGGACGGGGCGGGGCCTCTCCGGGAGGCCAAGGCGGGGAGCAGGGCTGCCGGGCCGGCCGAGGGAGGAGAGGGGGTGGGGAAGCGGCGGGACTGGGCGACTCCCCTCGGCCCCCGCCCCGCGCGCTCTGTGGCCGCGCCCCGGCCCCGCCCCTGCCAGCGCTACTCCAGCCAACCAGAGGCCGATTGATCTGCATAACTCGGCGCGCCCCGCCCCCGCCCCGCCCAGCTCTCGCGGTCAGAATGGTCTCTACGCCGCCACGACGTGGCGGGAAGGAAAAGGCGCCAAAATGGAGGGGGAGGGGCGCGGGGCGTGAGGGGAGGCGGGAGCTGGGTGTAGGGCCGCGAGGGAGGAAGGATGGGGAGGGGCGTATCGATTCAAACCCAAACAATAACAAAGCCATCAAAGGCCGCCCGAGGCCGGCTCTGCGGCTCTCCGTTTCGCTGAGGGTTTTGGGTCAAGGGCTCGAGCCGGAGCATAACAAGTTGCGCGGAGACGACGGGCGTTAGTGTGTCAGGCGGGGAGGCCGGCGCGCCGGGTGTCGGACTGTGTGTGGGGATGCCGACGAGGGTGGTCTTTCTGTGTGACTCAGACCCGAGACCTCCAAGTCGGCTGGGGCGGGCTGACGTCGCGCTGTAGGCTGGGGGCGGATTCTGGGGGTTTGTGTGTTGGGGGGCGCGTCGGGGGCGAAGGATCCGCAGGACATGAGTCACGGAGGGAGTGGAGGAGTCAGGCCTGGAACAGAACTGGAGGCGGGAGCCCCGCTCCTGCGGGAAAGGGATGCAGCCCTCAGTCGTTCCGGCCGGCTAAAAGCTCAGCCACGGGATTCCCATTTTAGAAATGCAAAAGCACCAGCGAATCCTGATTTCTGGGAAGGGATGTGTGTCAAAGGGCCGGGTAAAGAGGAAATCACGAAGCAAATGTTAGTGTTGTGATGCCAGATGCTGCCTCAGCCCCTTCTGTGAGGGCGGAAAATTCCTCATCTAAAACGAGGGTGGGAGGGTGCGCTTGATTTAACCAGTTTTCACGTTGTAGTCACCTTTTCATCAGCCTGTTATTACCAGGCAGGCAATACCAGCAATTATTGGCCAACCCCAAGTCTTGTCTCAAAGGAAACCCCCCACCCTCTGCCTCCCTTGGAAATAACCCGGAACACTGACCAATTCCACTTGCATCCTTTGTCCTTTTAAACTTCATGTAGAGTTGATAACGACGTGTGAAATGAGTAAATTAAAATACTATATAATCCATAAATTGAATTGTCAGTGGCCTAAGTAATTGAAAGCTAACTACATTCTATTTTAATTTTTTGAAGTGCCTGCCATTTAAAGGAAAAATCAGGATCCCTATAGCTGTCATTAGTGAATTTAAATGTTTCCTTTGAAAGTTTTCTACAGTGCTTGCTTTATAAAAGTGCCCAGATCCTCCACAACTTTTATGAATTTATCCTACAAAATATTACATATTTTCCTTTTGTTTGTGTACTGTGGCCGAACTCATTCATTTTTTATGACTAGGAGAAAACCCAAGGGAACAAGAATTACTCCCTTTTTGCAGATAGGAAAATGAAACATAAATAGGATGGCACAGGGTCATACAGCAGCTAAGAGAGGAGATGAAATGACCCAAATTCACCTCCTGAGTATTCAAAGCTTTCCGCTTATCAGGGTCTAAAACTGTCCTTGGCACCGAACAAGACATCATTAAACATATGTGATTCCCACTTCCATCCCTTCTACCCTCCCTTTCCTTTCTCAAACCCTCAAATGTAGTCAAACAGAACTATTCCCACTTGTTCCCACTCGCCTAGCACTTTACAGACCCTTTGCCTTTGCGGAAGCAATCAACCTGTCCTGGGAGAGCCCTCTCTACCTCTCCACTTTTATTCAAAGCCTTTCCACTCTTTAGGAAACAATTGTAGTTCTACCACAGATTGATGAACAAACTCAGAGCATTGGTTCACTGTCCACTAATCTGACAGTTGGGATTTGTTTTTTTAAATCCTTTTTGTTCATTTACTTTTCCATTATACTTTGTCTTCCTATTCCTTGAATGCCCTTTTTTTTTTTTTTTTTGAGACGGAATCTCGCCCTGTTACCCAGGCTAGAGTGCAATGGCACTATCTCGGCTCACTGCAACCTCCATCTCCCGGGTTCAAACAATTGGTTCTCCTGCCTCAGCCTCCCAAGTAGCTGGGATTACAAGCGCCCGCCACCATGCCCAGCTAATTTTTGTATTTTTAGTAGAGACGGAGTTTCACCATGTTGGCCAGGCTGGTCTCGAACTCCTGACCTTATGATCCGCCTGCCTCGGCCTCCCAAAGTGCTGGGATTACAGGTGTGAACCACCATGCCCAGCCTCCTTGGATTACAGGTGTGAGCCACCATGCCCAGCCTCCCTGAATGCATACTTTATCCAACATTTGTTGATAAAAGAGAAGACTATAATGGATTCTAACAAAAAGGCCATAATTAAAGTCAATTTATACCAAATTTAAATGAATTAAGTGGGCTTCGGGAACATAAAAGTTGGGAGCAAGGGCTTTAAACTAAGTTAGCCTGGTTTCAATTCCGGGATCTGGCAGCTACTAGTTAGGCATTGGTCAAGTTACTTAACCTTATTAAGCTTTAGACAGAATGGAGATAATAACAGCATCTACCTCATAGGGTTGTTGTAAGGAGCAAATAAAACTCTTGTTTGTAAAGCATATAACCCAGTACAGAGTAAACTTCTAATAAATATTAGCAATGATGATGGCAATAATGTTGATCGTGGTTATGATGATGATGTTTTTTAAAACGGCCTTTTTTTTTTTTTTTTTTTTTTTGAGACGGAGTCTCGCTCTGTCTCCCAGGCTGGAGTACAGTGGCGCAATCTTGGCTCACTGCAAGCTCTGCCTCCCAGGTTCACGCCATTCTCCTGCCTCAGCCTCCCGAGTAGCTGGGACTACAGGCGCCTGCCACCACGCCTGGCTAATTTTTTATATTTTTAGTAGAGACGGGGTTTCACCGTGTTAGCCATGGTGGTCCCGATCTCCTGACCTTGTGATCCACCTGCCTTGGCCTCCCAGAGTGCTGGGATTACAGGCGTGAGCCACCGCGCCCAGCCCAAACGGTCTTACACCTAGAAGGTACCAAAGGTAAACTACTGGATTAATAGTTCGATTTTTAACCATTTGGGGAGAGATGTGATTTAAAATAGTTGTTTCTAGTAGATCTTTTAGGCCTTTTAGAAAAAAAAATATGTATCAACTTCAACCTTTTTCACTTTTTCTAGGTCTTTGAAGGACTAAATATTTAATTAGAGCTAAAGTGATTAACATTTAATATATCTACTTTGTATAGTGGGGGCTTCACAGCTGGAAGTTACAAAACATGGACCTTGCTTGGCAAACAGCTTTGATTTACTTAAAACTGCTTTAAAAGATAATTAGTAAACATTCAGATGTGTTGTGGGTCAAAAGTTACTCCTCGAGAGTAGGGAACTTGATGTTTTGATTTATCGAAATATAGTCTTAATAAAATTAGCACTATTTGTGCTATCTCAAAGAATCTAACAAAGAATCAGAAAAATCACCCTAATAATTAAATGACAAGTGCTTTTGGAAGGATAAAAGGCCACAATTATGCTAACAGTTCTCTGGGAAGAGGAGCATTTATTAATATTAATTTGAACAATATCCAAATTAATCCTTAGGTGGTTTTCATATTCTGCCTGATATGGGTTTAATCAAGTCATTGTCAAAGGAATGACTTCATCCAGGGACTATATGCTTATGCAAAAAAAAAAAACAAAAAAACAATGACTTCAGCAAGTTCTGTAGTCACGAAATTTTTTTAAAAAACAAGTTTAGAAGAAAGTTTGAAAGTGATATCGGTACACAATTTTTTAAAGTGTCTGTAAGTCTAGTCAATGCATTTATATAACTAGGATTGTATAACTAAGACTCTATACGCTATTTATAATTAATCAGGTAGAGACGTATTGAATCTGCATCACTCATTTATCTCCTAAAAAAAATTTACTCAGTTTTTTATTTATTTTATTTAGTTTATTTGTTTTTGAGACAGAGTCCCACTCTCGCCCAGGCTGGAGTGCAGTGGCATGATCTCGGGTCACTGCAGCCTCCCCTTCCCGGGTTCAAGCGATTCTCCTGCCTCAGCCTCCCAAGTAGCTGGGATTACAGGCGTCCGCCACAACACCCGACTAATTTTTGTATTTTTAGTAGAGACGGGTTTCATCAGGTTGGCCAGGCTGGTCTCAAACTCCTGACCTCAAGTGATCCGGCGGCCTCAGCCTCCCAAAGTGCTGGGATTACAGGCATGAGCCACCGCGCCTGGCCAGACAGGAAACATTCTAAATTTAAAAAGACCAGGCATGGTGGCTCACGCCTGTAATCCCAGCACTTTGGGAGGCCGAGGCAGGCGGATTGCTTGAGCTCAGGAGAGCAGCCTGGGCAACATAGGGAAACCCTGTCTTTACAAAACAAAAACTGAATATTTCTTTTTTTGTTTTAATTTTTATTTATTTATTTTTGAGACAAAGTCTCACTCTGGTCACCGAGGGTCCGGAGTGCAGTGGCACAATGGATCACGGCGCACTGCAGCCTAGACCTGCGCCCAAGCGATCCTGCTGCCTGAGCCTCCCACCTAGCTGGAATTACAGGGGTGAGCCACCACGCCGGGCTAATTTTCACTTGTTCTTTTTTTGTGTGTGTGACGGGGTTTCGCTCTGCTACCGAGGCTGGAGTGCAGTGGAGTGATCTCGGCTCACTGCAAGCTCCGCCTCCCGGGTTCACGCCATTCTCCTGCCTCGGCCTCCCGAGTAGCTGGGACTACAGGCGCCCACCACCACGCCCAGCTAATTTTTTGTATTTTTAGTAGAGACGGGGTTTCACCATGTTAGCCAGGATGGTCTCGATCTCCTGACCTCGTGATCCGCCCGCCTCGGCCTCCCAAAGTGCTGGGATTACAGGCCTGAGCCACCGCACCCGGCCGATAATTTTCACATTTTTTGTAGAGATGAGGTTTACCATTTTGCCAAGGCTGGTCCCAAACTCCTGGGTTCAAGTGATCCATCAGTCTTGGCCTCCCAAAATGCGTTTCTTTGTTGTTGTTGTTGTCTGAGATGGAGTCTTGCTCTGTCTACCAGGCTGGAGTGCAGTGGCGCAATCTTGGCTCACTGCAACCTCTGCCTCCCGGATGCAAGCCATTCTCCCTGCCTTAGCCTCCAGAGTAGCTGGGATTACTGGAGCCTGCCGCCACACCCGGCTAATTTTTGTATTTTTAGTATAGACGGGTTTTCACCATGTTGGTCAGGCTGCCCTCAAACTCCTGACCTCAGGTGATTCACCCGCCTAGGCCTCCAAAGTGCTGAGATTACAGAGATTACAGGCGTGAACCGCCGCGCCCGGCCGAAAATGCTGGTATTACAGGCATAAGCCACTAAACCCAGCTGAAAACCTTTTTAAATTGAAATCATTGTGATAGTGGGAGACACTTAGGAAATCCACCATGTCCCAATTTCAGAATGATCAAGGAATCTATGTAGTCACTAGAACTAGTTCTTGGCCTTTTTTTTTTTTTTTTTTTTTTTTTTTTTAGACAGAGTCTCACCCTATCGCCCAAGCTGGAGTGTAGTGGTGCGATCTCGGCTCACTGCAACGTCCACCTCCCGGGTTCAAGCAATTCTCCTGCCTCAGCCTCCCAAGTAGCTGGGACTATAGGCGTGTGTCACCAAGCCCAGCCAATTTTTTGTATTTTTAGTAGAGACAGGGTTTCACCGTGTTAGCCAGGATGGTGTCGAGCTCCTGACCTCGTGATCCATCCGCCTTGGCCTCCCAAAGTGCTGGGATTACAGGTGTGAGGCACCATGCCTAGCTAGTTCTTGTCCTTGATAAGGATATGATATTTATTTCATTTTTTTTTTAAGACGGAGTCTCTATCGCCAGGCTGGAGTGCGGTTGTGCGATCTCAGCTCACTGCAACCTTTGGCCCCTGGGCTCAAGGGATTTTCCTGCCTCAGCCTCCGGAGTAGCTGGGACTGCAGGCATGCGCCACCACGCCCAGCTAATTTTTGTATTTTTAGTAGAGACGGGGTTTCACCATGTTGGCCAGGATGGTCTCGATCTCTTGACCTCGTGATCCGCTCGCCTCGGCCTCCCAAAGTTCTGGGATCACAGGCATGAGCCACTGCGCCTGGCCTATTTCAGTTTTATAAATCTATTTTAGCCAGCAAGGTTGGGAAAAGAAAGGGCTATTTTACAATAAAGTATATTTAAATTATTACCAATTCATTTGTTTTGTTTTTCAGAGGAAATAAAAGTAATCTAGATTTATTTTTGGAATTTTGCACATTAGATACTGACAATTTGAGTAAAAATAATATTTACTGAAGGCATTATACACAAAGATTTTATAGTTCCTGAGTATTGCTGGATAGATGAATATAAAAAGGAGTAGCTTAGAACATATAAAGGCTACAGGAAGCCTGGAGACTGTTATAAAATACCTTATTAGAAGACTAAGAAAATGTATCCCTCAGATCAGAACAACCAGGCAGACACATGAACAAAAACGCTGCATGTCTAACTAACAAAGAAAAGGGCCATCGTGTCTGTGCGTGTGTGTGTGTGTGTGTGTGTGTGTGTGTGTGTGAGGGAGAGAGAGAGAATGTCTTCTATCTAGGAGCTGGTGAGGGGATTGTCTACCATCTTTTAAAAGTAAAATAAAATTGCTGATGTAAGACTTTGGAAAAGCCACAAAGTTCATCAAGGTAAAATAAAAAAAGTGCAAAAAAGATTTCATGGAACATCCTTGTAAGCACTACAAAGAAAGTGATGAAAACATTTCTTTATTGTGTATCTAATTTGTCATCTAATAGTATATAGTCTTATTTTTCTGTATTTGTCTCATCTCTACAACTAGACTATAAATATATTGAAGGCAGAAACCATCATCCTTTAATTGAACATAAAGGCTAAGAAATGAAAATCATTGGCGGGAGGGGCAAAAGAGATAGGGTACTAAAAGCCAATATTGAGCATCAATGATGTGCTAGGCATTGTTCTATTTATATCCCCATATAAATCCTATGAGGTGGGCATTTTTACTATCTTCATTGGTTTACAGATAAATAAACGGAACAGAGATAAGTAATTTGCCCAAGGCTACACTGTTAAGTGGCAGAGCAATCTCCTACCCACCATGCCATTCTGCCTTTCCAAGGAACACAAAATGAGTTTAAGAGATTTAACGGCCGGGCACAGTGGCTCATGACTGTAATCCCAGCACTTTGGGAGGCTGAGGCTGGTGGATCACTTGAGCCCAGGAGTTAAAGACCAGGTGGGCCAATATGGTGAAACCCCGTCTCTACAAAAAATACAAAAATTAGCTGGATGTGATGGCATATACCTGTAGTCCCAGCTGCTCGGGAGGCTGAGCTCGGGAGGAGGATCTGCTTGAGCCCAGGTAGCAGAGGTTGCTGTGAGCCTTGATCGTGCCACTACACTCCAACCAGGGCGACAGAGTCAGACCCTGTCTCTAACATACAAACAAAAAAAGAGATTTAACAAGGTCTTCTGTGATTAAGTTCTGATAGCATCATCCACAAAGTCAAGGTTCAGAGGAGGCTGAAGAGGTCCGGGGAGGCTCCATGGAGGATGTAGATCTTAACTCAGGTCTTAATGAGTAAAATACGAGTAAGTAGGAAGGAGAGAGAGAACACGGTGAGTAGAGTCAGGAAGTGAAGCAAAAGATGCTTTGTGTTGTTTTTTTGTATTCCCCAATACGCATGAAATGAATGAATAAAAGTTTCTTTTTTTTTTTTTTTTTTTTTGAGACGGAGTCTCGCTCTGTCACCCAGGCTGGAGTGCAGTGGCGCGATCTCGGCTCACTGCAACATCTGCCTCATGGGTTCAAGCGATTCTTCTGCTTCAGCCTCCCTAGTAGCTGGGATTACAGGTGTGCACCACCACACCCAGCTAATTGTTGTATTTTTGGTAGAGACAGGGTTTCACCATCTTGGCCAGGCTGGTCTTGAACTCCTCACTTTGTGATCCACCCACCTCAGCCTCCCAAAATGCTGGGATTACAGGCGTGAGCCACCGCTCCCGGCCTCAAAAGTTTTTAAATCAAAAGCAAGAAGCCAGAGAGAATTAGTAGGAGCTCCTGATGTCATGTTGCAAAAGATGACAGATATTTTATTTCAGTCTTTTTTTTTTTTTTTTGAGACAGAGTCTCCCTCTGTTGCCCAGGCTGGAGTGCAGTGGCACGATCACGGCTCACCACAACCTCCACCTCTCAGGTTCAAGCGATTCTCCTGCCTCAGCCTCCCCAGTTGCTGGGACTACAGGCACGCGCCACCATGCCCAGCTACTTTTTGTGATTTTAGTAGAGACAGGGTTTCACTATGTTGGCCAGGCTGGTCTCGAACTCCTGACCTCGTGATCTGCCCACCTCGGCCTCCAAAAGTGCTGGGATTACAGGCGTCAGCCACTGTGCCTGGCTATTTCAGTCTACTGAAGAAGAAACTAGGAAGATTCTCTATTCAAATAATCCTTTGAAGCTTATAGTTTAGGAATATTTGCTTATATCGTGGTTAATACACAGAGTGTTCCAAGTTCCAAATGATAAAAAAGACATGTAGTAACATTATTGGACGAAATCTACTCAATAATTTGGAGAAACTTACATTTTCAACATATACTTCCTCTTTTCCAACTCTGTTTTACTTCTCTTTTTAGGTGGCATGCTGCTAAAACAAACATGACAGCTCACCACAGCCAGAACTAGAACAACTATACTACAGATACAGAGCTGTTTTTTATGGCCTTCAATGTATTACTTTGTCAGAGATTCTTTGCATGTCTAAATACAATCTTGCTCACTCTGGAGAACTAGGGAGCTGTGCTGTTCCCTTTATAGAAATGGTGTCACTTTTCCCTGGATAGGTTAAGCTTGCTTCTGTGTTCAGTGATGCTACTTTATTAGAGAGACACCCACTCACTAGATGAGAAAGTCAGACTTGGCAGTCATCAGGGTTTTATCTGAAGTTACTCTTGTAAATGGGAGTTATGTTGGCAAATAGCTGGTCCTCTGATGCAGGGCTTAAAGACAACACAGATTACATTCTTTAACCCAAATTGCACACACATCCCCAAATTCTGTCTGTCCTTTCAGACCAACTGAAGGCCATTTGGACTTCTTACAGCTTTCCCTGACCACTCCAGCCAATAGTTTTTAAACTCACAGCAGTTACTTGTAATACTAATCTGATACAATCATATTCTTTTGTTATCTAAGTAGTTACTGTCATTATAGCATCATTTTAAGGAGCAGCAAGCATTAATTTAATACCCACTTTGAAAGGACTCATGTTTCCCCAATGAGACCATCAGCTCTTCAAGTGCAGAGATCATATTGTAAAAAAAAAAAATTTTTTTTTTCAGATGGAGTCTTCTCTGTCGCCCAGGCTGGAGTGCAATGGCATGATCTTGGCTCACTGCAACCCCCGCCTCCCTGGTTCAAGCAATTCTTCTGCCTCAGCCTCCCGAGTAGCTGAGATTACAGGCGCATACCACCACACCTGGCTAATTTTTGTATTTTTAGTAGAGACAGGGTTTCACCACGTTGGCCAGGCTGGCCTCGAACGCCTGACCTCAAGTGATCCACTTGCTTCGGCCTTCCAAAGTGCTGGGATTACAGGCGTGAGCCACCGTGCCTGGCCGTAAAAAAAATTTTTTTTAAAGAGACGGGTTGGCAAGGCACGGTGGCTCATGCCTGTAATCCCAGCACTTTGGGAGGCCGAGGCGGGCAGATCATCTGAGGTCGGGAGATCGAGACCAGCCTGACCAATGTGGAGAAACCCCATCTCTACTAAAAATACAAAATTAGCCGGGCGTGGTGGTGCATGCCTGTAATCCTAGCTACTCAGGAGGCTGAGGCAGGAGAATTGCTTGAACCCAGGAGGCGGAGGTTGCAGTGAGCAGAGATTGCACCATTGCACTCCAGCCTGGGCAACAAGAGCGAAACTCCATCTCAAAAAAAAAAAAAAAAAGAGACGGGTCTCAGCCTGGCGCGGTGGCTCATGCCTGTAATCCCAGCACTTTGGGAGGCTGAGGCAGGTGGATCACAAGGTCAGGAGACTGAGACCATCCTGGCCAACATGGTGAAACCCCGTCTCTACTAAAAAATACAAAAATTAACTGGGCATGGTGGCATGCACCTGTAGTCCCAGCTACTCGGGAGGCTGAGGCAGGAGAATGGCTTGAACCCGGGAGGTGGAGGTTGCAGTGAGCCGAGATCGCGCCACTGCACTCCAGCCTGGCGACACAGCGAGACTCCATCTCAAAAAAAAAAAAAAAGAGAGACAGGGGTCTCACTATATTGTCTAGGTTGGCCTTGAACTCCTGGGCTCAGTGATCCTCCCGCCTCAGCCTCCCAAGTAGCTTGGACTACAGAGGCATGCCATGGTGTCTAGCTTGTATTGCACATTTTTAAAGACCACATAGTTCCCTTTGAGAGGTGCTAAACAGATACCTTTTAAAACAATTGAATTAAACCCCAAAGAGAACACATCTAAGAGACTGAATTTCCCCTGCCTCAATCTTGCCCCTGCCACTTTTATTTATTTATTTATTTTTTATTTTTTGAGATGGAGTCTCACTCTGTCTCCCAGGATGATCCCAGGTGGCACGATCTGGGCTCACTGCAACCTCTGCCTCTGGGTTCAAGCAATTCTCCCACCTCAGTCTCCTGAGTAGCTGGAATTACAAGCACCCGCCACATGCCTGGTTAATTTTTGTATTTTTTAGTAGAGATTGGGTTTCACCATGTTGGCCAGGGTGGTCTTGAACTCCTGACCTCAGGTGATCCGCCCACCTCAGCCTCCCAAAGAGCTGGGATTATAAGCGTGAGCCACCGCACCGGGCCCACTTTTATTGTATATTATAATGAAAAGATGGATAGCTGTTTGCTCTTTTAAAAATATAGACTTCATAGCCGGGCGTAGTGGCTCATGACTGTAATCCCAGCACTTTGGGAGGCGGAGGCAGGTGGATCACGAGGTCAGCAGTTTGAGACCAGCCTGATCAACATGGTGAAACCCTGTCTCTAGTAAAAATACAAAAAAATTAGCTGCGCCTGGTGGCAGGTGCCTGTAATCCCAGTGACTTGGGAGGCTGAGGCAGGAGAATCACTTGAAACCGGAAGGCGGAGGTTGCAGTGAGCCGAGATTGCGCCACTGCACTCTAGCCTGGTAGACAGAGCAAGACTCCATCTCAAAAAAAATAAAAAATAAAAATAAAAATATAGACTTCACCAGGTATGGTGGCTCCTGCCTGTAATCCCAACACTTTGAGAGGCCAAGGTGGGAGGACTGGTTGAGACCAGGAGTTCAGGAGCAGCCTGGGCAGCATAGTAAGACCCCATCTCTACAAAAAAATTTAAAGATTAGCTAGGCATGGTGGCACTTGTCTTTTGTCCCAGCTACTCGGGAGATTGAGGTGGGAGGATTACTTGAGCCCAGAAGGTCGAAGCTGCAGTAAACTATGATCATGCCAGTGCATTCCAACCTAGGTGATGGAACAAGACCCTGTCTCAGAAAGTACATATAAAATAAAAAATAGCCGGGCGTGGTGGCTCACGCCTATAATCCCAGCACTTTGGGAGGCCGAGGTGGGCGGATCAGGAGGTCAGGAGATTGAGACCATCCTGGCTAACACAGTGAAACCCCGTCTCAACTAAAAAGACAAAAAATTAGCCGGGCGTGGTGGCGGGCGCCTGTAGTCCCAGCTACTGGGGAGGCTGAGGCAGGAGAATGGCGTGAGCCTGGGAGGCAGAGCTTGCAGTAAGCCGAGATCGCGCCACTGCACTCCAGCCTGAGCCACAGAGCGAGACTCCGTCTCAAAAAAATAAAAAATAAAAAAATAGGCAGGGTGCAGTGGCTCATGCCTGTAATCCCAGCACTTTGGGAGGCCGAGGCGGGCGGATCACGAGGTCAGGAGATCGAGACCATCCTGGCTAACACAGTGAAACCCCGTCTCAACTAAAAGGACAAAAAATTAGCCGGGCGTGGTGGCGGGCGCCTGTAGTCCCAGCTACTGGGGAGGCTGAGGCAGGAGAATGGCGTGAGCCCGGGAGGCAGAGCTTGCAGTGAGCAGAGATTGCACCACTGCACTCCAGCCTGGGGCTCCCTCCGTCTCAAAAAAATAAAATAAATAAAAAATATATAGAGAGATTTCAAAGAAAATTTTTACCTCTTTCAGAAAAGTGCTTCTATAAATTAAGATTGCCAGATTCCTAAGTCAAAGACCTAGAGAAATAGATATAGTCTAATTTGTAGAGATAATATATAATATTAACTGAGCAATTACTATGTGCTAAGAACTATTCTAACTAATCACTTTATGGGGCATATATATGGCACATACACATTTGTACATGTTATTTATATCTGTATGACACTTTTTTTCTTTAGTTATCTTATTATTTTACCCAAGAAGGTAAATAACTTGCCCAAGGTCTACAGATCAGACAGACACAAGCCCTAATTGGGGGACAATGTATGGGGTAGCTCTTTGTGTGTTAGAGTTCACACTCAGAGCATGGAGGGCTCTGAGCCAGATTAAATACAATCAGGATGTAAGGTAATGAATGGAAAGACAATAGAGTTCATGGATAATTTCCTTCAATATGTGTGCAAAAGAAATGAATGGTGATTGGAACAATGTTAAAAGTTGACCATGTAGGTGAGTAGTGTCAAAGAAGAATGGCTGCTAAAAATGAGAGCTTTTAGTGGCCAGGCATATGGGGTAAGGGTTAGCCTTAGCTTAAAGGGAAACTACAATCTTTATAGCAGTAAGATAAGAATCTTTTTTTTTTTTTCTTGAGTTGGAGTCTCAATCTGTCGCCCAGGCTGGAGTGCAGTGGCGCAATCTTGGCTCACTGCAACCTCCACCTCCCGGGTTTAAGCTATTCTCCTGCCTCAGCCTCCTGAGTAGCTGGCATTACAGGCACCTGCCACCACGCCCAGCTAATTTTTGTATTTTTAGTAGAGATGGGGTTTCACCATGTTGGTCAGGCTGGTCTCTAACTCCTGACCTCGTGATCCGCCCGCCTCGACCTCCCAAGGTGTTGGGATTATAGGCGTGAGCCACTTCACCTGGCCCATAAGAATCTTTTGTATCTTGCAGTGATACTGACTGATTTGGTCAATTAATTAATAAACCTTTACTGAACAGCTACTATGTTTAAAGTACTGTGCTAAATACATGGAGTTATATACAGAGGCAAAAGATATGGTCCTAATTCCTGCTTAAGGAATCACATATAGGCCAGGCATAGTGGCTCACACTTGTAATCCCGGCACTTTGGGAGGCCGAGGCAGGAGGAATGCTGAACCCAGGAGTTTGAGACCAGCCTGGGCAAGAGTGAGACCCTGTATCTACCTAAAATTTGTGTGTGGAGTTGGTGTGTGGGTATGTGTGTTGTTTTTTTGAGACAGTCTCACTCTGTCGCCCAGGCTGGAGTGCAGTGGCACAACCTCGGCTCATTGCAGTCTCAACCTCTCGGGCACGAGTGATCCTCTCACCTCAGCCTTCCAAGTAGCTGGGACTACAGGCACATGCCACAATGACCAGCTAATTTTTGTATTTTTTGTAGAGACAGAGTTTTGCCATGTGGCCCAGGCTGGTCTCAAATTCCTGAGCTCAAGTGATCCACCAGCCTCAGCTTCCCAAAGTACTACGATTACAGGCCTGAACCAACACATCCAGCCCCCAAAATTTTTTAAAAATTAGCAAGGCGTAGTGGCATGCGACTGTGGTCCCAGCCTCTCAGGAGGCTGAGGTGGGAGGATTGCTTGAGGTTGCAGTGAGCTATGATCACACCACTGCACTCCAGCCTGGGCAACAGAGTGAGAACCTGTCTCAAAAACATTTTTAAATATAATTTGAGATGGGGGTCTTGTTCTGTTGCCCAGGCTAGTCTCAAAATCCTGGCATCAAGCAATCCTCCCACCTTGGCCTCCCAAAGTGCTAGAACTACAGGTGCAAACCACCTTGACTGTCCTAATCTCTATTTTACAGATGACCAAAACCAAATCTCAGAGACAGGAAGTAATTTGCCAAAGTTCTCATAGCATTTGCAGAACAAGGATAGTGAACTCAGACTTTATTGTTACCCTAGGTTCTTATAGAGATATAATTAGTAACGAAAGGTAGTATTTACCAAGTGGCAAATTAATGGCATAGGCAATGCATATTTTTTGCTGTAATATGTTTACAAGTTCAAGGTCTAAATGCTAACTAGAACTTTTCCTGGGGAATTTTCAGGTGCAGAGGGACTTTCCCAGTTGTCTCCTCAACTGCTTTAGCATGAAAACAGAAAATGGTCTCGTCTCTGTGCACCTGTGCCACCTCAATCATACACATCACACGTGCTCTTGATATGTCTAGTTCGGTAGTTCTGAAAGTGTGTGGTCTTCGGACCAGCAGCACCTGGAAACTTGTCAGAAATGCAAATTATCGGGCCCACTGCCTGCCCACTGAATCAGAAACTCCGGGGGTGGAGCCCAGCGATCTGTGTTTTGATAAGCACTCCAGGCGACTCCAGTGTACCTTGGGGTTTCAGAACCCATGGTCTGTCTCATGGCTCTCCAGAGAGTCTGTGAACTCCTGGAAGGCAGAGCCTGTGTCCTTGCAGTTTTTGTTTCCCTAGCATCAAGACTTGAACACAGTGGATATTAATAAATATTTCTAAAACTGAACCACAGGAGTGAATATGGCTCGGCAGAAAACCAACATCCCATTATCCTACTCTTTTCATATGATGATTAATACTTTTAGGTTTACTTTATGTAACGGATTGAATTGTGTCCCCCAAAATTCATGTAAAAGTCCTAACTCCCTAGTACCTCAGAAAATATAACTGTATTTGGAGATAGGGCCTTTAAGAAGTAATTAGGGTAAAATGAGGTCATATGTGTAGACCCTAATGCAATATGACTGGTATCCTTATAAGAAGAGGAGATGAGGCTGGGTGTGGTGGATTATGCCTGTAATCCCAGCACTTTGGGAGGCCAAGACGGGCGGATCACGTGAGGACAGGGGTTCGAGACCAGCCTGGCCAACATGGTAAAAGCCCATCTTTACTAAAAATACAAAAAAATTAGCTGGATGTTGTGGTGGGCACCTATAATCCCAGCTACTTGGGAGGCTGAGGCAGGAGAATCACTTGAACCCAGGAGGCAGAGGTTGCAGTGAGCCGAGATCACACCACTACACTCCAGCCTGGGCGACAGAGCAAGACTCTGTCTAAAAAAAAAAAAAAAAAAAAAAAAAAATTGCTTGAGGCCAGGAGTTCAAGACCATCCTGGGGAACATAGTGAGACCCCGGTCTCTACCAAAAAATAGATATTTTTTAAAATAACCAGGCATGGTGGTATGCACCTGTAGTCCCAGCTACTCAGGAGGCTGAAGTGGGAGGATTGCTTGAGCCTAGGAGTTCGAGAGTGTAGTGAGTCATGATTGTACCACCGCACTCCAGCCTGGGATAGAGTAAGACCCTGTCTCCAACAACAATAACAAAGGGGAAAAAAAAAAAAAAGAAAATACAGGGAGGAGAAGACAGCCATCTGCAGTCAAATGCTCTACCCCTGAGAAGACACCTGTCTACAAGCCCAGGAGAGTGGCTTCAAAAGAAACTGACCCTACAGACATCAGGACCTTGGACTTCTAATCTCCAGAATTGGATCAAAATTTAATTTCTGTTGTTTAAGGCATCCAGATTGTGTAGTCCTTTGTTATGACAGCTCTAGCAGACTAATACACTTTATGAAAAATTTTACACCAGGCACAGTGGCTCACACCTGTAATCCCAGCACTTTGGGAGGCCAAGACAGGTAGATCGCTTGAGCCCAGGAGTTCAAGGCCAGCCTGGGCAACATGGTAAAACCCTGTCTCTATAAAAAAATACAAAAATTAGCCAGGCTGATGGCACATACCTATAGTCCTAGCTACTCTGGAAGCTGAGAAGGGAGGATCACTTGAGCCCAGGAGGTGGAATTTGCAGGGAGCTGAGATTGTGCCACTGTACTCCAGCATGGACAACAGAGCAAGATTCTCTGTTTTTCACTTTTTTTTTTTTTAAGACAGATTCTCAGTCTGTCGCCCAAGCTGGGGTGCGGTGGCATGCGATCACAGCTCACTGCAGCCTCCACCTCCCCAGGCTCAAGTGATCCTCCTGCCTCAGCCTTCCAAGTAGCAGGGGCTCCAGGCATGTGCCACCATGCCTGGCTAATTTTTGTATTTTTTGTAGAGATGGGGTTTCACCATGTTTCCAAGGCTGATCTCAAACTCCTAAGTTCAAGTGACCGCCTGCCTCAGGCTCCCAAAGTGCTGGGGTTACAAGCATGAGTAACTGTGCCTGGCTAAGACTCTGTCAAAAAAAAAAAAAAAAGAAAGAAAGCGAGAGAGGAAGAAAAAAGAAAGAAAGAAAAAGAGAGAAAGAAAGAAAAGGAAGGAAAGAGAAGGAAGGAAGGAAAGATGAAGGAAGGAAGGAAGGAGTGAGCCAGGCGCGGTGGCTCATGCCTGTAATCCCAGCACTTTCGGAGGCTGAGGTGGATGGATCATGAGGCCAGGAGTTCGAGACCAGCCTGGTCAACATGGTGAAACCCCGTCTCTACTAAAAATAAAAAAAATTAGCTGGATGTGGTGGCGGGCACCTGTAATCCCAGCTATGTGGGAGGCCGAAGCAGGAGAATCGCTTGAACCTGGGAGGCAGAGGTTGCAGTGAACCAAGATCACGCCGTTGTACTCCAGCCTGGGCAACAAGAGCAAAACTCCATCTCAAGAAAAAAGAAAGATTTTACAAAAATACTGACTCTGAAATCCAATAACTCCCATCCAAGCCCAGCCTATGACAAGAAAATCTTATTTTTGGGTGAGTGTTAATAGTCTTTAGATATTAGCTATTAAAGTGTTCAAGAAATTACTCTCTTTTGTTTTTTTTTTTGAGACAGAGTTTCACTCTTGTTGCTCAGGCTGGGTGCAATGGTGCAATTTCAGTTCACTGCAACCTCTGCCTCCCGGGTTCAAGCGATTCTCCTGCCTCAGCCTCCCGAGTAGCCGGGATTACAGGCACCCGCCACGATGCCCAGCTCATTTTCTGTATTTTTAGTAGAGACAGGGTTTCATCATGATGGCCAGGCTGGTCTCAAACTTTTGACCTCAGGTGATCCACCCACCTCGGCCTCCCATAGTGCTGGGATTACAGGCATGAGCCACCGCACGGGGCCAGAAATGACTCTTTCATGCTCAACATGAGTACCGGTTTTGGAGTCAGACAGAGGTGGGTTTCAATCCTGACTTGGCCACTTAGGAGTTGTGTAATTTTAAATTCTAAAGACTCAGTTTCCTCATTGTAATTTGAGGCTAATAACAGCTCTCTCCTAGATATAGCTCAATAATTGGCAATTATATCATAGGCACTCAGTACGGGGTGATTTAAAAACGATAATTAACTAAATTACTTATATTGGTCCTCTCTGGGAGATGGGATTACTGTGAAATTTTACTGTAATATTTGAATCAATTCAACACACATATAGTACTATGGTGACTTTTTAAAAGACCATACAAAATGGCAATAGTTTTCAAGGCAAAAAAAATTGAAGACTCCAGGATAATATAAATCAAAATAAGAATGTCAGAGCCCGGCCAGGTGCAGTGGTTTATGCCTGTAATCCCTGCACTTTGGGAGGCTGAAGCCGGTGAATCACCTGAGGTCAGGAGTTCAAGACCAGCCTGACCAACACGGTGAAACCCCATCTCTACTAAAAATACAAAAAATTAGCCGTCGCGTGGTGGTAGGCGCCTGTAATCCCAGCTACGCAGGAGACTGAAGCAGGAGGATTGCTTGAACCTGAGAGGCTGAGGTTGCAGTGAGCCGAGATTGCACCGCTGCACTCCAGCCTGGGCAACAAGAGCAAAACTCATCTCAAAAAAAAAAAAAAAAAAAAAGAATGTCAGGGGCCAAGCCCAGTGGCTCATGCCTGTAATCCCAAAACTCTGGGAGGCCAAGGCAGGTAGATCACTTGAGGCCAGGAGTTCGAGACCAGCCTGGCCAACATGGCGAAACCCTGTCTCTACAAAAAATACAAAAATTAGCCAGGCATGGTGGCACACACCTATAGTCTTGGCTACTCAGGAGGCTGAGGTGGGAGGATTGCTTGAGCCTTGGAGGTTGAGGCTGCAGTGACCCAAGATTGCACCACTGCACTCCAGCCTGGGCGACAGAGCAAGACCGTATCTCAAAACAAAAAAAAGAATGTCGGAAATGTAATAGAAAGATATGACACTGGCCAGGAGCAGTGGCTCATGCTTCTAATCCCAGTACTTTGGGAGTCTTAGGTGGGCGGATCACTTGAGGTCAGAAGTTTGAGACTAGCCTGACTAATATGGTGAAAACCTGTCTCTTTTAAAAAAAATCATAATAATACAAAAATTAACCGGGTGTGATGGCGTGCACCTGTAATCCCAGCTACTTGGGAGGCTGAGGTAGGGAGAACCTGGGAGGCAGGAGTGAGCTGAGATTGCGCCACTGCACTCCAGCCTGGGTGACAGAGTGAGGCTCCATCAGAAAGAAAAGGAAAGAGAGAGAGAGAGAGGGAGGGAGAGAGGGAGAGAGAGAGAGAGAGAGAGAAGAAGGGAAAGGGAAGGGAAGGGAAAGGGAAGGTTCGGCCGGGTGCGTGGCTCACACCTGTAATCCCAGCACTTTGGTAAGCCGAGGTGGGCAGATCACCTGAGGTCAGGAGTTTGAGACCAGCCTGGCCAACATGGTGAAACCCCATCTCTACTAAAAATACAAAAATTAGCCGGGCGTGGTGGCAGGCGCCTGTAATCCCAGCTACTCGGGAGGCTGAAGGAGGAGAATTGCTTGAACCCGGGAGGCAGAGGTTGCAGTGAGCCATGATAGCGCCATTGCACTCCAGCTTGGGGGACAAGAGCGAGACTTCATCTCAAAAAAAAAAGTAAAAAAGAAAAAAAAAAAAGAAAGAAAGAACAACCAAGAATAATTGAATTATCTCAAACTGAGGAGTATAAGTAGGGATTACTGGCCAGGTGCCATGGCTCATGCCTGTGATCCCAGCACTTTCAGAGGCAGAGGCATGTGGACTGCTTGAACCCAGGTGAAACTCCATCTCTACAAAAATGTAAAAATTAGCTGGGCATGGAAGTGCATGCTTGTGGTCCCAGTTATTTGGGAGGTTGAGGCGGGAGAACGACCTGAGCTGGGGAAGCTGAGGCTGCCATGAGCTGTGATTGTGCCACTGCACTCCAGCCTGGGTGACAGAGGAGACCCTGTCTCAAAAAAACAACCACAAAAAAGTAGAGAGTATTGATTTTGTCTTTGTAGCCCCAGATCCTAATATGGCACCTGGCATTTACTATAAGTTCAACAGCTTTTGGTTGAATGAAAGAATGAGTGGCCTTCTACAAAGATGATTATTCTAATTATACAAAGACATTTCAACCCAACTATACTTACACAGGATCAGTGGCTCTGTAGCATTTTGACGTTGTGCAATCAAAACTTTAATTTTAACCTGGAAATTCCACTTTGGGGAAATAACCTAATAAAATAACCCCAAAGGAAAAAGAGTGTTGTGGTTTTTTGTTTGCTCGTTTGTTTTTAAAGAGTCTTTACTGTGGTGATATTCAAAATAGAGAAATCCTGGGATTGTCTTCAGAGCCTCCCCAACCCACATTCTACATCTCCCCTCCGGAGTTTTGACCAGACCTTCCCAGCTGCCCTCAAACTGTTCTGACCATCCTTGCCACCCTTCACCTGACTGGCCCAGTACCCCATACTTCAGACCCTTTGGGATCAGCGTTCTCATTAAAACTTATTGTCTTGTGCCTGCATGTCTTTGGGACTCTACTCAGCCAACTAATCTGATAAATTAATTTAAACTGGGATGCTAATGAGTGATAATGGCTGAATATGAGTCTACTCATGGATAACAATTGCATTTCAGCAGCACCTTACTCTGAGACATAAGTCATACATTTCAGGCATGTGTAGGGCCATTGGGAAAGATATTTTAAGATGGGGGATTTCCTCAAACCCCTCAAATTACACCATGTAGACAGCTGTCTATCCTGCATGATCTGGCCAACTTCTTGGCATCCAGTTATCAGCTCTCAGGGGACACTAGAGGAAACAGTTCTGTTCCTCTTCTTAATAGGGCTTGGAAGTAGTGACTAGACTATTTATATCACTTAAGGAAAAAGGCATTTACTCTGGAACCCACCCAGAAAGCACACATCCCCTAGGCTTAGAGAAGACCTTTCTCTACCTAGAATTGTAAGAACAGGGAAAAATTCAAATCAGAAACTATTAATGCCCCTATGATTTGCTGCAAAATAAACTCTGAAAACAATACTAAAGTTTTCAGAGATTTAGGACCTTCTCTGGGAATGGCTGAGTGACTAGAGCCTAGATCAACCAAAATGAGTGAGCTGGGACAGGCAAACACTAACGTGGGACTGGTTAAAATAAGCTTCGCTGCCAGGCGCGGTGGCTCACCCCTGTAATCCCAGCACTTTGGGAGGCCAAGGCGGGCGGATCACCAGGTCAGGAGTTCGAGACCAGCCTAGACAACATGGTAAAACCCCGTCTCTACTAAAAATACAAAAATTAGCCGGGCATGGTGGTGCGCCTCTGTAATCCCAGCTACTCGGGAGGCTGAGGCACGAGAATCGCGTGAACCCAGGAGGTGGAGGTTGCCATGAGCTGAGATCACACCATTGCACTCCAGCCTGGGCAACAAGAGCAAGATTCTGTCTCAAAAATAATAAAAATAAGATTCACAAGTGAGAAGATCCTAGACATCAATATGAATTTATACAGATACGCACATGAGGGACTATTGAACCTGATCATAAAAATAGTTGCCTTTTGGCCAGGCATGGTGGCTCACACCTTAATCTCAGCACTTTGGGAGGCTGAGGCGGGCAGGTCACCTGAGGTTAGAAGTTCTAGACCAGCCTGACCAACATGGAGAAACCCCATCTCTACTAAAAATACAAAATTAGCTGGGCATGGTGGCGCCTGTAGTCCCAGGCACCAGATACTCGGGAGGCTGAGGCAGGAGAATCGCTTGAACCCGGGAGGCAGAGGTTGCAGTGAGCCGAGATCACACCATTGCACTCCAGCCTGGGCGACAAGAGCGAAACTCCGTCTCAAAAAAAAAAAAAAAAAAAAAGCAATGAAACCCTTTAAATCTGATCTCCAGGATCAGGTAAGGCTTCAGCGCAGAGGCAGCCCATGGGTCCTGAAACATGAAAATAAATGGAAGAATCAGCTAGTGGAAGGATAGGATGGGAAAACTCAAATTTCAGCAATAAGAAAAAGCATGTGCAAACATCCAGAGGCATGAATTTGCATGAACAGAAAAAAAAAAGTCATGCTGTAGTAAGTAGGGTGCAAACATTTTTATTTATGTATTTATTTTTGAGACGGAGTTTCGCTCTTGTTGCCCAGATTGGAGTGCAATGGCGCAATCTCGGCTCACCGCAACCTCCGCCTCCCAGGTTCAAGCGATTCTCCTGCCTCAGCCTCCGGAGTAGCTGGGATTACAGGCATGTGCCACCACACCCAGCTAATCCAAAAATTTTATAAGCACAAAATAGAGGAAAAGGTTGCATTATCATTGTGAAGTTAAAGAAAAATGGTTATTTTTCAGTAGGATCTGTGCTATCAGGAAAAGCACACAAGGTAAAGATAGTGAAATTCCTTATGTACACAACCAAGGCTCACTGAAGTGAGAAAGTCCAGATGATCATGAGGCAGTCACTTCTCAGCTGCCCCACCTCCAACATTTTACCCCCATTTGAGAAGGGGAGTGGGAGCTTGATAGAGAACAAATTATCAGTTGCAGCTACATCTGAAATTCACATTATCACAGACTTTTACCTTGCTGCTGAGTATGGTCCCTGGAGTGAAAAGGGAGTGGAGAGAAATTCAACTGAACAAGCAGCCACAGGTGATCATGAAGAGCTGTGTATGCCTTTCTTTCTTTCTTTTTTTTTTTTTTTGAGATGGAATCTCACTCTGTCACCTAGGCTGGAGTGTGGAGTGCAGTGGTGTAATCTTGGCTCATTGCAACCTCTGCCTCCCAGGTTCAAGTGATTCTCCTGCCTCAGCCTCCCAAGTAGCTGGGACTACAGGCATGCACCACCACACTCTCCTACTTTTTGTATTTTTAGTAGAGACGGGGTTTCACCATGTTGGCCAGGCTGACCTCGAACGCCTGATCTCAGGCAATCCACCCGCCTCGGCCTCCCAAAGTGCTGGGATTACAGGTGTGTGCCACCGTGCCCAGCCTGTGTGTGCCTTTCTGAGGAGTATGAATTTTATCTGAAGAGTGGTAGAAGGCCGTGGAAGGATTTTCAGCAGGCCCACCTGCTGTAAAAGCTTTCCCGAGCCACCACCATGTGTGTAGTTACTTGCACTCATATCCCCTTAGATTCAATAGTCTGACTTACATTTTTTAATTGTTATTATCCATATATACAATATGCATTCCTAGGCTGGGCACAGTGGCTCATGTCTGTAATCCCAGCACTTTGGGAGGCTGAGGCAGGAGGATCACTTGAGGCCAGGAGATCAGGACCAGCCTGGGCAACATAGAAAGACCTTTTCTTGGCTGGGCGCAGTGGCTCACACCTGTAATCCCAGCACTTTGGGAGGCCGAGGTGGGTGGATCACGAGGTCAGGAGTTCAAGACCAGCCTCGCCAACATGGTGAAATCCTGTCTCTACTAAAAACTACAAAGATTAGCTGGTATGGTGGCACGTGCCTGTGGTCCCAGCTACTGCGACAGAAGAATCACTTGAACCCGGGAGGTGGAGGTTGCAGTGAGCCGTGATCACATCACTGTACTCCAGCCTGGGCGACAGGGCGAGACTCCGTCTCGAAAAAAAAAAAAAAATTAACCAGACATAGTGGTGCAACCCTGTCATCCCATTTACTCAGGAGGTTAAAGTAGGAAGATGATCGCTTGAGTCCAGGAGTTCCAGGCTGCAGTGAGCTATGATGGTGCCACTGCAACAAAGCCTGGGAGACAGATGAGACTCTGTCTCTAAAACAAACAAATATGCACTGCAAATATATTTGTTGTTTGAAGGAAAGAAGCAAAGGGAAAGGAATCATTTGAATTCCTCTTATTTCACAATTCAATCAGTCAGAGTTGAGTTCACCAGGTGGATGAACTGATAAAGTTTTGTAGAGGCAAAACAAAATTCTTTTTTGTGGGGGACGGATTCTGGCTCTGTCACCAGGCTGGAGTGCAGTGGTGCGATCTCTGCTCACTGCAACCTCCGACTCCCTGGTTCAAGTGATTCTCCTGCCTCAGCCTCCTGAGTAGCTGGGATTACAGGCACACGCCACCACACCCGGCTAATTTTTGTATTTTTAGTAGAGATGGGGTTTCACCATGTTGGCCAGGATGGTCTTGATCTCCTGACCTTGTGATCTGCCCGCCTTGGCCTCCCAAAGTGCTGGGATTGCATGCGTGAGCCACCGCACCCGGTGGCAAAACAAAATTCTTAATGTATTTATAAATGTGAATGTGACTTATACAACCGTTATTTATTCAAATGAAACCTTTACCTTCCTATCTGCTTAATTCTATTGAACTCAAAAGCGCCTAGGACTATGGGGGACACAAAGCAAGTGGGAGTGCTAAAAGTTTATAAATATACTGTTAATCGGCTGGGCATGGTGGCTCATGCCTGTAATCCTAGCACTTTGGGAGGCCAAGACAGGTGGCTCACTTGAGATTAGGAGCTCGAAACCAGCCTAGGCAACATGGTGAAACCCCATCTCTACTAAAAATACAAAAAAATTAGCTGGGCGTGGTGGTGGGCGCTTGTAATCCCAGCTACTCGGGAGGCTGAGGCAGGAGAATTGCTTGAACCCGGGAGGCAGAGATTGCAGCAAGCCGAGACTGCACCACTGCACTCCAGCCTGGGCAACACAGCAAGACTCAGTCTCAAAAAAAAAAAAAAAAAAAAAGGTTAATCATGGATAGATTGAGTTACAAAGTTAAAGTGTTTTGTAAAATAGGGGAAAGTGATAAGATTCATTAGTAGGGCTAATTCCTCTGTCAATATCCCAGTCAAAGACCTTAAACCTACAAATCTCCTTATATTCTCTGAGGGTGGGTGCCTAGATTCTACAGACACCAAACCAGATTGTGAAAACACCCCATTCTCTAGACCAGTGCTTCTCAAAATGTAGCCCTTGCACCAGCAAAGGTGGAAATGAAAATTCACAGGCCCTACGCCAGCAAGCCAATAGAATCAGAAACGCAGGAGTTGGAGCCCAGCATCCTGAATGTTCACAAGCCCTCTGATGCTGGATGCTCAAGTTCAAGAATCGCTGTTCCCAGGCCGGATGCGGTGACTCATGCCTGTTATCCCAGCACTTTGGGAGGCTGAGGTGGGTTCAAGACTAGCCTGAACAACATGGCGAAACCCCGTCTCTATTAAAAATACAAAAATTAGCCAGGTGTGATGGCTCGCACCTGTAATCCTAGCCGCTCTGGAGGCTGAGGCAAGAGAATCGCTTGAACCCAGGTGGCAGAGGTTGCAGTGAGCCGAGATTTCTCCACTGTATTCCAGCCTGGGTGAAAGAGTGAGACTACGTTTCAAAAAAAAAAAAAAAAAAAAAGAACCACTGTTCCAGGTTACTCTTTTTCTTTTCTTTTCTTTTTTTTTTTTTGAGACGCAGTCTTGCTCTGTTGCCCAGGCTGGAGTGCAGTGGTGCGATCTCAGCTCACTGCAACCTCTGTCTCCCGGATTCAAGTGATTCTTCTGCCTCAGCCTCCCGAGTAGCTGAGATTACAGACAGGCGCCACCACGCCCAGCTAATTTTTGTATTTTTAGTAAAGATGGGGTTTCACCATGTTGGTCAGGCTGGTCTCAAACTCTTGAGCTCGTGATCCACCCGCCTCGGCCTCCCAAAGTGCTGGGATTACAGACATGCGCCACAGAGCCCGGCCCCAGGTTAGTCGTATCTCTTATGGCCCTCTGCAAGGAAAAGTAGAGTGGAGATGGGGACTACAGAACCTATTCCCATCTCTTTGGGGATCTATATTGTCTATTGGTTTGTTTTGCCATTACCCTAATACGGATGGAACGTAAGGCTCATTAGACAAAACATGAACCAGACCTGTTCCATGGAACTGTGAAGTCAGTTTTCCTTGGCTTTGCTTTTGGTCATTTAAAAAAAAAAAAATTATTGCTTCATGAGACACACTGGTCTCTGAACTTTTCCCTTTTCTAGTAAAAGTACGAATTCCAGCTGGAGCTCTTGACCAACAACATCTTTCTACAGAAGTTGCTGTCTTCGATGCTTTGCTGAGTTCCAGAGATAAGATAAATAATTTACCAAATGTAGGTTTCTGATTACTCACTCTATTAGCATTTAGAGCAGAGAGCTCTGGCCCCTGGGGAGTTTGATTCGTTCAGATGCAGCCCATCTGCTTTTGTTTTTTTGTGGGGAGTTTTTTGGGGGTGGGGTTGCCTGGAAAAGCCAGGGAGCTCCCAGCATCCCACACATACTTCAGGGATGAACTGCCTAAATCTTATGGGTTTTACTGGAAATTCTGGGGAATGCTATTTTCTTATTGTTTAAAAAATACACAGCTGCTAAGGCTCATTTTCCTTTCCTCTCCTCTCTCTCTTTTTTTTTTTTGAGACGGAGTCATGCTCTGTAGCCCAGGCTGGAGTGCAGTGGCACCATCTTGGCTCACTGCAACCTCTGCCTCCCAGGTTCAAGCGATTCTCCTGCCTCAGCCTCCTGAGTAGCTGGGACTACAGGCGCCCGCCACCACGCCCAGCTAATTTTTTGTATTTTTAGTAAAGACAGAGTTTCGCCTTGTTAGCCAGGATGGTCTCAAACTCTTGACCTCATGATCTGCCCCCCTTGGCCTCCCAAAGTGCTGGGATTACAGGCGCGAGCCACCGCACTCGGCCCTCTATCTTTTTTCTTTTTAAAAGATGAGTAAAAACAAAACCCCACAATTTATTTCCAGAGTGTACAAAATATCTGAAAGGGTATTTTCAATCTTGTGCAATTTATTTATCCTAAATTCATGCTGCAGGTTACAAGAGTAATTTCAGGGAATTTTATAAAAGAGATTAACTAGAGTTTCTCCTAAATCAAGTGGCACTGTTTTGGGGGGAAACAGTCTATTATATGAATGCATCACTCTTCACTCATACAATTTCTGAAGTATAGTTTCAATATCGGTAGTGACAGGTGTTACAAAAGGTTTGTATCTGTAGTTATTGTACAAGCTCTTTATGGCAAATATACGTCATTATTATTTTACACCAGTCTTAAAAGTAAACTGGGGTAACAGAAGAAATCACAGCAAAAGACAGCAGATTCTGTGGATGGTCCATTCATTGCAAATGCAGAGAGGAAAAAGTTGTGATAAACCCAAGAAGCCACGTGTTGTACATATATTAAATGCTCTTCTAATTCCTTCAAGATAATCTGATCAACAACTTACTTTATTCCTTTTTAAAATAAAATTAAACTATGTGCCTGGATGATAGAACATAGTGATGAGTGGGTCTTATTTTGGCGATCCTTAAGGAATAGAAATTCCATGTAGTCTCCCATGTAGGATTTTTGTATTTTCTTTTCTTTCCTTTTTTCTTTTTTTTTCCTTTTTTTTTTTTTTTGGTGAGACGGAGATTTACTCTTGTTGCCCAGGCTGGAGTGCAATGGTGCGATCTCAGCTCACCGCATCCTCCGCCTCCCAGGTTCAAGCGATTCTCCTGCCTCAGCCTCCTGAGTAGCTGGGATTACAGGCATGTGTCACCACGCCCGGCTAATTTTGTATTTTTAGTAGAGATGGAGTTTCACCGTGTTGCCCAGGCTGATCTCGAACTCCTGACCTCAGGTGATCTGCCCACCTCAGCCTCCCAAAGTGCTGGGATTACAGGCGTGAGCCACCACACCTGGCCGATTTTTGTATTTTCATGAACTTATTACTATTATTATTATTTTCTTTTGAGACGGAGTCTTGCTCTGTCTCCCAGGCTGGAGTGCACTGGCTCTATCTCAGCTCGCTGCAACCTCCGCCTCCTGGGTTCAAGCGATTCTCCTGCCTCAGCCTCCTGAGTAGCTGAGATTATAGGCATGCGCCACCACGCCTGGCTAATTTTTGTATTTTTAGTAGAGGCAGGGTTTCACCATTCTGGTCAGACTGGTCTCGAACTCCTGACCTCATGATCCGCCCGCTTCAGCCTCCCCAAGTGCTGGGATTACAGGCATGAGCCACTGCGCCTGGCCTTTGTGAACTTTCTTAATGCTAAGCCAGGATTGTACATTTTACTTCCTATGGTGAGCACCCTGTGAATAAGTAAAATAATAACATCTCACCACACACCTGGGTATTGTTTTTCTGTCAGTGATTTAGTAGAAAGTTGATTGTCTCCCAATACCAAGTCACATTAAAAGTCTCTTGCATGGAAGTTGAAAGTTGTGGGTTGGTTTGGGGCATGCCCCTAGCTAAGTAGTGAGCTCCCATACAAAACAATTATGTTAGAACAGAGAATACCACTAAAACGGTAAGAAAGGTAAAGTAAGGACACCAAAGGAATTCCTTGTGCCTCACAGCTCTGGGTCTAAAGCAATTAAAGAGTGAAAGGTGTAAAAATGCTACTTGCTACCTATTTTGTGTTTCTCTAGGAGATTAGCCTACTTTCTTGGCTCATTTTCTTCTTCCTACATCAGCTGGTATAAAAGCTGTGGTAGCTGGCAGCCTCAGATGACTCCATCAGCATCTGTTATCTTAGTTTTGGGCCTCTCAGGGACACACAGAGTAGTTTACCTCTTATTTCTTTTGCCTCCTCCCCACAGCAGGTAAAAAGTCTGCCCCGAGCTTAGACACATTCTCCCTTGTTATAAGAATTTGCTCAACCAAGGATAGTGAGTTAATAGTTGGTGCGCGCACTCTTTCTTCTCTCTTGTCTTCTGACAGATCCAAGAAGCTGGAGTAGTAAATCTGAGAAAAGCTGCATCTAAGTACACACACACACACACACACACACACTCACTCAGAAGGAGAGCTCAGACCCAGCCACTTGCTCTCTGCTTCTGCTTCCCGTATGCTGCATTTTGGAAGGTTTCATATTGCTTCTGCAACAATTTTTTTTTTTTTTTTTTTTTTTTTGGTTAGTTGGATGGCTGAATGAAACACAACCTTCCCTGCAGACATCAAAGCATGTCTCCAGCATAGCAAACTCTCCATCCAGCCTTTCGTCTCTCCGGCTACATTCCAATTTAACCAGGGCTGCCTTGCATGATAATCAGGCCTAATTACCACTTTATCCCTTGATTGTTGTGCTGAGTTTTGGAACTGCAGAGTTCTTTTCTCAGCTTCGGTTCTGCCTTCTCTTACCCTCCCTCCTATTATTTAGCATACCCAGGACTGAGATTTAGCCATTCTAATTAGCAAATAGGTGAAAAGGGCTGGACTGTGCCTTTGGAATATCAGGGCTCTGTCCACTTAGTAAACTTGAATTCCTTTCACAACTGTGGGAAGACCTTGCCATAGACAGGATATTCTGAATACCACGGGAGCTTTAAGAGATTTATTACTAGGTTAAAGAGTGAAACAAAGGCCCTGAGATGATATCCTCATTCCCCAGAGGTATTTTCCTACCTTCTCTCTTACCACACACACAGGCACAAGATCTTTTACAAAATGATGAAACCAGGAAGGAAGGGGGTGTAAACTGGGGCTTTTGGAATCTTTTTTCTAATTCTTTCACTTGGTACAATGCATTTGAATGCCTTCGTTTCCCTAACTGCAAAAGGAGTCACAGCCAAATAATTGAAAAATCAGAACACAACTAATGCCATCTACCTGCAGTGTAAACCATCCAGGCAGATGATAATTTATGTTTTACTTTAAAGTTGTTTTTCTTTCTTTCTTTCTTTCTTTTTTGTTTTGAGATGGAGTTTCGCTCTCGTTGCCCAGGCTGGAGTGCGCTGGCGCAATCTCGGCTTACCTCAACCTCCACCTCCCAGGTTCAAGCAATTCTGCCCCAGCCTCCCGAGTAGCTGGGATTACAGGTGCCCGCCACTATGCCCAGCTAATTTTTTGTATTTTTAGTAGAGATGGGGTTTCTCCATGTTGGCCAGGCTGGTCTCGAACTCCTGGCTTCAAGTGATCTTCTCACCTTGCCTTCCCAAAATACTGGGATTACAGACATAAGCCACCATCACTGGCCTAAAATTATTTTTAATTTGTTATTTTTATGACAAATTTATTGAGTACCACATGTGCCAGGTACTGTGTTAGATACTGGGGATTTTAAGATAATAGGATATAACTCTTGCCCTCAGTGAGAACACGCTGAACACTAAAGGTAGGTGAAGGGAATCTGGAAGGTCTGGAGGGTCTAGCTATGAGTTTTTCAAAAATATGATCTGAGGAAAACAAAATTGGCCTTGAGTTGATTGATAATTGTTGAAGCTGGGGATTGAAACATGATAGTTTAATATTACTATTTTGTCTCTTTTTTCCATGTTTGAAATTTTACATAACAGAAAAGTTAAGAAAAAAATATGTAATCTGGGGCCATAATCTGTAGAACCGCATGGAAGAGACTGATTGAAACACAGATTCTCTGGCCCCACCACGGTCCTAGTCAGCTTCTTGATGGGGTTCAGGAATCTGCATTGTAAATAAGGTCTTTGTATGAGTCCTATGCCTACTAAAATTTGAGTTCCTTGGCAGAGGACACAGTACATTCCAAGACTGGAGGCAGAAGAAAGAAGGAAAACTTTTTTTTTTTTTTTTTGAGACAGAGTCTCACACTATTGCCCGGGCTGGAGTGCAATGACATAATCTTAGCTCACTGCAGCCTCCGCCTCCCGGGTTCAGGCGATTCTCCTGCCTCAGCCTCCAGAGTAGCTGGGATTACAGGTGCCCGCCACCACGCCTGGCTTATTTTTTGTATTTTTTAGTAGAGATGGGGTTTCACTATGTTGGCCAGGCTGGTCTTGAACTCCTGACCCTGTGATTCGCCCACCTCAACCTCCCAAAGTGCTGGGATTATAGGCGTGAGCCACCGTGCCTGGCCGGAAAACTATTTATCAGAGAAGAAAAACTTCCTTGGAAGCCACTTAATGAGATCAGACAATTTCAGTACTATGTAGAGGACCTTTGCAGAGCCTGAGTCTAGGCCAAGGCATCTTAAATTGTAATGTACACAGGAATCACCTGGGAGCTTGTGAAAATGCAACAGGTTAGAGTGGGGATTGAGAGCCTGCATTTCTAGTTATCTCCCAAGTTAGCCGCTGATGCATTGCTGCTGGTCTGGGGATTGCACTTTGATAAGCAAGGGTTGGGGTAGCCTTAGTATTTTACAGATAAGAAACTGAGGCCTAGAGAGATGAATACTTGCTCTGTTGTTGCAGGCATTGATTCTATCATTTTGTGCTGCTATCTCCTAAGGATGCTGAGCCTTGGTAGGAGCCTATTACCAGTTGGATGTCATGAGCAGGCGGCACTTTAAACATAAAGATTGCAAACCTGGGGCTGAGCTGCAGTACAGATTTCTTCTCAGCACCTTGGGAATGGTCCAAGGAGTTGCAATGTGGCTGTTCTGCCACAGTCTGTTATTTCTTATCACTGTTACTGCATCTTCCAGGTCTGGTCTCTTGAATTCTATGAGAGTTCTTTGGCAATCATTAGACCTATTGAATGCATAACCCTATGCACTAACATATGCCCAGATTTATCTCATATATATATATTGTTGTTGTTGTTAAATGCTATTGCATTGAGCAAGTTTTGCAACTCTATCCTGAGTTGCAAAGACAACATGGGTAGACATCTATTAAATGTACTTCCTAATATTGGGACAGGAGTGAACTCCTTGATACAGGAAATTCCATGTCACACAAAGCTTGTAAGCTCAGGGAACTGATTATCCCAGGCGGGTACAGATTCAAAACTGCTTTGCTTTCTCACCCTCCTTGAAGGATAGATAAGATAGTTAAGCATCCTTAATGAAAAAGGATGCTTGGGGGGGTACTTCCTAACCTTTGAGGAAGAGGTTGAGGTTGAGTCAAAGAAGCTGTCCCTGTCCTGTTTCCCTGTCAGTGACAGAACTCAAGACAGGAGGACCAAAGAACTGACCCAGGGGCACGTTTCGTGATCACTAATTTCCAGGTAGTGAAGACTCAAGACATTTCTTAACAAAAAACATTACCAGAACCGCCGCACCCCCCATACTCCCCCACACATTCTTTTTTTTTTGAGTCGGAGTCTGGCTCTGTCCCCCAGGCTGGAGTGCAGTGGCGCGATCTCAGCTCACTGCAAGCTCCGCCTCCCGGGTTCATCCCATTCTCCTGGCTCAGCCTCCCAAGTAGCTGGGACTACAGGCGCCCGCCACCACGCCCGGCTAATTTTTTCGTATTTTTAGTAGAGACGGGGTTTCACCATGTTGACCAAGATGGTCTCGAACTCCTGACGTCGTGATCCATCCGCCTCGGCCTCCCAAAGTGCTGGGATTACAGGCTTGAGCCACCGCACCCGGCCTCCCCCACACATTCTCTGCCTATCTTGAAGCATCTCTTACTCTGGTCTTGAAACAATTTCTGCTGAAATGACTCTGAGTTAGAACGCCCTGTGATCTTTCCTAAAGACCTGAGCATGCCTCCTTGACATGCATCGCATTTACAGTTATATCCTTTCCCCTTGATCCAATGACTCATATTCCCTGAACCCTTTTATCTAAAAATGCTAAAGAGGGGACAAATGATTGGTAAGCAGAATCTCCTGGCCACTGCAGTCCCAATCAGAGTGAGGTTTGAAAGCTTTTCTTAGGCTCAGAGTCCAGGGAAAAGTTAATTTTTGGTTCTCGGCATGTGGACTTAGGTTTCTGTACCGGCGAGGAGTAAGGATGTGGAATGAGTAAACTCCCTGGGAGGTGGGGGGTGGGGAGGGGATGGGGCCTCCCTGGAGCCTCGGGCCATTAGTAATCTGCTTTGTGAATGGAGTTAAAGGAGGAGGGGGCTGCACATACTTGGAATTCCTTCATCTGGGTGGGCTCCTTCTCTCCAAACTTTCAGGATGTGGGAAATATAAGATGAAAGAAGCTGCATTTCCAGCCTATCAGGTTACAGCGTGGAAAATGGAGAGGGAAAGAAGTAGGGGGTGGAGAGTGGGGCGGGAGAAGGCCTCCCCGAGAGGGGCCAGGGAAACCCAGTTTGAGAACTGGCTGGGGAGAGTGAGAAAGAAAGAGTGCTGGGGCGGTCAGATCACGTTTCACATCACATCAGAGCTGTGGAATTTCCTCTCTTCTAGGGGGAGCCCTGTGAAGATGAAGTTGGTTTAAGGTTAGTCGGTGATGAATAATAGCCCAAAGGCGACTGATGGAGGGTGTTACTAAGTGACTGGTGTTTACAAGCAAAGCTTTGGTGGTGGGGTTGGGAGGTGGGAGCGGGAGCCATCTTCAATCTGAGTTGTTCACCAAATTCTGTGACCCGAGAATGGAGTCCATGTATGGATTTTATTTGTGTCTGACCTCTGTGGTATGCAGAGTCCTGAACACTCGGGCTGAGAAGGGGAGCAAAAGAAATGGGAAGGTAATTAGAAAAGGCGGGAGAACCTCCAGCGTGGGTAAGGGATGCAGGGCCCTCCGGGCACAATCAGTTTCTGCTTTGTGTCTCTGGCGTCCCTGGGGCGGTCCTGGCAGGATCTGTTTCTGTTCTACTTAATCCACGTGCTCCACACCACTCAGTTGTCACTGCCTGGCTCTCCGAGGACCTTACCTCCCCAGAGATGCGTTTATTTTTTAAGTGTACCCAGGCGGCTGTCCCTCCTTATTTTCTGTTATGAGAAAGAAAGCTCCACCCTGGGTGTGAAACAGAAGTGTGAAACTTCTGCGAGGCCGGGTAAGTGGCTCCTGAGGCCAGGTACACCCTCCTTAGGGAAGAATAAAAACAGTGGAAGACCACTGGGGTCAAGTTTGGGCCTAAAATTAAATAAAGGACAACGGGAGGGAAAATGGAACCAAGCAACTGGGCTGGTGGTGGCGTGTTAGGAGAAAAAGAATGTTTATTAAACCCTGATACCAACCACAGTCGGGTAATGTATTGTTCTAATATTATGACGAATAGAAAGTTATTAGATGGCATATAAATCATCACATACTACACATGACAAAAATATTGCTTGTTTTGAAAAAATTAGAATACAATAAAATACGCTTGTCACAAACCATAGCAAGCTTCATTTCATCTTTTTTCTCCTGTTTCAGAAAGCTGTTTAGGATTTTGCAGTATATCAGGGTCATCATTTTCAAACATCTATTAGTGCCATATTGTAGTCGCGTGAGAGGTTCAGTTAATAAAGGTTTCTGGTTGATAGATGGCTAGAGCAAACAGACTTTTGCACTATCTTCTCTGAATTGCTACTGAGTTATTACAATACACTGAGTCCATATTTTATCACTTTACAAACCATACACTCATATTTTCCCCTCCTCCCTCCCTTTCCAAACACTACCACCTCCAATAGTTTTGAGAAAAATAAATAGAATATTTCCTCCTCTTTGCATTAACTCCTCACAGCTCCCTTTCCAACACGAGCTGTAGCCTTGAACCTTGCTGGACTCAACTCCATTGCCTAATCCTTGCTGGTTTTGACACCCACAGTCATTTTCTAAGACTGGCTTTTTTTTTCTTTTTTTTTTTTTTTTCGTGAGGCCTATTAAATTTGGGATAGGTAGTATATTTGAACTGGTCCTTCTGGATTTCTGAGTGGTTTCCTAAGAACAGGTAAGGGTAGTAACTTGAGTGGTATTTCCTGTGTGCCCCAGTGAAATAAGTCAACAGCATGTTTTTCTAAGTTGAAATGAAAATTAATATTTTTTTTTGAGATAGGGTTTTGCTCTGTCGCTCAGGCTAGAGTGCAGTGGTGAGATTACAGCTCACCTTGACCTTCCGGGTTCAAGCAATCCTCCCACCTCAGCCTCCTGAGTGGCTGGTACTATAGGTGCGCACCACCATGCCTGGTTAATTTTTTTTTTTTTTTTTTTTTTTTTTGCGGGGGGGCAGGTATTTTTTGTAGAGACGAGGTTTTGCCATGTTGCCCAGGCTGGTCTTAAAGTCCCAGATTCAAGTGATCCACCCACCTTGGCCTCCCAAAGTGCTGGGATTACAGGCGTGAGCCATCGCACACAGTGGAAAATTATTATTTTTGAGACGGAGTCTCGCTCTGTCGCCAGTCTGGAGTGCAGTGGCACAATCTCTGCTCACTGCAACCTCCAGCTCCCTGGTTCAAGTGATTCTCCTGCCTCAGCCTCCCAAGTAGCTGGGATTATATGCACTCACCATCACGCCCAACTGATTTTTGTATTTTTAGTAGAGACGGGGTTTCACCATGTTGGCCAGGATGGTCTCGATCTCCTGACCTCAAGATCCGCCCGCCTCAGCCTCCCAAAGTGCTGGGATTACAGGCGTGAGCCACCATGCCTGGCTGGGAAAATTAATTTTTGAAAGTCCTGTAGTCAGCCTAGTCCACCGTAGCCTGCTGTTGACCTTAGTTTTGGAAGAGCTAAGGACTCAAATGTTAAAATTAGAACTGACTTTCAGTACTGGCCCTACCTACCAGCTGAGTACCTTATTTTTATTTAACGAACACTTATACAACATATACGAGGTACCAAGCACTGTTCTAAGTATTTTAGAAATATTTGCTTGGCTAATCCTCATAGTGGTGTTATTGTAATATAACACTATTATGAAGTATGTTGTTATTATCCTCATTTTACAGATGAAGAATCTGAGATGTAATTTGCCAACCTATGAACCTGAGTTTCAGCTCACTGCCCTAGCATATCCCCAGTTGGCTGGAGGGATATAGCCCTGTTTCCACATCTGCCTGCATGCAACTTTGAACAAATCACTTGGCATTGCTAGGAGGCATATGAGGGGTATGAAACTGTAGGCGGCAGGGGAGACAGGGCCTTTACACACACATGAAAAAGCAAAGAGCATGTATTTGGTACCCTTTTAGGGAGCGAGAGGAACGGGAGATTTCTCGGGCTGTTCCTCCCACCCCCATCCCTGCATAGAGCAGCATGTTTGGGTTACTTCAATACCTTCTTATAATTCAATTCACAGCCTCAGCCTTGTACCATTTCCGTTTCCTTGAACTGCATCTAGACGTGATTCTGGTCCCCACCAGCTTCTGACCTCATTACTCATTCTGTTTACAGCTTGGCCTCACCCTTCAGACTGCCCTGATTTCCCAGATAGGAATTTGGCTGCCCTCACTGACTATGATTCAGATTTTCGCCCCAGCCACATTGCACCAGGCCCTCCTGTGTCCACACCCCTCCGCTCAGGCTGGCACCCTGGGACCCTCACCTCCTTCCCTCACTGAAACCCCTGTCAAGGATCAGGCAGGTCTCTATAAAATACATCCCACCACGGAGAGTCTGGGCAGGATTACGGAGGATCTTGAAGGAAACTTGGGAAACTCTTGAAGGATTTGGAGTTGGGGGATAACGTGATGAAGGGGGATAGATTAGAAGGAGGTAAGGCTGGAGGCAGGGGCCTCTGTCAATGAGCTATTGCAGTGACACAAGTGACCCAAGGAAGGGCTGAGGGGGGTGCCCTGTGGAAATGGAAGTGAAGCGTGAATGGGAGACAGAAGATGAATCTCAGGACACTTGGTCATTGCCTGGATTTGAGAGGAATGGGGTGAGGAGAGTCGCACACCGCGATTCTCCAAGGTTCCCATATGAAGCATCTGGGAAGCTGATGACTCAAGGACGGGACCAGGGTGCTTGTGAGGCAGTGGAAGAGCCTGGCCTCGTGCCTGGCAATTGGGAATAGGCTCAACAAATGTTTACAGGAGGAGGTATATTTATATCAAACCTCTAGATCTAGTCATTAAAATGTTAATGCCTGGCCGGCCACTATGGCTCACGCCTGTAATCCCAGCACTTTGGGAGGCCAAGACAGAATGATTGCTTGAGCTGGGGAAGGTCGAGGCTGCAGTGAGCCGGGATCCTGCCACTGCACTCCAGCCTGGGTGACAGAGTGAGGCCCTGTCTCGAAAAAATAAAAATAAATAATGTGGGTTTTTTGGGTTTGGGTTTTTTTGAGACAGGATATGGCTCTGTCATCCAAGCTGGAGTGCAGTGGCACAGTCTCAGCTCATGTAGCCTCAACCTCCTAGGGTGAAGCCATGTTCTCTCCTCAGATTCAGTAGCTGGGACTATAGATGCGCCACACCATGCCTGGCTAATTTTTCTATTTTTGTAGAGACAGGGTTTTGCCATGTTGGCCAGGCTGGTCTCGAACTCCTGAACTCAAACCATCTGCCTGCCTTGGCCTCCCAAAGTGCTGGGATTACAGGCATGAGCCACCAAGCCCAGCCCCACAAAAATAAATAAAATAAAATAAAATAGGTTGGGAGTGGTGGCTCACGCCTGTAGTCCCAGCACTTTGGGAGGATGAGGTGGGTGGATCACTTGAGGTCAGGAGTTCAAGACCAGCCTAATCAATATGGTGAAACCCTGTCTCTACTAAAAATACAAAAATTAGCCAGGCGTGGTGGTATATGCCTGTAATCCCAGCTATTTGGGAGGCTGAGGCAGGAGAATTGCATGAACCCAGGAGATGGAGGTTGCAGTGAGCCAAGATCACGCCACTGCACTCCAACCTGGGTGACAAAGCAAGACTCCATCTCAAAATAAACAAATAAATAAATAAAATATTAATGTCCCATGGAAGGATAAAACCAAGAGCCACAGTGAGCCTTGTACACCTTTGTCTTAAGAGAAAGAAGACCCAGGGGAAACCCGGGAATGAGGTTTGGGAGGCCCGCCTCGGCCTCCCAAAGTGCTGGGATTACAGGCATGAGCCACTGCGCCCGGCCTCCATGTACCTTTTTCTTTTTCTTTTTCTTTTTCTTTTTTTTTAAGACAGAGTCTCGCTCTGTCCCCCAGGCTGGAGTGCAGTGGCGCGATCTCAGCTCACTGCAACCTCCGCTCCCGGGTTCACGCCATTCTCCTGCCTCAGCCTCCCCAGTAGCTGGGACTACAGGCGCCTGCCACCACGCCTGGCTATTTTTTTTTGTATTTTTAGTAGAGATGGGGTTTCACCGTGTTAGCCAGGATGGTCTCGATCTCCTGACCTCGTGATCCGCCCGCCTCGGCCTCCCAAAGTGCTGGGATCGCAGGCGTGAGCCACCGCGCCCGGCAGGTCTACTTTTCTTTTTCACCTCTCTTATCTCCTTAGCAATTTAGGCCAGAACAGGAAAGAGTCCCCCAAAGAGAGAAAAACTCTTAAAAGTAATTGAAAAAAATGTTCTTGTGTTCATGTGTGACCATGCATATATATTTTTTTGGATACAGAGTCTCTTTTTTTTTTTCCAGGCTGAATCTTGCTCTGTTGCCTAGGCTGGAGTGCAGTGGCGCGATCTCGGCTCACTGCAACCTCTGCCTCCTGGGTTCAAGCGATTCTCCTGCCTCAGCCTCCCGAGTAGCTGGGATTACAGGCTCCTGCCACCATACCCGGCTAATTTTTGTATTTTTAGTAGAGACGGGGTTTCACCATGTTGGCCAGGCTGGTCTCGAACTCCTGACCTCGGGATCTGCCCTCCTCAGCCTCCCAAAGTGTTGGGATTACAGGCATGAGCCACCGCGCCTGGCCCAGATCAAGTTTTGATAGATAGAGATAATAGTCCCAGCAGCCACCATGTATTTTTCCATTGCTAGGTGCTGTGTTGATGGCCTTGTATTCATTCTCATTGAGTCCTCTCAGTGACTGTCTGTCACATATGCCTATCCCTGTTGGACAGATGAGAAAATTAAGACTCAGGGATTAAGTGACTTGCCCAGCAGTAGTTGCATGTTGATTCCTTTTATTTTATTCTATTTTTTTGTCTTGTCTGATTCCAAGCTGACATTTATTGAGCACTTACTACCTGCCAGGATCTATACCAGTGCTTCACAATGGGTCCTCAGGACCACACTATGTGAGATAATATTCTTATTGTCCTCATTTTTCAGGTCAGGAAGCAGGCTCAGAGAGGCTTAACTTGCAAATATCACACTACTAGGAAGTGGCAGAACCAGGCTGTGACCCCAGGCAGTGGGATTCCTAGCTTTTGACCACTGCATTTCGTCATTAAAAACCCAAGACAACCTCTCTGTGATTTAGTGTTACTCCTGAAGTGATCCCAGGGAAGGACCCTCAGGACACGTTAGATCAAGACTCCAGGGTTTGCTCTGACTGTCTACAGAAGGGAGAGCTGGGGAGGATAGGGCTGGGAGGTTGAATCTGTTAATATCTGCACAGAGGAGGGCAGAAGCAGCTAAGCGGTGTTCGTACTGCTCTGTGTGTGCCCTGGAAATGCAAGCAGCCCTCAGCTTCTGTGGCTGGCCTGGATGGCTGGCAGCAAGCCTGCAGGAGGGAAGCCCCATCTCAGGGAGGGGCAGCCAGACCCTCCGGCAGTGGCTTCCCCCTCGCTGACCTTTAGCTGGAGCTGATGAATTGGCAGCAACTGTGTGACATCAGGGAGACATTTTCTTCTTTGTGAGCTCAGAGCTTCCATTTAAAAATTCCTCAGTCACAGGACAGAGGCTGCAGAAGCCCGGGCAACACTTGTGGTGGCAGCAGGTGATGTGCACTTGTTCCAAGTCCTCCAGAAGTCTGCGTAATCCTCGGGATTCCGGGCGGCTGCTGGGATGGCCATGTAAGGTGCGGTTGTTGGCCTTATTTATCCCTGTGGCGCTGCCAGCTCTTAGAAGCCCTGCAAGGAAGGGATCATGGGGGGGCGGGGGGGAGGGCTGGTCCCATCAGCTGGCGCCTGGGAGTCACCAGCTTCCTCCAGCAGTTTCCTCTGCCTGGCCCCTCTCTACCTTCTTGTCTTTACCCCTGGTGAAAACCAGCACTCAATTTAAAATTAAGTGAGCTCAAAAGTTATCCAAACATGTTTGTCTTGACTTTTGTATGTGGGGCAGGTGGAGTGGAAGGAAGAGAGGCTGCAGTGAGTCAAGATTGCGCCACTGCACTCCAGCCCGGGTGACAGAGCAAGACTCCATGACACACACAAACACACACACACACTCACACACACACTCTTTTCCCTAAACTTGACGGTGGCAGAAGGAACCATTATTTTATTGCAGCAAAGGGCAAAGTTGAAAGGGAAATTAGATCTCTAAATACTCCAAGCCCCTCATTTTACAGAGGAGAAAACTTCCAGCTCAGAGAGGGGAAGTGACTTGCCCAAGGTCTCACCACAAGTTAGAGGCAGAGGCAGGACCAGAACTGATTACCTTGGGCAGGTTAGCTTTTCTCTCTGAGCTTCGTTCCTTCATTGATAAAGTGACACGGTGGGGTTTGATGATGCGCAAGATTTATCTCCAGATCTCAAAATACAGAACCGTAATTGAGTGACTCTCTCAGGCTCCCTGAGGGATCCTAGAGGATCCAGGGGAGCAGAACTCTGGAGAAGGCAGGATATATGGTAAAGAAGGTGGGGACTGTTTGATGAACAAGTAACTCCAGGATCTTGGGACAGACGATTCATTACCTTGGCTAGCTGCCTCTTCACCTCAGTCTCTCCCCCTGCCCTTGCCCTTGGAGAAAAGCATTCATCCCAGAACAGCCATCTTCCCTCTTTTCCCTTCTTCCCAACCCACAGATGTATATATTCCCTAATTTCTGATTATTTACTGGGCCGCTATTACTCTAGCTTATATATTTATAGCTTTCCGGTAACACTCATCTAGGAATCACTCAGTGTGCCAGGTACTAAGTACTTTACATTATCACATTTAATCCTCCTACCTCCATCCTCTGAGTTAGGCTATATTATCCTCAGTATGTAGATAAAGAAACCCAGGCTAGGTTGAGTGCTGTGACTTACACCAGTAATCCCAACACTTTAGGAGGCCAAAGCCAGAGGATCGCTTGAACCTAGGAGTTCAAGGTCAGTCTGAGTAACATAGTGAAAACTTGTCTCTATAAAAAAGAAAGAAAAGAAACCGAGGCTCAGAGACTTACATATTTGCATGTTCTTATAGTTAATAAGTGGGGAATCCCTAAAGTGACCCAAATTTGGCTGGAGACTAAGGGCATTTTTTTTTTATTTATTTATCCTTATTTTAAGATGGGGGTCTTGCTATTTTGCCTGGGCTCGAACTCCTAAACTCAAGCGATCCTCCCTCCTCAGCCTCATGATGCCATCATGCCTGGCGCTGAGCTCTAGTTCCTTTTTTTTTTTTTTTTTTTTTTTTTGTGAGACAGAGTCTCACTTTGTTGCCTATGCTGGAGTGCAGGGGCGTGATCTCAGCTCACTGCAGTCTCAACCTCCTGGGCTCAAGCGATCCTCTTGCCTTAGCCTCCAGAGTAGCTGGGACTACAGGAATGCACCACCATACCAGGCTAATTTTTTGATTTTTTTTTTGTAGAAATGAGGTCTTGCCATATTGCCCAGACCGGTCTTGAACTCCTGAGCTCAAGAGATCCTCCCGCCTCAGTCTCCCAAAGTGCTGGGATTACAGATGTGAGCCACCACACACCTAGTTCTTTTTTCTTTTTTTTTGAGATGGAGTCTCGCTCTGTCCCCCAGGCTGGAGTGCAATGGCACGATCTTGGCTCACTGCGACCTCTGCCTCCCGGGTTCAAGTGATTTTCCCTGCCTCAGCTTCCCGAGTAGCTGGGACTACAGGTGCATCCGCCACCACGCCCAGCTAATTTTTTTGTATTTTTAGTAGAGAGGGGTTTCAACATGTTGGCCAGGCTGGTCTTGAACTTCTGACCTCAGGTGATCCACCCACCTTGGCCTCCTAAAGTGCTGGGATTACAGGTGTGAGCCACTGCGCCTGGCCTAGCTGTAGTTCTTAACCACTGCCCTGGATTGCCTCTCTGGCAGCCCTGAAGCTCTGGCTATGGTCTATTAGTTGGGTTGGATGTAGTAGGTGCTAATGAGACTGTGAGGGCCCAGTGTATTTGTCCTAACTCGAGGCCAGAGACTGCACCCTTGAATGTGACCCCCTTATCTCACAATGAATACGCAGGATTGGGGCTCGGCATAGGGAAAAGAAGGAGGATCGTTTGTGTCTTTCATGACTACTGGACAAAAATTTGAAGTGATCAGGTATCATTTTGTTATGCTGAGTTTTCTAGTAGCTAAAAAGGATACAAGCCCACCAAGTTGTTAACATTGCCACACTACATTATACAGATCTGTTTGCAGACACTTCCTAGTGCAGCAGTTTAAATACTATCCTATAACTGAATCCTGTAGTTTTGGCACTAAAGTACATTTCGGTTACCCTGAGTCATGTTCTCGTGGCACCTCCAGCTGGTCAGCAAGTCACACAAAGTGGCGTGGAGATAGTAGCTGAAAATGCAATCATACCCTGTTTTCGTAGATTCCAGGGATCTGCCAGGAAAGACAATTCTCGAAGAGGTGCCATCAAAGGTCTGAGGGTTGAGAGGCCAGGTGGGTGGGACTTGGTGTGAAGCCATGCAGGTACCCTCAGGGACAAGCCATTCCTTTGTTCATTCCTTCCACATACTCTTACTGAGCACCCATAAAGGCAGGTTAGACCCAAGACTATGTTGGACCCTGAAAATTCTGAAACTATGTTAATATGCTATCAACATATAAGCAAGCTATTATTATACAATGTGAGACTTGCTATCTTAGAGCTATGAGCCCTTGGGGGAGGGAGGAATTAGTTTTGCTGGGCCAGGGGTGAAGTGCTGGTCTCGGAAGGCCTCCCTGGGAAGGTGTCCTTTGAGCTGAGTATGGAGATAAGAGAAGGAGGGGAGAGTACATTCCAAACCCAGACAGAAGCTAGAGCAAAGGTACAAAGGCCTGCGTGACCACAGCCTGATCAGGGAACTTGGAGTCCAGCATGTTCTACAGAGAGCTGGCTTGTCTTTTTATGCAAAGAACTTTTACAGGTATCAGTCTATATCATCATTATCGTCAAAGCTTACATTTATAGAATTGATTCTGTGCCAGACACTGCAAAGTGCTTTACTCACATCCTGTTTTATTTTTATTATTTATTTATTTATTTTTTTTTTGAGATAGAGTCTCACACTATTGCCCGGGCTGGAGTGCAATGGCACGATCTCGGCTCACTGCAACCTCTGCCTCCCGGGTTCAAGCGATTCTCCTGCCTCAGCCTCCCAAGTAGCTGGGATTACAGGTGCCCCACCACACCAAGCTAATTTTTGTATTTTCAGTGGAGACGGGGTTTTGCCATGTTGGCCAGGCTGGTCTTGAACTCCTGACCTCAAGTGCTCCACCTGCCTCAGCCTCCCAAAGTGCTGGAATTATAGGCGTGAGCCACTGCACCTGGCCAGAGGGTGGGCTTTTAAATATGGGGAGGACATGCAGTGGGGATGTTAGGATTGAAAGTTAATCAGATTTAGATTTGGAGGGCTATAAATGCCAGACTGGAGAGTTTGAACTTCATTTTGTAATGGTATAAAGAAAAATGGAGGGGAAAGGAATGTCTGTTCTGCCTGGGCACTGAAGTAGCACATACCTTATCACATTCAGCCTTGGTGAGCAATGAAGGTTTTGAACACAGCACAGATACATTTGAAGAAGGTAAACTGTATGGGATGCAGGATGAATGGAAGTGAAGGAGTTTACAAGTGGGGTTCCAGTTTGTAAGTTATGTGAAAATCCACTGGTGAAGAGTAGAGAGTTAGAGCCTAAATTACAGTGATGGCAATGGAATAAAAAGGGAATATTTAATTTTATCCATTTTTGTTTTGTTTTGTCTTTTGGAGACAAGATTTCAGTATGTTGCCCAGGCTAGTCTCAAACTCCTTGCCTCAGGCAATCTTCCCACCTCAGCCTCCCAAAGCACTGGGATCACAGGCATGAGCCACCGTGGCCAGCCCTGGCCCTGGGACATTTTATATAAATATGCTAATATGTGATAAATGTTTTTTTACAGTGAAATTATTCTTAAGGTTTTTGGAGAGAAAATGTATAAAGGCTTTAACTATATAAAGTATGTGTGATTTTAATAAAATTAATGTAGTTATAGTAGTTATACTGAATTGAACCGACAAATATCTTTTTAAACAGAAACTCTGGTTCATCAGTTTTCCACAATTGATTATTTGATTTTTGGATATTAGTTTTTTTGTTTTTTTGTTTTTTTTTACTATGGACCCCACTTGAACAGTTACAATACATTCTCTTGCAAATATTTTCAGCCCAGAATGCCACTTGTTGCCTGTACCCGAATGAAACTCAGATATCTGGAAGCTTGAATCGGAGCCTAAACTTAGCCCCCTACTGACTTGGAGAAGAATCTAAACTTGGCAAAATGCCTCCATCTCTCTTCAGGCAACGGTCAAAAAGTAGCTCCCTAGCCCCCCACCCTCAACTAATGAACTATATCTAATAGCCTCCCTTTAGAGAGTCCTTTGAGAAAGAGATGGCGTTTGTTTTTGACCTCATTATCCATTTCAGCCTGTCCTTGATGAAAATAATCGCCCCTTAGGCAGGTACATTCCTCACATTCCTCTCCCAGTTAGCTGCTAAGACGTCGTTAACCCCAGTGACCATGGGAAAACGCCGCTGTCTGCTTCAGAGAGTCTAAGGGGAGTGGGCCCAAGATAACAAGAGGTGAAGAGGTCAGAGTGGGAGCCCCTTTCATCTTTTCAGGCTGTTTCCAACCCAGACAAAGGATTCTGTCCAGGGGTGCAAAGCCCACGCGGCTTTATTTTATGGTGTGGCCCTGAAAGGGGGCTGGGAGGGCCGTGTCTTATCTGGATATTGTTTTGGAGGCGAATGCCGGGCTCCCGGGAAGTCCTCGACTCCTGGGGGAATGCTAAGTGGAAGGAAGGGCCAGCAGCCCCCACTTGGGCGGAAGAGACCACCCAGCTACTCAGAGGAGGGTGTGAAGGGCTTGAATGGAATGAGCTGCCCTACAGGATTTATCATTCAGACAGTGAGATTAAGGGTGTGAGACTGTTTAGCTGCTTCAAATCAGGGAAGCTCTTGGATTTGCCGCGAAAGAGAGAAAGGGAAGGGGGCAAGTGGCGGGGGAAGGGAGGTCGGGTGGTGTGGAGACGGACGGCAGGCAAGGACAATTTGGAAATCTGTGGGGGAGGGGGAAGATCCGGATTTCCTCCCATCTTGCCGCTAACCTGCTTTACACTTTGAGCAAGTCACTTCTTCCTTTTGCAAAATGAAGGGATTGGAAGGATACCAGAAGGTGCCTCAAGGGGCTGCCTTGGACTAAGGGGAGGGGAAGACTTGTGCTGCTCCACCTCCTCCCCCATACCCTTTCCCCTAACTTGCCTCATTGACTGTGTTTTATTAGAAAAGCAACACAGCCCGTCGGCCCGGCGCGGTGGCTCCCGCCTGTAATCCCAGCACTTTGGGAGGCCGAGGCGGCGGATCACGAGGTAAGGAGATCGAGACCATCCTGGCTAACAGAGTGAAACCCCGTCTCTACTAAAAATACCAAAAAAAAAAAAAAAAAAAAATTAGCCGGGCGTGGTGGCGGGCGCCTGTAGTCCCAGCTACTCGGGAGTCTGAGGCAAGAGAATAGCGTGAACCCGGGAGGCGGAGGTTGCAGTGAGCCGAGATCGCGCCACTGCACTCCAGCCTGGGCGACAGAGCGAGACTCCGTCTCAAAAAAAAAAAAAAAAAAAGGGAAAAGCATAACACACATTTCATTGTTTGTTTATTTATTTATAGAGATGGGGGTCTTGCTATGTTGCCCAGGCTGGAGTGCAATGGCAATTCACAGGCTCAATGACAGCTTTCTACAGCCTTGAACTCTTGGGCTCAAGCGATCCTCCTGCCTCAGACTCCTAGAAAGCTGGGCCTGGCAACAAACTTATTTATTTACTTATTTTTTTTTTTCTAGAGACTGGGGTCTTGCTCTGCCCCAGGCTGGAGTGTAGTGGCACCATCATAGCTCACTGCTGCCTCGATTTCCTGGGCTGAAGGGATCCTCCCACCTCAGCCTGCCTAGTAGCTGGGACTACAGGCACGCATGTGCCACCATGGCCGACTTATTTTTAAATTTTTTGTAGAGACAGGGTCTCGCCATTTTGCCCCGGCTGGTCTCGAATGCCTGGGCTCAGGCGATCCTCCCGTCTTAGCCTCCCAAAGTGCTGGGATTATAGGTGTGACCCACTGCACCCGGCCCAACAAATTCATTTAATCCAAGTTTTGCTTGATGTAGGAGCCTTCAGAAATGAAGGTCCAAAGACCCAGGGAAAATGGTCTCTTTTTTTGCTTAGGCTGGGTGAAGAATGGACAGCTGTGTAGAAACAGGATTGGACAAAAGGGGATGATCTAGTGGTAACAGACTGAGAGGGAGGCCCAGCAAGGCCTTCTGTGCAGATTCGCCTTGGTCTCCCTGTGTAGCATTCCTTCCTCCAGGGTCTGGGGCAGGACCTTCTGGAATGAAGGTCTTCAAGGGAGAATGGAGGCTGAGCGCGGTGGCTCACGCTGGTAATCCTAGAACTTTGGGAGGCTGAGGCGGGCGGATCAGTTGAGGTCAGGAGTTTGAGACTAGCCTGGCCAACATGGTGAAACCCCATCTCTACTAAAAATATAAAAATTAGTTGGGCTTGATGGTGTGTGCCTGTAATCCCAGCTACTTGGAGGTTGAGACAGGAGAATTGCTTGAACCCAGGAGGCGGAGGTTGCAGTGAGCCGAGATCGCGATGCCGCACTCCAGCCTGGGCGACAGAGCGAGAGACCCTGTCTCAAGAAAAATAAAAGAAGGGAGAAGGGAGAGAGAGTGACCTTTTTAGGTTTTAGGGCTTGCTATTGGGGAGAGGGATCCTAGTTTCCTTTCTTTCCCCTCTCCTCCCCTCTCCTCCCCTTCCACTCCCTTCCCCTCTCCCTCTGCTCCCCTTCCCCTCTGCTCCCCTTCCCCTCTGCTCCCCTCCCTTCCCCCCTCCCCTCCCCTCCTCCCCCATCCTTTTCTTTCTTTCTTTTTTTTTTTTTTTAATAGGCGGAGTCTTACTCTGTCACCCAGGCTGCAGTGCAGTGGCACGATCTCAGCTCACTGCAACCTCCGCCTCCCAGGTTCAAGCAATTCTCCTGCCTCAGGCTCCCAAATAGCTGGGATCACAGGCGCCCGCCACCACGCCCGGCTAATTTTTGTATTTTTAATAGAGGCGGGGTTTCACCATGTTGCCCTGTTGGCCAGGCTGGTCTCGAACTCCTGGCCTCAAGTGATCCCCCCCGGCTCGGCCTCCCAAAATGCTGGGATTACAGGCCTGAGCCACCGTGCTCAGCCTTGGGATTCTAGTTTCTATAACCCGCTTTGGGGAAGGGGAATTTTGTTTTCTAGGATTTTGGGTGGAAGAAGCAAGGGCGAGAAACAGGAGGGCAGGAGGTCAGAGAGAACTGACTTCTGAGGCTGCTTTGGAGGCCTTCCAGCCTCCTTTAGTTCATGCCAAAGTGCCACGCTTTGGAGTGTTGTTTTGGAGCACTAGCAACATCTCCTGTTTGCCCCTGCAGATTGCCCCCCATCCGCCTGCACCCTGCTGGGTGCTCCAGGAGGCTTCTGTGTGCTGCTCCCCTGTCCTCCTCTGGCTTCTGGTTGGGTTTGAGGGATATTCCTTCCCCTTCTTCCTCCCTTCCAGATCACCGAAGACTAACAGAGTCCCTCCATCAAAGCCTGCAGCTCCTGTCTGGGGGCCCTTGAACCCTCTCCAGGTAGTTCTCCCCTCATGTTCCAGCAGGGCCCCCCTTCCCCCTTGACACCTGGCCTAGCCATGGAAACAGCGCCCCTCTGCTCTGTCGCTTTTCCAGAGCCGCCCACACCTTTGTAAATAGCCCCTTTATTAGACCCTTCTCAATTTTCCCAATTTTGAGCGTGCCATCTGTTTCCTGCAGGGAGTCTGACTGTCACGGGATATACATCATTGGTATTTTCCACATTACCACATGTAATCTGTGTGGACCATAGCTGCATAGCATTGTGTTGAGCATATATACCATAATTCAGTTAACCATTCCCTTGTGGGTCCACATTCAATTGGCCTCATTTTTTTCTGTATGAAAACCTCAGTGAAATACTCCTTGCCTGAACTTTCTTTCCTGTCTGGGTTTAAGTTCACAGTAGGTGATTGGTCCTTTCTACAGGTATGTTTTCAGCTGTGATCCTTTGCTGCCCTCAGGAAACTTACCAGTTGACAGGACAAAATTGAGACACATTGTTAGAGCAACAATGGAGTACAATTACATGAGATGATTAGAAATTCAAAGATAGGCCAGGCACGGTGGCTCACGCCTGTAATCCCAGCACTTTGGGAGGCTGAGGCAGGCGGATCACTTGAGGTCAGGATTTCGAGACCAGCCTGGCCAAATGGTGAAACCCCATCTCCATTAAAAATATGAAAATTAGTAGGGCATGGTGGCACACACCTGTAGTCCCAGCTACTTGGGAGGCTGAAGCAGGAGAATTGCTTGAACCTGGTAGGTGGAGGTTGCAGTGAGCTGAGATTGTGCCACTGCACTCCAGCCTGGGCAACAGAGCAAGACTCCGTCAAAAAGAAAGAAAGAAGGAAAGAAGGAAGGAAAGAAAGGAAAGAAAGAGGCTGGGCGTGGTGACTCATGCTGATGCCTGTAATCTCAGCACTTTGGGAGGCTGAGATGGGCAGATCACGAGGCCAGGAGATCAAGGCCATCTTGGCCAACATGGTGAAACCCTGTCTCTACTAAAAATACAAAAAAATTAGCCAGGCATGGTGACACGCGCGTGTAGTCCCAGCTACTCGGGAGGCTGAGACAGAAGAATCGCTGGAACCTGCTAGGCGGAGGCTTCAGTGAGCTAAGATCGCGCCACTGTACTCCAGCCTGGGCGACAGAGCGAGACTCTGCCTCGAAAAAAAAAAAAAAAAGAAGAAGAAAGAAAGAGAAAAAAGAAAGAAAGAAATTAATTCAAAGATAGATGAGAAATGGTTGGTTGGAAAGAGACTTGCTGGCTGTCTGCACTCTCAGGACAGAGCCGTCTAAAGTGGCATTTATCACTGTGGCTAATTTATTTACCAGAGTAAATAAAAAAAATCAGACCCTTGCCTGATTTTGTCTGATTTTTGTCTGGTTTTGTTTGATTAGTATATAAAATAAGAATGCCAATTGTTTCGTTTACGAGTAGAAAAAATAATGTCTATTCTAATGTTATGTGGACCTGAATCTTTGCATCAAGTGGAAGCCCAGTGATAACAGGAACATTGTTTGGGGAAGCTCAGTTTCATTGCAAGGAATGGTCAGATGATTGAAAGCTTTAAGGACATCAAGCTTTACAGGCAGACTCAGCCATCTCCACAGTAGGGATTGCCTTGCCCGTCTTATGGGATGCTAATAAATATTCCAAGCCTGTTGGCCAAAACTCCCTTCTCTACGCTCTGGATAGTGCTCTATAAGCACTGTCACCTGGAGTAACTCCACCTTTTCCCAGCCTTTGACCCTGCATTTAAAGGATGCTTTGCAACTTTCATCTGCATGGGAATCACCTGGGGATCTTGCTAAATGCAGATTCTGATACTATGGATCTGAGTGGGGCCTGAGAGCCTACTTTATTTTTATTTTTAGAGACAGAGTCTCACTCTTTTGCCCATGCTGGAGTGCAGTAGCACAGTCATAGCTTACTGCAGCCTTGAACTCCTGTGCTTAAGTGATCCTCTTGCCTCAGCCTCTCGAGTAACTAGGACTACAGGTGCATGCCACCATACCTGGCTTTTTTCTTTTTTTCTTTCTTTTCTTTTCTTTTTTTTTTTTTTTTTGTTGAGACAGAGTTTCGCTCTTGTTGCCCAGGCTGGAGTGCAATGCCATCATCTCGGCCCACTGCAACCTCTACCTTCCGGGTTCAAGCGATTCCTCTGCCTCAGCCTCCCGTGTAGCTGGGATTACAGGCATGTGCAACCACACCCGGCTGATTTTTATTTTCAGTAGAGACGGGGTTTCTCTGTGTTGGTCAGACTGGTCTCAAACTCTCAACCTCAGGTGATCTGCCCACCTTGGCCTCCCAAAGTGCTGGGATTACAGGCATGAGCCACTGCACCCAGCAAGAGCCTGCATTCTAAATATGCCTCAGCAGATACCAAAATGTGTTCAAGCAATATGCAATGGAGTCTTCTGGAGCTGCTGAGTCTCTTTAAAACAATGTTTATCTCTGCTCTAATCTCCATGAGGTGGTTGCTTTACAATTTATTAGGGTGGGCCAGGCACGGTGGCTCACGCCTGTAATCCCAGCACTTTGGGAGGCCGAGGCAGGCGGATCACGAGGTCAGGAGATTGAGATCATCCTGGCTAACATGGTGAAACCCTGTCTGTACTAAATATATAAAAAATTAGCCGGGGGAGGTGGTGGACGCCTGTAGTCCCAGCTACTCGGGAGGCTGAGGCAGGAGAATGGCGTGAACCCGGGAGGCGGAGCTTGCAGTGAGCCAAGATCGCACCACTGCACTCCAGCCTGGGCGACAGAGCAAGACACCATCTCAAAAAAAAAAGCAAAAAAAGAAACCCCATCTCTACTAAAAAATACAAAAAGTTAGCTGGGCGTGGTGGCGGATGCCTGTAATCCCAGCTACTCAGGAGGCTGAGGCAAGAGAATGGCGTGAACCCGGGAGGTGGAGCTTGCAGTGAGCCGAGATTGCGCCACTGCACTCCAGCCTGGGTGACAAAGCGAGACTCCTTTCTCAAAAAAAAAAAAAAAAAAAAAAAAATTTTATTAGGGTGGTGCAAAAGTAATGGTGGTTTTTGCTACCCCCTTTACTTTTGCACCAATGCAATAATACTCAGGTGGGAAATTTTCTGTTTTAGTTACTAGTTGAGGAGTCACCTGGGTGAGAGGGGACCTTTGCAGTAGTTCCCTAATGCAGCAGGAGAGAGATCCCTGAGGAGGTGCGAGCTTCACCTGGAGTTGAAGGCCTGAGGGTCCCACTTTCATGCTATCTCCCCATGCCCAGGAACTACAGACTAACCACTCACCCTGCCCTTTTTTTTTGAGACAGAGTCTCGCTCTGTCGCCCAGGCTGGAGTGCAGTGGGGTGATCTCGGCTCACTGCAACCTCTGCCTCCCAGGTTCAAGCAATTCTTCTGCCTTAGCCTCCTGAGTAGTTGGGATTATAGGCCCACGCCACCACGCCTGGCTAATTTTGGTATTTTTACTAGAGACGGGGTTTCACTGTGTTGGCCAGGCTGGTCTCAACCTCCTGACCTCAGGTGATCCACCCACCTTGGCCTCCCAAAGTGCTGGGATTACAGGCTTGAGCCACCCCGACGTGCCTCACCCTGCACTTTTACCTAAAACTGGAAATCTCAGCTTATCTGAAATCTTTGTTTCCTCTTTCTACAGAGGAAGAAAAACAAAACCTATCTAAGTATTTGTGAAATGACTTAGCTTGAGCCTTCAAAGTCAGCCCCTCCATAACTTTAAATGAGTAATTGAGTAGACTATAGATGGAGGAATTAATCACCACCATATTACTAAAGTTGTCTTACATTTTAAAAACACTTGACAGTTTTCAGAGCATCTGAACATCTATAATCTTTTAGATCTTTTCAACAACCCTGGAAGGCAGAGCAGGCATTATTATCCCCTTATAATCCCCATTTACTAGATAAAACTGAGCCTCAGAGAGAGGGCAAATGATATATCCAGGCTCAACTAGCTACTAGTGGGTAAAGTTTGGTTAAAGCTTTTTTTTTTTTTTTTTTTGAGACGGAGTCTCGCTCTGTCGCCAGGCTGGAGTGCAGTGGTGCGATCTCAGCTCAGTGCAACCTTTGCCTCCTGGGTTCAAGCAATTCTTCTGCCTCAGCCTCCTGAGTAGCTGGGACTACAGGTGTGCACCACAACGCCCCCCAAAAATAATTTTTTTTTTTTTCTGAGACGGAGTCTCACTCTGTTGCCCAGGCTGGAGTGCAGTGGTGTGATCTCTGCTGACTGCAACCTCCACCTACCGGGTTCAAGTTATTCCCCCGACTCAGCTTCCCCAGTAGCTGGGACTACAGGCATGCACCACCACGCCTGGCTAATTTTTGTATTTTTAGTAAAGACAAGGTTTCACTATGTTGGCCAGGCTGGTCTCGAACTCCTGACCTCAGGTGATCCGCCCACCTCGGCCTCTCAAAGTGCTGGGATTACAGGTATGAGTCACTGCGCCGGGTCCAATTTTTATATTTTTAATAGAGACAGGGTTTTACCATGTTGGCCGGGATGGTCTTGAACTCCTGACCTCATGATCCGCCCACCTCAGCCTCCTAAAGTGTTGGGATTACAGGCGTGAGCCACCGTGCTTGGCTGGTTCAAAGCTTTTATTTATGTATTTATTTATGTATTTTTTTTTTCAGACGGAGTCTTTCTCTGTCACCCAGGCTGGAGTGCAGTGGCTCAATCTTGGCTTACCACAACCTCTGCCTCCCAGGTTCAAGCGATTATCCTGCCTTAGGCTCCCAAGTAGCTGGGACTACAGGTGCGCGCGCCACCACGCTGGGCTAATTTTCGTATTTTTAGTGGAGACAGGGTTTCACTGTGTTGGTCAGGCTGGTCTCGAACTCCTGACCTCAGGTGATCTGCCTGCCTCAGCCTCCCAAAGTGCTGGGATTACAGGTGTGAGCCACCATGCCTGGCCTGGCTCAAAGAATTTATTATAATATTTATTTATTTGTTTATTTATTTTCAAGATGGAGTCTTGCTCTCTCACTCAGGGAGTGCAATGGCATGATCTTGACTCACTGCAACCTCTGCCTCCCAGGTTCAAGCAATTCTCCTGCCTCAGTCTCCTGAGTAGTTAGGATTACAGGCGCCCACCACCACACCTGGCTAATTTTTGTATTTTTAGTAGAGACAGGGTTTCACCATGTTGGTCAGGCTGGTCTCGAACTCCTGACCTCAGGTGATCCGCCTGCCTCAGCCTCCCAAAGTGCTGGGATTACAGGTGTGAGCCACCACGCCCAGCTCAAAGCTTTTAAATGCTCATCATGAGTCCACATCTTTTGCCTCACGTGCTATCTGTCGCCATCCCCGACATGCACACCACATTTGCCCACGTTATGAAAAATTACTCAAGGACCCAGAGTTGGGAGCAGACTTGGGACTGAGACCTGTATTTTCCCTCTTAGACTGGGTCTCATGTCTTCTTTTTTTCTTTTTTCTTTTTTTTAAACAGGGTCTCACTCTGTCGCCCAGGCTGGAGTGCAGTGGTATGATCTCGGCTCACTGCAACCTCCACCCCCTGGTCTCAAGTGATCCTCCCACGTCAGCCTCCCAAGTAGCTGGGATTAAAGGCGCATGCCACCATGCCCAGCTAAGTTTTGTATTGTAGTAGAGATGGAGTTTCACCATGTTTGCCAGGCTGGTCTCGAACTCCGACCTCAAACGATCCGCCTGCCTTGGCTTCCCAAAGTGTTGGGATTACAGGTGTGAGCCACCACACCCAGCCAAGGATCACATATCTTCTTGACTTTCCATGTAAAAATTATCATTGCAACAGTTTTCTTCCTCTTCCTCCAGATATTCTACGATTTTGACCATGCTCATTCTCGCTGCCATCATCCTCACCCAAGTTTTCATCCTCACATGTGAATTATTGCATGGCAGTCACTCAGGTTATTAAGACTTCAGCAGGCCGGGCGCAGTGTCTCACGCCTGTAATCCCAGCACTTTGGGAGGCCGAGGTGGGTGGATCACCTGAGGTCAGGAGTTCGAGACCAGTCTGACCAACATGGTGAAACCCCGCCTCTACTAAAAATACAAAAAAATTAGCTGGACGTTGTGGCGCGTGCCTGTAATCCCAGGTACTCGGGAGGCTGAGGCAGGAGAATCGCTTGAACCCAGGAGGCAGAGGTTGCAGTGCGCCGAGATTACACCACTGTACTCCAGCCTGGGCAACAAGAGCAAAACTCTGTCTCAAAAAAAAAAAAAAAAGAGAGAAGACTTCAGCAAATACTCATGGAGCCTTACTATGTGTCAGGCCTGTGCCAGGCTTGAGGATCGGGCTGACTACATCCTTCTCCCTGCCCTCAAGGGCTTTCCAGGGAAATGGCCATATAGAGGTCTGAAACAGGTCACTACAACAGGGCACGAAAAGGGCATTGATGGGGAGATGTGCAGGGGCCTGAGGAGGGCCAGGTGGCGGCAGGGTGTTCCTTCCTGTTGGTCTTCAGGCCTTCGGGTTCTCTCCTGTCACAGGCACTCAATGTTCTATGCGTCCACTGGTCAAGATCCTTTAGCGATGTTACAGCACCAAGAGTTCAGCTTGGGATTCAGTGTTCTCCACTGTCTGGCCCCTGCATCTCACTGTTCCACAGGATGACCTTCTGTGCCAGTTGCAGCTGCCTCCCAATTGGTGCAGGTATTTTTCACACAGCTTCCTATCATATAGTCAAAGAATCACAGTAGTAACCATGGTACTACTCATTGCCTGTCTGTGGCCCTCCGCTAAGGACTTTATTGTGTTATTTTATGTAATCTTCACATCTCATTATGGTAGGTGTCATCTTCCTCATTTTGTAGATGAAGACACCAAGGTTCAGAAAGTTCAAATAACTTGCCTAAATCCTACAGCTGGAATAAGGCTGAGTAGAACTCGGCCCCCTGGTCAAGCCCAGAGTCATCCTACTATTCCCCTTCCACTCCACTGAGATGATAGGAAGGAAAGAGCAGAGGTTAGGGGTTAGTGATTTTCTCCCTTCATTCTTGCTGCTCCCACACCTGAAATATTCACTTTTTTTTCCTTTTTTTTTTTTTTTTTTTGAGGCGGAATCTCGCTCTGTTGCCCAGGCTGGAGTGCAGTGGTGCGATCTTGGCTCACCACAACCTCCGCCTCTCGGGTACAAGCAATCCTGCCTCAGCCGCGCTAGTAGCTGTGATTACAGGCACGCGCCACCATGCCCGGCTAATTTTAGTAGAGAGTCACTTTCTTTCTTTCCTTTTTTTTTTTTTTTTTTTGAGACGGAGTCTCACTCTGTCATCCAGGTTGGGGTGCAGTGGCACGATCTCGGTTCGCTGCAACCTCTGCCTCCCGGGTTCAAGCGATTCTCAGCCTCCCGAGTAGCTGGGACTACAGGCGTGCACCACCATGCCCGGCTAATTTTTGTATTTTCAGTAGAGATGGGGTTTCACCATATTGGCCAGGCTGGTCTCGAACCCCTGATCTTGTGATCCACCCACCTTGACCTCCCAAAGTGTTGGGATTACAGGCATGAGCCATCCCGCCCGGCTGAAATATTCACTTCCTCCTCCAACAGTGAATGAAACCTGAGAGACAAATGCCTTCCCCTTTTCATCCCTTGACAAACATTTCGGAATCTCCTTAGATGGTCCTTTGGGGTCAGGCATCTGTCTCCCATAGTGGTGAGCAGCTCAAGAATGCTCTCTTGAATTGTGTTCCTTTTTTTGCTGTTTAGCTTCTCCTGTCCCTCTTTTCTGCTCTCTGGAATTTCATTCCTATATAAGCTACCTACATGCAAACTGTTTATTAAGGTTCCCCTCCTAGGGGAACGTGGGTTATGCCATGTGACGTTCAATGCTATGAGACTAAATGAGATCAGCAACAGAGTAAGATAGGGAACAGATCCAAGGACTGAACTCTGCAACCCTCCAACATCTGTTTTGTTTTTAGAGAAAGGGTCTTGTGCTGTTGCCCAGGCTGGAGTGCAATGACGTGATCATAGCTCACTGCAGCCTCGACCTCCTGGGCTCCTTCCTGTCGCAGCCTTCTGAATAGCTGGGACTATGGGCGCCTGCCACCATGTCTGGCTCTCTCTAACATTTAGAGGTGAAGGAGATGAGGAGAACCTAGCAAAGGGGACCTTAATGAAATAATCAAGAGAATATAGTGTCTTGGAAGCCAAGAGAAAAAAAAATGTCTCAAGGAAGGAGGAATGCTCAGCTGATCCTTGCTGAACAGTCAAGGAAGGTGACGATTAAGTGATAGCCTGTAGGTTTAACCACGCTAGAGGGGACTGACAATCTTAATAAAGAGCAGCTTGGGTGGAGTTACGGAATGATTCAAATGGGTTAAAGAGAGAATGGAAGGGGAGAAAGTACAATTGTCCCTTATCCATCCCTCAGTATCTGCTGGGGATTGGTTTCAGAAGGTCCCTGAAGACTCCAAAATCCGTTGTTTTTTTTTAAAGATGGGGTCTTACTATGTTGTCCAGGCTGTTCTTGAACTCCTGGGTTCAAGCAATCCTCCCACCTCAAAAATCCTCCCACCTCTCAAATCACTGGGATTACAGGAGTGAGCCAAGGTTCCTGGCCCCTAAATCCTTGGGTGTGCAAGTCTCTTATGTAAAATGGTGTAATAGCTGGGTGCGGTGGCTCACACCTGTAATCCCAGTACTTTGGGAGGCCGAGGCAGATGGATCACTTGAGGTCAGGAGTTCCAGACCAGCCTGACTAACATGGTGAAACCCCTCTCTACTAAAAATACTAAAAAAATTAAAAAATTAGCCGGGTGTGGTGGGGGGTACGTGTAGTCGTAGCTACTCAGGAGGCTGAGGCAGGAGAATCTCTTGAACCCAGGAGGCGGAGGTTGCAGTGAGCAGAGATTGTGCCACTGCACTCCAGCTTGGGCAGCAGAGTAAGGCGCCATCTCAAAAATAAATAAATAAAATGGTGTAATATTTGCATATAACCTACACATCCTCCCATATACTTTAAATCTTCTCTAGATTAATTTAATAACTAGGACAATGTAAATGCTCTGTAAATAGTGTAAATAGTGTTATACTGTATGTTTTTGTTTGTTTTATTACTATTTTTTGAGACAGGGCCTCTGTTTGCCACCGAGGGGGGAGTGCAGTGGCACAATCATGACTCACTGCAGCCTTGACCTCCCTGGGCTCAGGCGATCCTCCTGTCTCAGCCTCCCAGGTAGCTGAGACCACAGGCATATGCCACCACACCAGGCTAACTTTTGTCTTTGTAGAGGCGGGTTTCCACCACGTTGCCTGGGCTGGTCTTGAGCTCCTGGGCACAAGCTGTCTGCCCACCTTGGCCTCCCAAAATACTGGGATTACAGGCTTGAGTCACCATGCCCAGCCTATTTGTATTATTATTATCATTATTATTTGAAGTAGCAGGATTTGATCTGTGGGCTTTAATTTGCCAACTCCTGCTGTATAATGTTTGAATGCTTTTTGTTGGTTTTTTTATTTTGTTTGTGACGGAGTCTCACTGTGTCACCCAGGCTGGAGTGCAGTGGCATGATCTCAGCTCACTGCAACTTCCGCCTCCCAGGTTCAAGCGATTCTCCTGCCTCAGCCTCCCGAGCAGCTGGGATTACAGGTGCGCGCCACCACACCCAGCTAAGTTTTGTATTTTTAGTAGAGACGGGGTTTTACCATGTTGGCTAGGCTGGTCTCGAACTCCTGATCTCAGATGATTCGCCAGCCTCGGCATCCCAAAGTGTTGGGATTACAGGTGTGAGCCACTGCACCTGGCCCTATTTGCACTATTTTGTTTTTATTGTTGGCTTCTTTTTTTTTCTTTCTTTCAATTTTTTTGTTTGTTTTGAGACAGAGTCTTGCTCTGTTGCCAAGGCTGGAGTGCAGTGGTGCAATCTCAGCTCACTGCAGCCTCCACCTCCCAGTTCCAGCGAGTCTCCTGCCTTAGCCTCCCGAGTAGCTAGGACTACAGGCACACGCCACCATGCCTGGCTAATTTTTGTATTATTAGTAGAGATGAGGTTTCACTGTGTTGGCCAGGCTGGTCTCGAACTCCTGATCTCAGGTGATCCACCTGCCTCGGCCTCCCAAAGTGTTGAGATTACAGGCGTGAGCCACCGCTCCCGGCCTTTTTCAAATAGTTTTGACCTTTGGTTGGTGGAAGCCATGGATGCAGAACCCACGGATATGGAGGGCCGACCACATAAATAATTATTTTATGGCGTTTTCCTATGAAGGTGAGTGGAGAAAGGGGATGCAAGCTGGAGAGGATGCTATGGTTTGAATGTGTCCCCCAAAGTTCATGTGTTAGAAGCGTAATCCCCAATGCAACAGTGTTTTGAGGTGGAACCTTTGAGAGGTGACTAGGCCGGCTGGGCGCCGTAGTTCACGCCTATAATCCCAGCACTTTGGGAGGCTGAGGCGGGCAGATAACGAGGTCAGGAGATCAAGACTATCCTGGCTAACATGGTGAAACCCCGTCTCTACTAAAAATACAAAAAATTAGCAGGGCGTGGTGGTGCATGCCTGTAGTCCCAGCTACTGGGGAGGCTAAGGCGGGAGAATGGCGTGAACCTGGGAGGCCCAGCTTGCAGTGAGCTGAGATCGCGCCACTGCACTCCAGCCTGGGCGACAGAGCGATACTCCATCTAAAAAAAAGAAAAAAAAAGAGGTGACTAGGCCATGAAGGCTCTGTCCTCACAGATGGATTAATGCCATTGTTGTGGGAGTGGTTTTCTCATTGAAGGATGAGCTTGAGCTTGGCCCCCTTCCTTCTCCCGCCTCATTCCCCTCTATGTTGCCCCTATGATGCCTTATGCCATGTTATGATGTGGCAAAAAGGCCCTCGCCAGATGCCAGCCCCTTGACCTTGGACTTCCCAGCATCTAGAACTGTGAACCAAATGAATGTTTTTTCTTTATAAATTATCCAGCCTCTGGTATTCTGTTATAGCAGCACAAAGCAGACTAAGACATAGGGTCAAGAGCAACTTTTTTTAAAAAGATGAGTGAAATTACACATATTTATGTGCTGATGAAAATGATTCAGCAAAGAAGAAAAAACATGACGCAGGAGAGAGGAGGGAGAATGGCTGGAGTGAGGGGATGGGATCTCGTGCTCAGTGAAGGTGTATGCCTTAGATAGGAGCATAGACCATTTATCCCTAAACTACAGAAGGGAAAGCCGAGCATGTGGGCAAATTCTCCCATCTCATGACTTATTGAGTGCTTGACTTGCAAGAGATCATTAAGACCTTGAGTCTGTGCTGCCTAACCTTCCTCTCCATTTTGCAGATGAGACCTAGAGGGAACTGACTTACCAAAGGACACACCAATGATTGTCATGTGTGCACCAATGATTATTTGTTTTGTTTGTTTTTGAGACGGAGTTTCGCTCTTGTTGTCCCGGCTGGAGTGCAATGATGCGACCTTGGCTCATTGTAACCTTTGCCTCCTGGGTTCAAATGATTCTCCTGCCTCAGCCTCCCAAGTAGCTGGGATTACAGGCACCCGCCACCATGTCTGGCTAATTTTTTTTTTTTTGAGACGGAGTCTTGCACTGTTGCCCAGGCTGGAGTGCAGTGGTGCGATCTCAGCTCACTGTAACCTCCGCTTCCCGGGTTCAAGCGATTTTCCTGAGCTGGGATTACAGGTGCCTGCCACCATGCCCAGCTAACTTTTTGTATTTTTTAGTAAAGATGGGGTTTCACCATGTTGGCCAGGCTGGTCTTGAACTCCTGACCTCATGATTCGCCTGCCTCGGCCTCCCAAAGTGCTGGGATTCCAGGCATGAGCCACCGTGCCCAGCCATGCCTGGCTAATTTTTTGTATTTTTAGTAGAGATGGGGTTTCACCCATCTCTACTAAAGGGATTGGCCAGGCTAGTCATTATTAGAGGCAGAGCTGGAAACAGAATCCAAGACCTTTCTTGCACCACCTAGCACATTAGGGTTCTCTCTGTGCTCAGATGTTCTACCCGCCCCACCTGTGCTCTGGGTAGTAGATGCATAGTGTAGGGGCCTCCAAGAAGACATTGGAAGAAGAAAGTGTAGAACCGAGCAAACTTCAGAATAGGATCAATAAGCCATTGGGTTAGGTGATTTGAAAGTCTACTGATGAGTCTAAGGGATCTCCCTAGATGTATTTAGGAGTAACTGAGTCATTGTAAGGAAAGCTATAAACTGGTAAACTGGACTCAGAAAAATCTGTCAAAATGCAGAAAGAGGATAGTGTAAATCCAAGTGCAAACAGAAGGGCGTGGATCCTTCTGGGATATAGATTCCTGGTTTCAAATGTTCCATCAAGCTTTGTTTCCTGATGTGGGGTTTGGAAACATAGTCCCTTTAAGCTTAGATGGAGTTGAATGCTGCTACTCTATTCAGGACTGGATGATGAGTTTCCAGAAGGGAGAGGCCGCAACAAAAGAGGCACAAACAAGCTGGTCCCATGAAGGAGCCAAACACCAGATTTCACCTTGACCTCCAGGAAACTTGTGAAACCACTGCATTCTCTTTCCCCTAATTCCACTCATTTCGAAACATTCTCTGAGCTGTTGTGCGAGGCACTGTGCTTAGTGCTATAGGTATGACGGGTAAGCGAGAGGTGGGGGGTGGTATACAGAACAGATAAACTGAAGGAGGTCCCACCTTCCAATTTTTACAGGCTTCTAGTAAGAATGAGCGATTCACACATTGGACTGTGATTTCATGCCCACTACTCAGTCTCCCGATTACTCATTCTGCTTCTCATTTAGCTCTGTGTTGGACAGAGGGGGCGTGTAATATGGGGGGAGTCTGTGTCTCTAGTCACTGCAAAGATAACTAACTCCCTGACTGTGGATTCAAAGATATAAATTATAAACTGCTATTGGGTACAAATTATTCCCATGTGAGCTTGTTGAGCGTGATCCACTTATCTCTAGGGCTGATCGCTAGTTAAATCCTGCCCAAGTAGCTGAAAGCCTGTTTGTTTTACGACAAACAGGAGACAGGGGCCCTTGCTGAAATTCCTGGTGTAGGATTGAACCTTAAGCCAATGCTCTAATATGTTTGTTTGGAGAATTCTTAAGTGGGTACGGTCTGTAACAGCTGTCTTCTGCCTCTGCACCAAAGCGGTATTGGAAGAGACCCACAAGGTCAGGGTTCTGACTTCCAACACTCAGGCTGTTGAGGATAGGTGGAGGAGATGAGCTAGAATGTCACCAAGAGATAATCCAGGAGACGCTTCTCTGAAGAAATTACCATGATCTCTTCATTTCTGCAGCCCTTTGCAGTTGTTTTCGAAGCATTTGCATTATCACTGATTTCATGGAATCCTCACATCGCCCCACGAAGTAGGTGGAGCAGGTTTTATTATCACTGTTTTGCAGCTGAAGAGACTGAGGCCCCAAGAGGTGGCATGACTTGGCCCAGGTCACATGGCTAATAAGCAGTTGAGCTGGAGCTCGAGTCCAGGTCTCCTGACTGTGAGTCGAATGCCCAGGTGTCAGCCAGCCATTCCTCGGCGGCTCAGCTGCCTCCTCAGCCCCCTTGGCTCTCAGATGAGAGGCCTGGGGTGAGAGCATGGGCTTCACTCCCAGGATGGACTGGGTTTGAGTCCCACCTCTGCCCTAACTAGCTGTCTGACCTTGGGCAAGTTGCCAAACCATCTCTATGCCTCTGTTTCCTTGTCTGCAAAATGAGCAAAATAACAGTACCTCCCTGTCGGGTGATTTGGAGGAGTAAACAAGATATTACAGAGAGAACAAAACACAATGTCTGGCATGGTGCAAGGCATCAATAAATGCTATATTACCCGCTCCCCAAAGCCTATTCTCCTCAAAGACGCAACCCAAAAGAGAATACTCAAGAATCTTGCAGGCCAGGCACCGTGGCTCATGCCTGTAATCCCAGCACTAGCACTTTGGGAGAATGAGGCAGGAGGATTGCCTGAGTTCAGGAGTTCGAGACCAGCCTGGGCAACAAGGCGAAACCTCATCTCTACAAAAACTACAAAATGGGCCTGGCGCGGTGGCTCACGCCTGTAATCCCAGCACTTTGGGAGGCCGAAGTGGGCAGATCACCTACATCGGGAGTTTGAGACCAGCCTGACCAACATGGAGAAACCCCATCTCTACTAAAAGTACAAAATTGGCCGGGCATGGTGATGCATGCCTGTAATCCCAGATACTCGGGAGGCTGAGGCAGGAGAATCACTTGAACCTGGGAGGCAGAGGTTGCAGTGAGCTGCGATTATGCCATTGCACTCCAGCCTGGGCAACAAGAGCAAAACTCCATCTCAAACAAAAAACAAAAATCAAAAATCAAAACTTAGCCGGGTGTGATAGCATGCATCCTGACCCTGGAGTTCGAGGCTACAGTGAGCCAAGATTGTGCCACTGCACTCCAGCCTGAGTGTCACAGTGAGACCCTGCCTCAAAAAAAAAAAAAAAAAAAAAAAAAAAAAAATATATATATATATATATATATATATATATATCTTACAAAAGGTTCCCTGATTTCCTTCCTTGTCATTTCTTGCTCTTCCCCCACCCCTCACTTTGTGATAATGCTACATCAAATTTGGACGGGCCAGGCACAGTGGCTGATGGGGCACAGTGGCTCATACCCATAATCCCAGCACTTTGGGAGGCCGAGGCAGGCAGATCACTTGAGGTCAGCAGTTCGAGATCAGCCTGGCCAATATGGCAAAACCCCATCTCTACTAAAAATACAAAAATTAGCTGGGCATAGTGGTGCACGCCTGTAATTCCAACTACTTTGGAGGCTGAGGCATGAGAGTTGCTTGAACCCAGTAGGCAGAGGTTGCAGTGAGCCAAGATCACGCCACTGCACTACAGCCTGGGTGAAAAACAAAACAATGATAATAATAATTTGTACATCTCTTTTTACTTTTCTTTTCTTTTCTTTTTTTTTTTGAGACGGAGTTTTGCTCTTGTTGCCGAGGCTGGAGTACAATGGTGCGATCGCTGCTCACTACAACCTCCACCTCCTGGGTTCAAGCGATTCTCCTGCCTCAGCCTCCTGAGTAGCTGGGATTACAGGTGCCTGCAACCACAACTGGCTAATTTTTGCATTTTTTTAATAGAGACAGGGTTTCACCATGTTGGCCAGGGGCTGGTCTGGAACTCCTAACCTCAGGTGATCCTTCCGCCTCAGCCTTCCAAAATGCTGAGATTACAGGCGTGAGCCACTGTGCCCAGCCTCTTTTTACTTTTCTTTCTTTCTTTTTTTTTTTTTAGACAGAGTTTTGCTCTTGTTCCCCAGGCTGGAGTGCAATGGTGCAATCTCGGCTCACTGCAACCTCTGCCTCCTGGGTTCAAGCAATTCTCCTACCTCAGTCTCCCGAGTAGCTGGGATTACAGGCATGTGCCTCCACACTGGCTAATTTTGTATTTTTAGTAGAGACGGGGTTTCTCCATGTTGGTCAGACTGGTCTTGAACTCCCCACCTCAGGTGATCCACCTGCCTCGGCCTCCCAAAGTGCTGGAATTACAGGTGTGAGCCACTGTGCCGAGCCCTCTTTTTACTTTTCTTTTTTTTTTATTTTTTATTATACTTTCAGTTTTAGGGTACATGTGCACAACGTGCAGGTTAGTTACATATGTATACATGTGCCATGTTGGTGTGCTGCACCCATTAACTCGTCATTTAACATTAGGTATATCTCCTAATGCTATCCCTCCCCCGCTCCCCCCTTTTCACTTTTCAAAGTGCTTCCCCTCTCTTGGGATCCTCCCGTCAACCCTGTAAGATAAATAGAACCCGAAATCTTCATTCTCTTATTTCAAGTGAGAAAACCAAGGTAAGAGAGGTGAATTGACTGCACTAAGGCAACACCCCTGTTAGCCGAGGAGCTGGGACTCTTCTTTCAGTGTTGATTCCTTGCCGGAAATCTTTGATGAATTGTGTGGGTTTCCTTTCCCACCTTTGACATATAGTAGCTAGGGGACCTCATGGACTTTCTGCAAACTCAGGATTATCTTTGAGAACCCAAACAGGGAGGAGAAAAGTGGTTTGCCTCCACGAGACTCCCCGATCCCACTCGATTTCCCTGCACATCAAGACCTGGGCCTGGGGATTGGAAAGGTAACCTAAGGTAAGGGGTAAATTCCATCTGCAGCCAAAGACCAGCTCTGAGCTGGCTTCCCATGAGCAGGGGAGGGTGGAAAGGTCAAAAGGGTGGTGCTCTTCCTGAGAGTCCAGCGTCGGCTCTGCCACTTGATATCTGAGAACACCTCGAACAAGGCAAGGTGCACCTCAGTTTCCTCATCTCTAACAGGAACACTGGATTAGATAATGTCTCAGCTGACTTCCTGATAACACAAAAGAATTTGCTTGAGGATAACAGTGACACATTATGGACCACTTTTAGAAACTTTTATTATGGAAAATTTCAAAGAAATTCAAAGTCAACAGAACAATATAATGAACCTCCATGTATAGATCCCCCAAATTCAGCAATCATCAGCATTCTTTCTTGTTTCATCTCTACCTCCACCACCTTGCCCACGTGATGGTTATTTCTTTTCCTCTATATGTGGTGGGAAGGGTTTGCTTTGTTGCCCAGGCTGGTCTCCACCTCCTGGCCTCCAGCGATCCTCCCACCTCGGCCTCTCAAAGTGTTAGAATTACAGGCACCTGCCACCGCGCCCAGCCTGGTTATTTAATGATTATTATTATTTTTGAGACAGAGTCTTACTCTGTCACCCAGGCTAGAATGCAGTGGCACGATCTCGGCTCATTGCATCCTCCACCTCCCAGGTTCCAGTGATTCTCGTGCCTCAGCCTTCTGAGTAGTTGGGACTGCAAGCGCATGCCACCACACCCAACTAATTTTTGTATTTTTAATAGAGACAGGGTTTCGCCATGTTGGCCAGCCTGGTCTCAAACTCCTGGCCTCAAGTGATCCTCCTGTCTTGGCCTCCCAAAGTGCTGGAATTACAGGCATGAGCCACCACGCCTGGCCAGCCTGGTTATTTCTTATAGTTCTTTTTTTTTAACTTCTAGTGAAATTTACATACCTTGAAATGCAGAAATCTTAACTGTGTAATGTTGACAAATGGAACCACCCATGTAACCAATGTCCATCATTGGCAAATGATGTACATTGTATTATGTACAAAGTACATAATATGATGTACAAAGTATTAATATAACTGAATTTATTAACAAATTAAACATTTAAATATGACTTTAGCACACTAGGGGTTAGCAAATACTCTCTTTTTGGGGCTGGCTAAGTTAGCACCAGATCTGCAGTCTTAAGTCATTATTTTCCTTCCTGCCTCTACCCATGCTGTCATCCTTGTGTGTCCCTGGAGCTTATGGCTTTCTCCTGCATGCACCTCTATTATGAGGCTTTTATTGTCTTGGCTACAAATTCTTATAAACTTGTTTTTTTTTTTCTTTCCTATACATTTATCCTTCTCCAGGTTTTTTCTTTTTTTCTTTTATGTTTCTCTCTTCTATAACCTCTTTCTCATTCCTGTTGCTGTTTTCTCCTTTAGAGTTCTTAATTTTCTGTGTTCACCCCACCTTCTCTGATCTCACTGTCCTGTATCTTTTGGTCTATTTATATGCTGGACGTTAGACACTGAGCCATAACCCCAAGGTCCAGCCCAGGGCTAGGCACTTAGTCAACAGTGAGTGAGTGAGTGAATGAAAGCGAAGGACGACATAGTCTGAAACCACCTGCAATCTGGTTACAGTAATGTGGTCAACTAAGGAACCCTAACTCGTTACCCTGGACCACATCTTTCTCTTTGCATTGAGCAAGAAGCTATTTATCTGCCCCCTTGGAAGCTCCAGCATTTGAAAGGAAGGAGGCTGATTTCCTGACAAAATGTGACCCAAAGGACCATCCTCCTCCTACTCCCCATCATTTAAAAAAAAAAAAAAGAGCAAGCAGGGGCTATCAGGGATACTTCCTGTTTTCCTCTCTTGAAAGCATCCTGGATAGATGAAACTGAAGGATCAAAGGGACTGCCTCCTCTGGGGCCTGGGGACTGGCAGAATGGCTTTTAACCCTCTGCTGTCTCCCACATGTGAGTGGCATGGGCAGTTGACGTCTTATATTTCCCTAGTAGATTTTGACTTCTTTTGGGCAGGGGCCTTGGCATTCATTCATTCGTCAAACATTACTGTACCTACCAAATCCCAGGCCTTGAGGATCTGGGGATATAGAGATAAATATGACAGTGTCTGGCCTCATTCATCTAACAGTAATGATCCCATGTGCTAACATGATCAAGTATTTTCTCCCTGTGAAGCTCTTACTACATGCTTTTCATGCATTTGGTCCTCACAACAAGCTGATGGGGTATTCTTGCCCCCATCTTACTGACAAGAAAAGCAAAGCTTCTGAAAGTAAAATAACCTGACACAGGCATGTGACTGGTAGGTGTCAGGCCTGGGGTTAGAGCTGAGCGGTCTGAGCAGAAACCATGTTTATGGCTGATACACTAGCCTGACCCTGGAGACCTGCCTCCGTGTTTGAAACATGGTAGTGACTTTATTGCTAGTAATTTTTACAAGTGCATTTTATCTCTAGGCTTGGTCAGGTGGCTTCTGGTGAACAGGTTTGTTTACATCCGACTTACTGTATCATATTGTATTAGAGCATAGGTGAGTCAGCTTGCGGCCCCCTGAAGAGTGACAACAAGGCTGGAAAAACCAAGAGGCAACCTTTGGCCCTATTTGAGGAACGAAGAGAGCGTCAGGCTCTTGCTTCCCCTCTCTCATTTCTGGAATAGATCAGATTCCACAGATTTGTTTTGCTTTTTGTTTTGTACTGCATTTTTTTCCAATCCTGGAAAGAAAGCCGAGGGAGGTTGGGTGCGGTGGCTCATGCCTGGCAGCCCAGCACTTTGGGAGGCTGAGGTGGGCGGATCACTTGAGGTCAGGAGTTTGAGACCAGCCTGGCCAACATGGTAAAACACCGCCTCTACTAAAAATACAACAATTAGCTGGGCGTGGTGGCAGGCGCCTATAATCCCAGCTACTTGGGAGGCTGAGGCAGGAGAATTGCTTGAACCCGGGAGGCAGAGGTTGCACGGAGCCGAGATTGCGCCACATAGTGAAACCCTATCTCAGCTAAAAATACAAAAAATTAGCCGGGTGTGGTGGCGGACACCTGTAATCCCAGCTACTCAGGAGGCTGAGGCACAAGGATTGCTTGAACTTGAGAGGCAGAGGTTGCAGTGAGCTGAGATCATGCCACTGCATGCCAGCCTGGCCGACAGAGCGAGACTCTGTCTCAAAAAACAAAACAAAACAAAACAAAAAAGGAAAGATATTTTCTCCATTTTTTCCGGAGAGGAATCGAGGCTCAGAGTAGTTAGTTAATATACCCCAAGTCACACAGCTAGACAGAGCCAGGATTTGATCCTAGGTTTGACTAACTCCAGACCCTCCACTTGAATTATTCTACTTCCCTGATGCTAAAGTTGGCAGAGAGAGGAAGAAACTCCCTTCCTGCTGAGGTTCCTGACAAACAGTAGGGGCAGGTGAGGGTAGCAAGTAACCCTGAGATCTGCTGGTTAGGGACGCCTGGCACAAAAGGATCTTAAGATGCCTCTGATTCTGCAATTCTATCTCTTTAAGACCCAGAGTTCCCATGCCAAGCCTGCTCTGTGATCCTCAGAGATTTCAGGGGTGGGGAAACTGGATTGAATGCGCTGACATACAAGCAAAAAAAGACCTCAGCATTTTTGCCTCGCCTCGGTGGCTCCGGCCTTTTTTTATTTTTTTTCCCTCTCTCATTTATTTATTACTATGCTATTCCCTGGCCCTGCTGCTGTGTCAATACTGATAAAAGCAAATCACCCCACAAACAGGTGCAGCTGGGAGCTGCCCCTTGGACAGCTGCCAGGGAAATGTGATCGCTCAGCTGGGGTGACCTGCCCCGGCCCAACCCCCTCTCAGGTTCCAGCCCAGGGCATGTGTCCTTGGGCAGTTAATGTTGGTCCACATGTCACAGCCCTGGTATCCCAGTTGGCATCATGGACTTGTGCTGGTGTGTGTGGTTTGGGTGGGGTGGGTATATGCAGGAGAGAAGGGAGGCTCCCAGGAATTTATTTTCTCTTTCGGTTTCTTCCAACAAATTCAGAAAATACAATGTCACCAAGTCCCCCTGCAAGAATTTGAAAATATTTCCTAAGAATATCACTGCCTTATTTGCCTAGGTAAGAAATATTTTTTCCCATTCCCAAATTCACACACACATGCAGTGTAATGATCCAAAAGAAATTTTCTGAGTATCTCCTAGGGCTTAGCTGTGAGTTCACCTAAATAAACATTTTGTGAGCCAACCCTGCTATCCAGAATGCATTTTGATGCTACCAAGCCATGTGACTTTGACTCTGGCTTGGAAAGATTTTATTTCATTTCCCCTCCCCCATTTCAGTGTTTTGTCCCCAAGCATCATTTCCCCACTTCCCTAGGGCACCAGCCTTTCCGGAAATGCCCTAGCTCTGCGTGCAGCCTCCGCCTCCCGGTGTGGAGAAGGCGGTGACAGCGCCGCGCCGGAGCCGCAAGGCGGGCCTGGGCGGAGGGCGAGGGGCCGGGGCGGCCGGGCCAGGCTGCCCGCCTGCCGCAGAGCAGCGCGCAGCTCGGGGAGGGAGGAGGTTGCCATGCAAATGACGCGGCGTCCTGCGGGCCCCCCTTACCCGGGGGCCCTCTGGTTGCCAAAACAGAGCATTCCCCAGAACAGTCGCCTGGAAACGAGCGCTGTCATAGCAGCCTTGAGCTCAGTAGCAGCGAGCCAGCTGTGCTGCCACGAGGAGCTGGGTCAGGATGTTCAGACCTCCTCAGCACCCCCTCCCCACCCAGTCTCCACCTCGGGGAAGGGAGTGGTGGCTTGGGCCACCGTGGAGGGGAGGGAGGGCACTAATTGGATTGGAACACTCCTGAAACACATCAGCTGCTCCTCCCTGGGGGAGGGGGAGGAGGAAAGCTGCAGACTGTCTTTGTGATCGGCTCAGCCTCTCCCTCCCAGCAGCCTCGCCCTGACCTGGTCCTCACTGGCCTCTGCCCACCTATCGCTGTCCTGGGGCACAATGGCAAGATCTTTGTAAAATGGAGGAGGCAGACACCGGATCAGATAATCACCAAAATGAAATTCAGCCTTGATATGAAGGGTACCGTGGTGATGCTACCGGGATCTGACCTGGTTTGGAAGGGTTAGGGAAGAATGCAGGTTTGCCACAGCTCCCACGTACTCTAACTACTTCATCCCTTAACAGCCCCCCGTCTTTCCAGCACCTTTTCTCATCAGCTCAGCTATGCCAACCTGGTCTTCCTTAAACCTTGGGAGCATTTGCTTTTTCCTATTTCATTTGGCACCCAGAGAGCTGCTCATCATTTAAGCGTGTGTGTGCTCACCAATTAAACTACAATATAAACTTTAAGAGGCAGGACCCATGTTATCATTGTCATGGCCCACCTTGACCATGAAGAACGAGACAGGCCAGGCGCAGTGGCTCACGCCTGTAATCCCAGCACTTTGGGAGGCCGAGGCGGGCGGATCACGAGGTCAGGAGATGGAGACCATCTTGGCTAACACGGTGAAACCCCGTCTCTATTAAAAATACCAAAAAATTAGCTGAGCATAGTGGCGGGCGCCTGTAGTCCCAGTTACTCAGGAGGCTGAGGCAGGAGAATGGTGTGAACCCGGGAGGCAGAGCTTGCAGTGAGCCGAGATCGCGCCACTGCACTCCAGCCTGGGCGACAGAGTGAGACACCATATCAAAAAGAAAAAAAAAAAAAAAGAACAAGACAGAGTTTTACAGACCTGCTTGAATTTAGGTGCCAGTGATCTTTGTCAACATAGTCATCACCCTGGGAGGCCTCTGGCGTTGCCTTTGCAACAACTGTTTTAGATTGGCCTTCAGAGACTAGTAAAACCTCTCCTGGGACTAGGGAGGGGAGGAGATTCAGTGACAGCCTGAGTGACAGTAAGCAAACAGGTGGGCTACAGAGAAAGTGGACGACTACTCAGGACACATCGAGCGTTTCATGTGGTCCGGAGGCTGTACGCCAGAGCTTACAGGTGTGACTTAAGCATGTATGTGCAAGGGAGTCCCCTTCCTTCAAATTCCTAAAGGGCCTTGGGAGTCTTATGTACCCAAACAGCAAGTCTTCATTCAACCTTGCTTGGTAAGGCAGCATGTAAATGTGCAATCTCTCTCTCCTCCCTCTTCCTTTCCTTTCTAGTGTATTGAGTTCTGCTGTCTGCCAGGCACTGAGCTAGGCACTGGAGGTTCAGAGAATGATTAAATTAGTATTCTGTATTTATGAGAAAAAAAAATCCTAAACCATATGTAGGGGGCGTTTGCCTTGCCTACAGTCACCAGCATTTTTTGATCAACTTTCCTATTTTGGGTTTTTCCCACATCATAAATCCCACTTCCCCAAAGTAAAGGCCAGAAACTGACCTTCCCAGATGTCCTTGCAACTAACATGTAAGCAGGTGACCTAAGTTCCACCGATCAGATGCACCCACATTAGATTTTTTTTTCATTTTCTTTTTCTTTTTTTTTTTTTGAGATGGAGTCTCGCTGTGTCGCCCAGGCTGGAGTGCAGTGGCTCGATCTCGGCTCACTGCAGCCTCCGCCTCTGGGGTTCAATCAATTCTCCTGCCTCAATCTCCGGAGTAGCTGGGACTACAGGCACGTGCTGCCACACCCGGCTAATTTTTGTATTTTTAGTAAAGACGGGGTTTCCCCATGTTGGCCAGGATGGTCTTGATCTCCTGACCTCGTGATCCCCCGCCTCAGCCTCCCAAAGTGCTGGGATTACAGGAGTGAGCCACTGCGCCCAGTCTTTTTTTTTTTGAGATGGAGTCTTGCTCTGTCGCCCAGGCTAGAATGCAATGGCATAATCTCGGCTCACTGCAACCTCCACCTCCTAGGTTCAAGCAAGTCTCCTGCCTCAGCCTCTCAAGTAGCTGGGATGATAGTTGTGCACCATTACGCCTAGCTAATTTTTGTATTTTCAGTAGAGACAGAGTTTTACCATGTTGACCAGGCTGGTCTCGAACTCCTGACCTCAGGTGATCTGCCCACCTCAGCCTCCCAGAGTGCTGGAATTACAGGCTTGAGCCACCACACCTGGCCTGTTTTTCCTTTTTTAGACAAGGTCTTGCGTGAACTCCTGGTCTCAAGCGATTCTCCATCCTGAGCCTCCCGAGTAGCTAGGACTACAGTTCTACAGTTGTGTACCACCAACGACATGAGTTGTTTTTTGTTTTTTGAGATGGGGTCTCACTCTGTCATCCAGGCTGGAGTGAAGTGGCACAATCTTGGCTCACCACAACCTCCGCCTCCCAGGCTCAAGTGATCCACCTCAGCCTCCTGAGTAACTGGGACCACAGGAGCGCACCACCAGGCCAAGCTAATTTTTTGTATTTTTAGTAGAGATGGGGTTTCACCATGTTGCCCAGGCTGGTCTCGAACTCCTGAGCTCAAGTGATTGTGCCCAAATTGGCCTCCCAAAATGCTGGGTTTACAGGTGTGAACCACTGGCTTCACATGAGATCTTGATTTGGAAGAAAGCAATTGAGGAAGAAAGCATCCTGGGGAAGGGGGCTTTCCATCCTCTGAACCCCACACCCATGGTTGTGCCCATCACTCAAAGGCATGCACTTGCCTCGTGTTGCCTTGTGACATGGTTCCTATTGTTACCCAACAGTCCTATTTTACCTTGAGCAAGGATGACATGCACATTTGTGACTCATTTCATATTGTTCTGCCCTCTCCCATCTCCAGACTCCCAGAGGCACTGACTGTCCCATGGCTGGCATGTGCAGTGCAGCTATTTTTCACATGGGCACAACCCATCACCCAGCATACCGTCAACTCCATGGTGTCTTGGGATTGCAACTTATGTGATTTTTGCCAACCCCCTTTCCTACGGCTTTACAAGAAATAGGATTTTATGATATGCCTGTGGAAAATGAGAATCATATTATTTATTTTCAAATTGATGACTTTCTCCATAATAAAATTATAAGCACTTGCAGACATAGCCCATTCATTCATTCATTCCTTCAGCAGTAAATGAGTGCCTATGGTATGCCTGGCATTGTGTTGAGTGCTGGGACAGAACTGAGTACAGCACAACTCCTCCTTACAATATGTTAGTTTATTAGCAAAAAACAGATACAGGCTGGGTGCCATGGCTTAAGGCCTGTATCCCAACATTTTGGGAGGCTGAGGCCTGAGGATTGCTTGAGCCCAGGAGTTAGAGAGCAGCCTGGACAGTACAGGGAGACCTTGTCTCTGCAAAAAATAAAAAAATTAGCCAGGTGGGGTGGTGTGCACCTGTAGTCTCAGACACTCAGGAGGCTAAGGTGAGAAGATCACTTTAGCCCGTGAGGTTGAAACTGCAGTGAGCATGATCATGCCACTGCACTCTATCCTGGGTGTCGGAGCAGACAAATAAGTGGGGGAAAGGTGGTACAAGCACTCTGATGGCCAGTGTGCAGGGTAGAGAAGGGAGTGGTTGGTTGGGCGCAGAAAAGACTCTTTCATAGGCACAACATCAAGTGCTTATTCTAGGACAGCTTTTTTCTCAGGACTTAATGTATATTCATTCACTTAATCTTCACAACAGCAATAAGGCAGGTGTTTTTTTTTTTTTTTTTTTTTTGTTTGTTTGTTTTTTTGTTGAGACGGAGTCTTGCTCTGTGGCCCAGGCTGGAGTGCAGTGGCGTGATCTCAGCTCACTGCAAGTTCCGCCTCCCAGGTTCACGCCATTCTCCTGTCTCAGCCTCCCGAGTAGCTGGGACCACAGGTGCCCGCCACAACGCCCGGCTAATTTTCTGTATTTTTAGTAGAGACGGGGTTTCACTCTCGATCTCCTGACCTCATGAACCGCCACCTCGACCTCCCAAAGTGCTGGGATTACAGGTGTGAGCCACCATGCCTGGCTTTTTTTTTTTTTTTTTTTTGAGACAAATTCTCACTCTGTTGCCCAGGCTGGAGTGCAGTGGCATCTCAGCTCATGGCAACCTCTACCTCTCAGGTTCAAGCAATTCTCCTCAGCCTCCCGAATAGCTGAGATTACAGGCACCCGCCACCAAACCTGGCTAAGTTTTGTATTTTTAGTACAGACAGAGTCTCACCATATTGACCAGGCTGGTCTCAAACTCTTGACCTCATGATCTACCCACCTCAGTCTCCCAAAGTGCTGGGGTACAGGCGTGAGCCACTGTGCCCAGCCAATACCGTATCTTACAGGTAAGGGAACCAAAGCCCTGAGAGGTGTAATGTCTTGCAGGGTTGCACAGCTGGTGAGTTGCAGAGCTGGGATGTGTCCTCCATACTCTAACATCCATGTGCTTAACTGCTGCACTGCACTGCCTTGAGCAGATTCTGGAAGGTGAAAAATTAGTGATCACCAGGGATCTTTACAGGCTCAGGGCATGGAGTGGCTGCCTGTTTTGTTCAGCTGGCACATGGTGCACTGGGAAATGGTATGGTGTAGAGGGCGGCCATCCAAAATACTTAAAAGTGATAGGTGAGAACTCAGTACCACAAGCTGGGACTTCAGTTGTTCTCTTTGTTCCTTGATGGATAATTTCACTTCTTAAGAGTGGTTGACCTAGACAAAATTGTAAGGTTGGCAGAATGGGCTTCTCCCTAGGCAGATAGAATTTGCTTTGGAATCTCAGGGACTTGGGTTCTGGTCCCCACTCTGCCACTGACCAGCTGAGTGACTTTGGGCAAGTCACTCAACATCTCTTAACCTCGGTTCTCTCCACTGGTAATTGAGAATAATAACCTCATAGTGCTGACATAGGATTAAATGAGATAATGCATGTCAATCAGCTTAGAATGCAAACAAGCCAAAAGTAACATTTATTCAATTTTTAAGTTCACAATATCTCATCTACAACTCCAAACACCTAAAAGCTCTGAAAACGAAACACATTTGGCAACAAAACCTGAGATTTGAGTCTCACTCTGTCACCCAGGCTGGAGAGTGCAATGGCACGATCTCGGCTTACTGCAACCTCCGCCTCCTGGGTTTAAGCGATTCTCCTGCCTCAGCCTCCTGACTAGCTGGGATTGCAGGCACTCGCTATCATGCCTGGCTAATTTTTGTATTTTTGTAGAGATGGGGTTTCACCATGTTGGCCAGGCTTGTCTTGAACTCCTGACCTCAGGCGATCCGCCTGCCTCGGCCTCCCAAACTGCTGGGATTACAGGCTTGAGCCACAGCACCCAGACAAAACCTGAGTTTTTTTTATTCCCACCTAGTGTGAATTTTCCATGTACTTTTTTGCAGGAATATTAAAGTATTTGTTTAAAGTATTTGATGACATCCCAGATTCTGCTGGGGGCTTTGCAAAATATGTGGCATGGCACTGTGTTCCTTTTCTAAAATCCGAAAGACTCTGCATTACAAAACACATCTGACCCAAAGGCATCAGGTAAGGGATTTTGACTAGCATTATCTCATCTCTAGACCACTCTCTCCACTCCCAGTCCCCCTCTTACTCTAACTGTTCAAATGGCCATTGGGCATCTAGAATCAACCCTTCTCTGCAAAAGAAATACACATACATCCATATATCCTTTGGGTCTCTCCATACACCTGTCTCCCTCAGCCAAGCTCCTTTGCTCCCACTATTTCTTCAGTCCTGATTTTTGCCAACCTCATTGAATTTAAATGCCCCCATACCCCTCTACCCCCACGCCCTGGTCAAGAACACAGATTTTAGAGATGGTGCCTTCTCTGAACTACTTTGGTAGTATAGGCCCGGCCAGTCGTTACTGCCTGTGGGCTGCAGAATTATTCCAAGAAGCTCTATGTCTATTTGAACTCCAAATACTATCTGCCAACTGTGTAAGTAATGTCTGGTGTATAACTGTGCTACTCCTTTTCAGCTGTGCTGAAGGCCTGATTGTTTTTTGTCACTATGAATTTTCCCCGTTTACCAAAGCCCAGAATAACAGCTTCTCTCCTTTGCAGGGCTGCAGTCATTTCCAAAGGGAACAAGGGGTCTTCATGCTGGGGCAGGTTACAAACCACTGAGCTGGGCTGTCTTGGTAGTGTGCCATTCCTCCTTGGTGGGGGGGAATCATGAGACCTGAGGTCAAGTTCCAGCTCTTCCCTGGCTGGTTAGATGATCTTGGGGGCAGGCCCTTGTGACTTGGAAAGCTTTGGTTTCCTCATTCTGGAGCAGAGATCATGAAAATTATTTGGCAGGATTGTGAAGAAGATTAAATGAGATAATGAAAGGACTTTGAAAACTGTGAGGTGTTGCACAAATGGAAAGCTTGTTGTCATCTTACACAAATTGTCAACTTCTTTTTTTTTTTTTTTGAGACGGAGTCTCTCTCTGTTGCCCAGGCTGGAGTGCAGTGCCGCGATCTCGGCTCACTGCAACCTCTGCCTCCCAGGTTCAAATGATTCTCCTGCTTCAGCCTTCTGAGTAGCTGGGATTACGGGCACCACCATGCCCGGCTAATTTTTGGATTTTTAGTAGAGATGGGGTTTCACCATGTTGGCTAGGCTTGTCTTGAACTCCTGATCTCAGGCGATTAGCCCGCCTCGGCCTCCCAAAGTGCTGGGATTAGAGGTGTGAGCCACTATTGTAGCTCTTGGAGCCACAATATTCCAAGTGCTCTTGGAGCACTTGGCCACATATTGTCAGCTTCTTAAAGGTGGGAATAGTCTCTTCTGTTTTCTTCAGTTTCCTCAGTGGCACTCCCCACCCCCATTCTGCAATCAACACAGGACTGGCTATAGAGATGGCCTTGTATAAAACACTGTGAAGTAACTTGCACAGTGGCTTAGCAAATAAGAGGTATTTAATAAATGGTGGTTAATATGCACGCATGTACCATCCATTGTGCGGAGAAGCAGTGTAGTGCAGCGATGTAGAGCATGGGCCCTGGTATTAATCCACTCTCTGCCACTTGCTTGGTTAGCACGTGTGACCTTGGGCAAGGTTAGCACTAATAGGCCCTAATATTCTCATCTATCACACATGGCTGATGATAGTAGTAGTTAATTCATGAAGTTGTGAAAACTGAAAGGGTTTAGTCTATGTAACAGAGCCGGGCACGAATCGAGCACTCTGTAGGCATCTGTTGTTTTTGTCTTTTTTTGCAACAAGATCTCAATCTGTCGCCCAGGGTGAGTGCAGTGGCACAATCATGGCTCACTGCAGCCTCGACCTCCTGGGCTCAAGTGATCCTCCCACCTCAGCTTCCTGAATAGCTGGGACTACAGGTGCATGCCACCATGCTCAGCTAAGTTTAAATTTTTTTTTTGTAGAGATGGGGTCTTGCTATGTTGCCGAGGCTGGTCTTGAACTCCTGGCCTCAAGCAATCCTCCCACCTCAGTCTCCCAAAGTGCTGGGATTACAGGGGAGCCACCACACCCAGCCCAGTTGTTATGTAACAAGAGGTGGTTGGTGGCTGGGCGTGGTGGCTCATGCCTGTAATCCCAGCACTTTGAGAGGCCGAGGCAGGTGGATCACCTGAGGCCAGGAGTTTGAGACCAGCCTGGCCAACATGGCGAAACCCTGTTTCTACTAAAAACATAAAAATTAGTTGGGTGTGGTGGCACGTGCCTGTATCCCACCTACTCGGGAGGCTGAGGCATGAGAATCGCTTGAACTGGGAGGCGCAGCTTGCAGTGAGCCCAAATTACACCACTGCATTCCAGCCTGGGAGACAGAGCAAGACTCTGTCTCAAAAAAAAAAAAAAAAAAGAGGTGGTTGGAGAAGATCGCCAGACAGGAAGTCTAGCTTCTGGTCTTTGTTCAGAGTCAGCATAGTCTTCAAAGAGGGTTAGATGCTCAGGCCAGCCTCTCAGGATCAGCACAAATCATGCAGTGGTGAACAGACTTGGGTGTCGTTTCCCCCAGGTGTGGGTGAAGTTCCTAGACTAGACCAGATATCATTGGGTAAAAGGTGTGCCTGTTTAACATTTGGATAAATATCACTATTGTCCAACATACAGAAGTTTCTGTCCACACCACCTCCTGCCAGAACAAGAATGCCTATTTCCCCATGTCCTAACCAACTCATATTTTTAAGTATTTTATTAATTTTTTGACTAGGTAATGTTTGCAGATGACACAAAATTTAAAAAGGTAGGGAAGGGCATGCAGTGAGAGGTCTCCACATTCCCATCGCAGCCATCCCAGTCCTGTCCCCAGAACCACAAACTTTGATCTCAGCCTTTCTGGTAAATGGAAAGTGGTATCTCACTCAATAAATCTCACAATTATGTTGACGTGAAAACAAATTACTATATATTAGGGAGTAGAATGTTGCATGTGAATGAATTTTAAGATTAAACAGGAGACTTCAAAGACATTTCACGCTCTAGGGTGGGGAGCGGCCCTTCTCTTGGGGGAAACCTTGATACAGCTCTGTGTTAGTCTGTGGAATGAATGCCTGAAGATGCCCCCACTCGTCTCGATCACATTGCGGTTTCCCTCATCCCCCAGTCACGTGTTTACCTTCCATCCCTTTGGGCTCTTCCTGCCCTTGGCCTGGTCACCACCTTGCTGCCTTACCTTAAGTCAGTCACCTCCTGCTCTGGGCTTCCTGACTTGTAAAAAAGGGGCTGAACTAGGCCTCATTCCAGGTGTAGCATTCCAAGACTGATCAACTAATTCACATTAAGGTGTAGATGACTGATAACAGCTTAATGTATTACCTCTCCTGTGGGTGGAAACATTTTAAGAGACGCAATTTCTCATCCTCCAAGAATGAATGTGCACGGTGCAATTTCAGGAATGGTCACAGGTGTGTGGGGATGATGTAGGGGGAGGGGTCCCTTTCCTGGCACCCCTCCAGTGGTCACTGTAGGCCCCCACCTGCTCCAGCCAGGGGTGGTGGCAGCCCTGAGGGGAACAAACCTGCTGGCTTCCCTCACACCACAGTCCACATTCATTTCTCTCTGGCAGCGGCCAAGAGCAGGGTTTTGTCATACAGAAAAATGCCTCATCAGGGAAACCCACGTGTGTGGCCTGGAAAACTACCTTGTCCCCTGGGGCGAGGGGTGCGGTGGAGGTGTTAGCAGCTTGATTTCTAGGTTCTCAGGTCAGTTCTTGTCCTGGGTGGGTGAGGAGACCCCCACTGGAGGGCCACTGGCCTTCCGCCAGAGCAGGTGGTCCTGCCACACCTGGATCCAAGACGTCTGCTTTTTACTGAGAGAAAGAGGCTGTGTCAGACACTGTCTGGTTTTGTTGGCTGAAGGAGGTTTGGTTTGGCTTCTGAATTTTCAGGGAGGGCTGATGGCCCGCAGCCACGAGCCACCGTTAGCCTGTGAGAAAGAGGAAAGGCGTTTCTTTAGCTGTGAAGTCTAGGCCACTGCATCCCAGCCCATGTTCCGCACTCACCCCTTGGGCCCTCATGGGGTGCCGTTTTGTCCCACTACTGTCTGGGCCTTTCTTCGGTGCAGGCAGGCGGCTGGGGAAGCCAGTCTGTGCTGCCCCCAGAACAGTGGTGGGTGGGGATGGAAACCAGGGGCTGAGGGGCCCAGGTCAGATCAGTGAGAGATGTGCCTCGCTCTCTGGCAGAACCTCCACTGTTGCATCCCCTCCTCTTTTCTGGACCAGGGCAGCTTCTCCAGACCTGATGATGCTTAACCCGTGAGCCTCATCACAGAGCATTCAGAGCTCTAGACCCTCCCTACGCAAAGGGTGGTGTATGACCAGCCTCATCCGCCTCACCTGGGAGTCGGTTATGCTGCAGGCCTTAGGGAGGTGGGAATGCCATAGAAGCTCTCTGGGGAGGCCCCTCTGAGGGGGAGACTCACCACAGGCCTGGTTCAACAGAGAGAGATGGACACTGGGAAAGGAACGCACGATGGGGCCGCGTGCTGAACTAGGGAGGTGTCTTCCCTTCCTTCCCTCCCTCTCTCCCTCCCTCCCTCCCTCCCTCCCTTCCTTCCTTCTTTCTTTCTTTTCTTTTCTTTTCTTTCTTTTTTTTTGAGATGGAGTTTCGCTCTTGTCGCCCAGGCTGGAGTGCAATGATGCCATTTCAGCTCACTGCAACCTCTGCCTCCTGGGTTCAAGCGATTCTCCTGCCTCAGCCTCCCAACTAGCTGGGATTACAGGCGCTCGTCACCACGCCCGGCTAATTTTGTATTTTCAGTAGAGACGGGGTTTCACCATGTTGCCCAGGCTGGTCTCAAACTCCTGACCTCAGGTGATCTGCCCATCTCAACCTCCCAAAGTGCTGGGATTACAGGCGTGAGTTACCACTCCCGGCCTTAATTTATTTCAAAACGGTTTCTTTTAGTTTTATTTTCATTTTATTTTAAATAGGCAACCCACTCACACAGTTAAAATTCTAAGGGCACAGGAGGGTATGTAAAATACAGTTTCTTTCACAGACTTGTTTCCTAGCTGCTTCCCCTCTCAAAGGCAACCCATGTGGCCCAGGGACATTAGATTACGCCAGTAAAAACATGCACGTGCGCGTGCATGTGTGTGTGTCACTAGACCTTTTATTTTTGTTTTGTTTGTCAAATGATCCTTTATTGAAATATTTTCCTTTGTGCTTAACTAGCTGGGCATTCCACAGCACCACTGTTGATGTCATCTATGATGTCATGAGGGTGGCGGCCATCAACATTGCAGCCCACAGACTGGGCAGTCCCCAGGATCTCTTTAATGGTTCCAGTGAGATCTCTGGCTAAAGATCGGTGCCGCATCCGTGGAGCAATGTTGACGATCTCATCAAAAGTGATATTCCCACTGTGTTTAATGTTTTTCTGTTTCTTTCTGTCTCTTGGTTCCTTAAGGGCTTTGATGATCAGGGCAGAAGCAGAAGGCACCACCTCAATCTGGGCCTGTCTGTTCTCAATGGTCAGTTTCACTGTAATCCTCAGGCCCTTCCAGTCACCCGTTGCCTTGGCAATGTCATCACCAACCTTTTTTGGAGACAGGTCCAGGGGGCCGATCTTGGGGCCCAGCGCAGACGTGGCACTGACTTCACCCCCAGTGCACCTCAGGTATACGACTTTGATCTCGCTGGGGTTGAACTTCGGCCACATGGTGGAGGCGGCTGGTGTTGGATGAACACAGATTCTGGACCGCCGAAGAAAGTTGCACCTTGGCCTCCTCTGAGCTGAGAGCCGAAAAGCCCGCTAGACCCCTTTTAAAAATTCAAAGGTTGGCTGGGTGGGGTGGCTTACGCCTGTAATCCCAGCACTTTGGTAGGCAGAAGTGGGCAGATCACAAGGTCAGGAGTTCAAGACCAGCCTGGCCAATATGGTGAAACCCCATGTCTACTAAAAATACAAAAAAATTAGCAGGGTGTGGTGGCACATGCCTGTAATCCAGCTACTTGGGAGGCTGAGGCAAGAGAATTGCTTGAACCCGGGAGGAAGAGGTTGCAGTGAGCCAAGATCACGCCACTGCACTCCAGCCTGGGCGACAGGGCGAGACTGTCTCAAAAAAAAAAAAAATAAAAATAAAAATAAAAATAGAAAAAAATAAAAATAAAAAAATTCAAAGTTTGGCCCATGGCACACAGTGTATGAACCTTACTTTTCTCACCTAGTGTGTCTTGTAGATCATTCTATATCAGTATGTAAAGAACATCCTAGATTATATTTCAGATGAATATTATTCTACTCTAAAGATAGACCTCAATTTATATAGCCAGGACCCTACTGCTGGACTTTTAGGTTGTTTAATAAATGTAGCCTAATTTTATTTATTTATTTATTTTTTGAAACGGAGTCTCGCTCTGTCACCCAGGCTGGAGTGCAGTGGCACGATCTCTGCTCACTGCAAGCTCCGCCTCCCGGGTTCACACCATTCTCTTGCCTCAGCCTCCCGAGTAGCTGGGACTACAGACGCCCGCCACCACGCCCGGCTAATTTTTTTGTATTTTTAGTAGAGACGGGGTTTCACCGTGTTAGCCAGGATGGTCTCGATCTCCTGAACTCGTGATCCGCCCGCCTCGGCCTCCCAAAGTGCTGGGATTACAGACGTGAGCCACCGCGCCTAGCAATAAATGTAGCCTAATTTTAGAATCTTAGAAAATAGAAGGTCATTTAACCCCAACTCCCATCCACCCTGTCTAGGTTTTTTTTTTTTTTTTTTTTTGGTAGAGATGAGGTCTTGCTTTGTTGCCCAGGCTCATCTTGAACTCCTGGCTTCAAGCTATCCTCCTGCCTCAGCCTCCCTCCCAAAGTGCTGGGATGTGCCCAACCCTGCCAAGGAGTTCTTTCATGGTGTCTGATTGCATGCCTGAGACCCAGCTGCAGTGTCGCCTCCTCTGGGAAGCTCCACCTTCCTCTCCCTCTCATCACCCTTGCACATACCTTAGCCAGAGCCCTAATCACATGATATTATTTAGGCAAAAGCGTGATAACTTTGCTTTTGTATCTTCTCAGCCCTGCCCCTATTGCAGAGCATAGTAGGTACAGAACCAATGTGAATTGACAGTCCTTGAGAGGGGATGCCTCCAAATTCTGCTGCTTGAACACTTCCAGTAACAGGGATCTCACTTCTTGAAAAGCTCATTCTGCCTGTGAAAGGCCGTATCAGACAGTCCTTTGATGGAGCAAAGTCTGTTTCCCATTGGCTTTTCCCTCTGGGTTCTAGTGCATCTTCTAAACACAAATGTAATCCCTCTTCCAGATATTTAAGATAACCTCCTTTCTCTAAGCCAGATACCCATCCCCCTAACCTCCCCTCCCCCCTTTCCTTTGGGCTCTGGTTCCAGATCCTGTGCCTTCTAGCATTTTCCTCTAGACACTTTTTGATTTGTAATATGATTCGTTTAAAAGTGATCTCTGTCCGGGCGCGGTGGGATTCATGCCTGTAATCCCAGCACTTTGGGAAGCCAAGGTGGGCAGATCACTTGAAGTCAGGAGTTCGAGACCAGCCTGGCCAATGTGGCGAAACCCTGTCTACTGAAAATACAAAAATTAGCCAGATGTGGTGGCACATGCCTGTCATTTCAGCTACTTGGGAGGTTGAGGCACGAGAATCACTTTAATCCAAGAGGCGGAGGTTGCAGTGAACCAAGATCACTCCACTGCACTCCAGCCTGGGTGACGGAGTAAGACTCTGTCTCAAAAGAAAAAAAAAAAAAGTGTTCTATTACACATCTATTAGAATAGCTACAATTAAAAAGACTGACCACACCAAGTATTGACCAGGATGTGGAGCATTAAAACTCTCCAGCACTGCTGGTGGGAGTATGAAATGGAACAGGCACTTTGGAACAGTTGGCAGTTTCCTAAAAAATAGTTAAAGATATATCTTTCATGTGACCTAGCCATTCCACTCCAAAATATTTACTCAAGATAAATGAAAGCATATGTCCATTCTAAGGCATATGCTCCTAGCAGCTTTATTTGAAATAGCCAATGTCCATCAACAGTGAATACATCGACTATAGTATATCCATGCCATAGAATTTGAGCAAAACAAAACCTGCTGATCCACTTGAACAGGTATTGATACGATGACAATGAACAATATTGATATATCTCAAAATAATTATGCTGAGTAAAGAAGCCAGATGAAAATTAACAAGTCCATACTGTATGATTTCATTTATATGAAATTATAAAAACTGTAAACTAGGCCTCACATCTGTAATCCCAGCACCTTGGGAGGTCGATGTGGGAGGATTGCTTGAGCCCAGGAGTTCAAGACCAGCAATCATAGTGAGACCTTGTCTCTCTCTCTCTTTTTTTTTTTGAGACAGAGTTTCACTCTGTGTCTCCCAGGCTGGAGTGCAGTGGTGTGACCTTGGCTCACTGCAACCTCCACCTCCCAGGTTTAAGTGATTCTCCTGCCTCAGCCTGCTGAGCAGCTGGGATTACAGGCGTGCACCACCACGCCCAGCTAATTTTTGTATTTTTAGTAGAGATGGGGTTTTGCCATGTTGGCCAGGCTGATCTCAAACTTCTGACCTCAGGTGATCTACCCGCCTCGGCCTCCCAGTGTGCTGGGATTACAGGTATGAGCCACCATGCCCAACCCAGACCTTGTCTTTACAAAAAAAAAAAAAAGATTAGCCGGGCATCATGGTGTGCACCTGTAGTCCCAGCTACTCAAGAGGCTGCAGTGGGAGGATCACTGGAGCCCGGGAATTGTGGCTGCAGTGAGTCGTGATTATACCATTGTCCTCCAGCCTGGGCAACAGAATGACACCCTGTCTCAAAAAAAAAAAAAAAAAAATTCTGATCTTAAAGAGTTGTGATCTTTCAATGAATGGTATATAAAGGAAATAAACTTAGCATTGCAATTGGTCTATCATGGCACTCAATGAAAAAAAGCTATTTTTATAGCTTCATCACTCTGGCCTGTCACAGTATTTTAAAATCTTCATTCTGCGTGTGGTAGACCTCTCATCTTGCAACATCTTTATATTTGATTAGCAGACCTACATGCTTTTTATTAGAATTTCTAGCACAAACACTGAAATGGACCAGGTCAAAACCTGCCCCATGGCACGTCACCATTGAGTCTCCTCCAGACCCTTGGGTTAGGAGAAATGAGTTCAGTATCACATTTTAAAGTGCGACAGCTAATATGCCAGCTAATGTAGGAGATGTCAGAGGAGTGTGGGATGAGCTTGAAAGGGGAGCAGCAGAGGAGTGTGGGATGAGCTTGAAAGGGGAGCAACAGCTGTAGTAAACAGCATGGTGGTTCCTCAAAAACTTAAAGAGAGTTACCATATGATCCAACAATTCAGTTTCTGGTTATATACCTCAAAGAATTGAAAGCAAGAACGGCCGGGTGCGGTGGCTCACGCCTGTAATCCCAGCACTTTGGGAGGCCGAGGCGGGTGGATCATGAGGTCAGGAGATTGAGACCACCGTGAAACCCCGTCTCTACTAAAAATACAAAAAAAAAAAAAAAAAAAAATTAGCCAGGAGCGGTGACGGGCGCCTGTAGTCCCAACTACTCGGGAGGCTGAGGCAGGAGAATGGCGTGAACCCGGAGGGGGAGCTTGCAGTGAGCCGAGATTACGCCACTGCACTCCAGCCTGGGCGACAGCGTGACTCCGTCTCAAAAAAAAAAAAAAAAAGCAGGGACACAAACAGATATTCATATGCTCATGTTAATAGCAGCATCATTCACGATAATCAAATGGTAGAAGCAACTCAAGTGTCCATCAACAGATGAATGGATCAACAAAATATGGCATATACACATAATGGAATAATATTCAGCTTAAAGTAGGAATTTGCATAATGGAATATTATTCAGCTTAAAATAGAAACTTGGTATGTTTTTTGTTTGTTTGTTTGTTTTGAGATGGAGTCTTGCTCTGTTGCCCAGGCTGGAGTGCAGTGGCACGATCTTTGTTCACTGCAGCTTCCACCTCCCGGGTTCAAGTGATTCTCATGCCTCAACCTCCCAAGTAGCTGGGACTACAGGCACCCACCACCACGCCCAACTAATTTTTGTATTTTTAGTGGAGAGGGGATTTCATCATGTTGGCCAGGCTGGTCTCGAACTCCTGACCTCAAGCAACCTGCCTGTCTTGGCCTCCCAAAGTGCTAGGATTACAGGCGTGAGCCACCACACCTGGAAAGCAGAAACAGAACTTCCGAACTTTGAAGATATTATGTTAAGTGAAATAAGTCAGACACAAAAGGACAAAAACATACTGTATGATTCCACTTATATGAGGCGCATACCCATAGAAGCAGAAAGTAGAATGGTGTCTGCCAGAGGCTGGGCCGGAGGAAACAGGGAATGGGGAGTTACAGTTTAATGGGTGTAGAATTTCAGTTTGGGAAGCTTAAATGTTCTGGAGATGAATGGTGGCAATAGTTGCACAACAATGTGGATGCTGCGGAACTGTACACCAAAAAATGATATCAATGGCATATTTTATATTATGTGTATTTTATCATGATTCTTTCTTTCTTTCTTTCTTTTTTGAGACACAGTTTCGCTCTGGTTGCCCAGGCTGGAGTGCCATGGCGCGATCTCAGCTCACTGCAACCTCCGCCTCCCAGGTTCAAGTGATTCTCTTGCCTCAGCCTCCTGAGTAGCTAGGATTACAGGAAACTGCCACCACACCCAGCTAATTTTTTTGTATTTTTACTAGAGATGGGGTTTCACCATGCTGGCCAGGCTGGTCTCGAACTCCTGACCTCAGGTGATCCACCCCCCACCCTTGGCCTCCCAAAGTGCTGGGATTACAGGAGTGAGCCACCACACCCAGCTTATCATGATTTTAAAAGGGGGAGAGAAGCATCATCCTGCTTAGTAGTAGGGAGGGCCTGGCTATGGGTTGGGTGGACAGCTGAGTTGGTATGAGTTGGAGAACAGGCTCACCTTGTCACAACTGGGAGGTGACAGGCGAGGAGGCTAAGCATGCCCTGCTAAGCCTTGAAGTCCAGATTGAGAAATTTGGGTTTGAGATCCTGAGTCACTTCTTGGGTCAAGTCTTTTTCTCCTGGTTAAAAAACAATTTCCTTGGGGTGGAGTAATCCAGGAGCTCTAAAGGTAGCAGGTTTTTGTTTCTTTGTTTGTTTTTGAGACAGAGTCTTGCTCTGTCGCCAGGCTGGAGTGCAGTGGCGCAGTCTTGGCTCATTGCAACCTCCACCTCCTGGGTTTAAGCCATTCTCCTGCCTTAGCCTCCCAAGTAGCTAGGATTACAGACATGTGCCACCATGCCTGGCTAATTTTTGTATTTTTAGTAGAGACAGGGTTTCACCATGTTGGCCAGGCTGGTCTTGAACTCCTGACCTTGTGATCTGCCCGCCTCGGCCTCCCAAAGTGCTGGGATTACAGGCGTGAGCCACCGCGCCCAGCCCAAGGTAGCTGGTTAAATTAATGCGGATTGGTTTAGTCATCAGCCATCGGTAGGGGTTTTATCATCAGAGAGTGGGGACAGATGGCATAGGACATTGTTCAGGAGTCTGACAGCTCTGGGCTTGTGTTGTGATTTCTCCATTCCCTAGCAGTGTGCCCTAAACTAGTGAGTGCCACTGTTTCCTCATCTGTAAACTGGGGATAATCACGACCTTGTGTAACAGGGTTAAAAGGAGAAAGAGTTACATACTAAGTATTTGCCACTTCTGTCTTCTTTCTCCTGCCAAGGAGGAAGGGTGGCAGCTGGCGTGTTTGTATGCTGTTTCAAGAGAGGTGAGGCAGAGCAAAATCCAGAGTAGATCAAATTTCTTTGAATAAGAAAAGATGAAGGCAGGGCGTGGTGGCTCACACCTGTAATCCCAGCAGTTTGGGAGGCTGAGGCGGGCAGATCAGTTGAGGTCAGGAGTTCAAGACCAGCCTGGTCTGGGCGGATCAGTTGAGGTCAGGAGTTCAAGACCAGCCTGGCCAACATGGTGAAACCCCATCTCTACTAAAAATACAAAAACGAGCCAGGCACGGTGGTGCACACTGGTAGTCCCAGCTATTTGGGAGGCTGAGGCAAGAGAATTGCTTGAACCCAGGAGGCAGAGGTTGTGGTAAGCCGAGATCACACCACTGCACTCCAGCCTGAGTGACAGAGCAAGAAGACAGCAACAGAACTAGGTTTGGGGTGTGGGAGGAGAGAAGCTGAACTGCTGTGCTGAGGACTGGGACTTGGGCAGGGATAGAAGCCCCTTGTGTTTTGTGAAAAAATTTCCTCTCTGTGCTTCCCCAAGAGACTCTTAGGAGAGACTTACTATGGTGCTTTCTAAGCAGCGTTGGAATCTCAGCCTTTTTTGAATGCTGGGACGAGCCTCCAGGTGGTCCAGTACATCTGGGTTCCATTTGCAAAATGTCTGACACATTTTAGGAGCTTAACAAAATGCTCAGTTATTCTACAAGAAGACAGATCTGGGAGCTGGAGAGATGAGGGCTGGGTATCTTCAAAGAGCAGACAAAACACCTTCCTGAGACACCAGGCCACTAGGTTAGGTTAAAGGAGTGTTAAGTCCCATGCCTTTCCTCTCTCTAGAGCTGCACTGTTCGGTGTGGTAGCCAATAGCCACAAATATTTGCATTGTATTATTTTATCTTATTTTTTTGAGACAGGGGTCTTACTCTGTCGCCCAGGCTGGAATGCAGTGGCACCATCTCAGCTCACTGTGACCTCTTCCTCCTGAGTTCAAGCAATTCCATGCCTCAGCCTCTTAAGTAGCTGGGATTACGGGTGCACACCACCACACCTGGCTAATTTTTGTATTTCTTAGTGGAGACGAGGTTTTGCCATGTTGGTCAGGCTGGTCTTGAACTCCTGACCTCAGGTGATCTGCCTTCCTCGGCCTCCTAAAGTGCTGAGATTATAGCCGTGAGCCACCATGCCCAGCTATAATTAAAAATGAAAAATAAAAATAAAAAATATGGTTCTCGTTCACACTTAGCCATACATCAAGTGCCCAATAGCCACATGTTGATAGTGGCCACCACATTGCACAAAGCAGATATAGAATCTTTCCATCAGCATGGAAGGTTCTGTTGGACAGCACTGTGCTAGAAAGATGAGGAAAAAGTCCAAGTAAGTCGGTTTGTTTATACCCTGAATTGTTCCTCAAAGGATCTGAGGCAGGCGAGGACAGCCTGAGGCCATCAGACCAGAGCCCTGTGGCTGGAGCGGGGGAAGGCTGGCGTGTGGGCTGAACCCAGTCAGGAGTGGAGCCACAGAGAGAAGCAAGGCCCCAGTGGGCTGAGCTCCAGGACCCAGATAGGAAATGGGAGGAAGGTGGGGGTAGGGTTGTTGTGGGAGTGAGTGTCAAAGGACAAGGCCATGTGCAATCAGATGTTGAGCAATGAGTCTGCTGCGGGAAGAGGCTCCCCCGTTCCTCTTAGCAGCGTATGGTTCTCTGACCTGTTTAATCAAGGAGTCTCCTGTGCCCTGCTGTTCTCAAGTACAGATTCCAAATTCCAGCTAATCAGATGCAATTACAGGATATTGTTGGGTGCAAGTTCTGACTTGCAGCACATCGGGTAGGATGCCAGGCCTGGGTCCCTGCATGCCGCCTGGCTGGTATGTTTTCAGCAGCCGTCCTGGAGGCAGTGGGGCCAGGAGACATCCTTCCTGGTGGCGGTGCTGAGAGTGGAGAGGGTGAAGGGAACCAGGCCTGGGTGCTATCCTGCAGCACTTTCAAAGCAAAGATCTGCTCCAGGGATGGATTCTTCTTGAGGGCAAGTCAGAGTTTAAAAAATATTCATTAAAAGTGACTTTGTGTTAAACTCATTTCTGGGGATTAAAGAAAAGCCAAACTTATATTAAGATCATTTTAATTTAAGCTTTGTTGGGAAGTTAGAAGATATCGCAGGGTGGGTTGGAGTGCCAAGGGAGCAGCTTCTTATTGCTTAATTTGAGATAATGTATTCCCGTAAGTTTTATTTTTACTTTTATTTTGAGGTATAACAGACTCACAGCAAAGCACACTCATCTTTACTGTACAGCTTGATAAATTTTTACATATGTATGTACCCATGCAATCTCCACCCAGATCAGAATACGGAACATTTCCAGCACCCTAAAATGTTCCCTCACCTCCCTCCTGTCCATCAGTCTCGCCCCCGACAGGTAATCGCTGTTCTGATCTACCACCAACAATCAGCTTTGCCTGTTCTTGAACTTCATATAAATGGAATCATACGGTGGGTGCCCATTTGTTCCCTGGCTTCTTTTGCTCATAAGCCTGTGAATGATTTTCTTTCTTTCTTTCTTTCTTTTTTTTGAGACAGGGTCTCGCTTTGTTACCCAGGCTGGAGTGCAGTGGCATGATCACAGCTCTCTTCAGCCTCAACCTCCCAGGCTCAAGCGATCTCACCTCAGCCTCCCGAGCAACTGGGACTACAGGTGCGCACCACCACGCCCAGTTAACTTTTTTTTTTTTTTTGTAGAGACAGGGTCTCACTATGTTACCCAGGCCAATCTTGAAATCCTGGGCTCGAGCGATCCTTCTGCCTCGGCCCCTCAAAGTGCAGGGATCACAGGCGTGAGCCAACGCACCCAGCCAGCCTGTGAACTTTTTTAGGAGAAATTTTTATAGCTACAGATTCATAGTCCTTTACCTGAAACCCTTGGGGCCAGATAGGTTTCCGAATTCAGATTTTTTCACCGTTTAGAAAAAAGCCATGGTGCGCACACTGTATATTATGAAATACCCACCGCAGGATCTGGGGCAGCACCTGGTAAACACATAAATATTTTTAAGCAAAGTCCATGAATATTCACACACTAAATGGTGTAAATAAAGGCTGTAAATAGCCTTGCGTCAGTTGGAGGCCATTTTGTTGCCAAATAAGTTCATGTCAGGTTAAGTTCTGCAGTCAAATGTGTTATGATAAAACTTGTTTTATCATATGGTTTTCAGAAGTTCAGGGATTTTGAAATTGAGAATAAGGGATGGTGGACCTGTTAGTTTTGGACAAGCCTTTGGCTGTGTGGGAGACAAATCCCGAGTAGTCTCCCACGCAGAGGGAAGGTTGCAGAAACCCGCTGCCTCACAGGGGTATGGACTGCACTGTCCACCAGGACAGCCTCTCCCAACCACAGCTCTCAGAAGGTCCAGACGTGAACTCCTGACACCGAAGGCACATCTTTGCTGGGTGGGTATTTTCCTGGGATCTCTACCTTTGCTTAGATTTTCAAAAGAAACCTAATACTTAAATACGGTCTAGAGCCCCAGCTAGAAAGAGTCCTTGAGATCAAAGAATTGCTTAGCTAGAGCCCTCAGTTATAGACCTGAGTTTGTTTCTAAGGGACATGAGTCTCAATTAATTGACGTTTCAGTGATTGGCAGGGGAGGGGAGTGAGAAGGGGCAGACATTGGAGATTGAGAGTGTGGAGAAAGATGGGGCAAGAGAAGTTAGGATGAGTGTGAGGGGAGCCAAGAAGAGAATACACACAGGTCTCCATGCAGGACTGAGCACGGGAGAGATCATCCCAGGGGCTGGGGGTTATGTCTTCAGTTTAGGAGCCTGCATGGAGCATCTACTATGTGCAAGGCGCTGGGGATGCAAAGATGAATAAGAGCTGCTCCCTGACAGTGATACCTATTTATGACTGTATTGCTCCTCTCTGAAGAGCTCTCTTTTCATTTCCTCCCTCCCTTCTCCACCCCACCTCCCCACCAAAGAAAACACACACACAGCCAGGAGTGGCCTTGAGGTTCAGGCCACAGGCTCCAGACCTTTTGGGCTCTTTCCTCCACTCCCAATCAAAGTGTCCGGGTCCGGGGGATCACGTGAGGCCAGGAGTTTGAGACCAGCCTGGGCAACATTGCGAGACCCCATCTCTACAAAAAATTTTTTCTTTCTTTCTTTCTTTTTTTTTTTTTGAGACAGAGTTTCCCTCTTGTTGCCCAGGCTGGAATGCAATGGCACGATCTTGGCTCACTGCAACCTCTGCCTCCCAGGTTCAAGTGATTCTCCTGCCTCAGCCTCCCGAGTAGCTGGCATTACAGGCATGCAAGATCACGCTTGGCTAATTTTGTATTTTTAGTAGAGATGGGGTTTCTCCATGTTGGTCAGGCTGGTCTTGAACTCCTGACCTCAAGTGATCTGCTCGCCTCTGCCTCCTAAAGTGCTGGGATTATAGGCGTAAGCCACCTTGCCCAGCACAAAAATTTAAAAATTAGCTGGTGTGGAGGTAGCACACCTATAGTTCCACCTACTCAGGAGGCTGAGGCGGGAGGATGGCTTGAGCCCAGGAGGTTGAGGCTGCAGTGAGCTATGATCATGCCTCTGCATTCCAGCATGGGTAGAGCAAGACCCTGTTTTTGTTGTTGTTGTTGTTGTTTTCAGACGGATTTTTGCTCTGTCGCCCAGGCTGGAGTGCAGAGGCTCAATCTTGGCCCACCACAACCTCCTCCTCCTGGGTTCAAGCAATTCTCCTGCCTCAGCCTCCTGAGTAGCTAGGATTACAGGCACGGGACACCACATCCAGCTAAGTTTTGTATTTTTAGTAGAGACGGGGTTTCACCATGTTGGCCAGGCAGGCCTCGAACTCCCGATCTCAGGTGATTCACTTGCCTCGGCCTCCCAAAGTGCTTGGATTACAGGTGTGAGCCACTGCGCCCAGCCGACCCTGTCTCTTAAAAAAAATAAAAAATAAAAAACCTGGGTCCTACATCCCATGTTGACAAAGCCCCTTGTAAAGGAAGGAATGCATTCTTTGCTGACAGTAATGTGCAGTTCATCAGGTGATAATGTTGATTAGAGGCATGGAGTGGTGTCACTGGAGTCTAGTTTCTCCCCATTACTTAGTTGTGCGACCTTGGGCAAGTCTCCTGCCCTGAGCCTTAGTTTCCTTATCTGTAGAATGAACTTAAGTCTATACTCCCTGCTTCACAAGGGTGTTGTGAGGATCAAAGGGAAGAATATGGAGGAAGACATAAGTGGTAAGTCTTGCCCATGTCTGAGCTATGCTTGTGATGTGCTTACTGTATTCCCACTTAAACAGGGAAGCTTCATTCTGCACTTTAGCACCTCAGGGATTGTACAGATTCCGTCCCCCTGCTAGGCACCTAGGGGCGCTACAGGGCTGTATGGCCTCATAGGTGACCCAGGAACAGATTCTCTGCACCCCAAATGTGGTTTCACTCTCTGGTTGCAATGGTTCTTTGGAAAATAATAGTTGTTCATTACAGTGTTGTTTATGATAGGCCAAGAAAAGTTATTTTTCACTACAATCCCCAAGCCCAGTGTAGTACAAGTGCTCAAGAAATGGATAAAGACTCACAGACCACACTTCCCATCCTCCTCAATGCCTCCTTTTGTGCTAATGAGGTAGACCCCTTCCCTAGCATGCAAGGATTAAATAAGGAGCTGGGGCAAGAGCCATGTGTAGCCTAGAACCTGAGAGTTTAAAATGGTCTTCAACATGAGCAACAGTCCTATTCCTTGGAATGTTTCTGTACAACAAAGATGGAAGTATGTGGCCGGGCGCAGTGTCTCATGCCTGTAATCCCAGCACTTTCGGAGGCCAAGGCAGGCAGATCACAAAGTCAAGAGATTGAGACCATCCTGGCCAACATGGTGAAACCCTGTCTCTACTAAAAATATAAAAAATTAGCCGGGCGTGGTGGTGGGCGCCTGCGGTCCCAGCTACTCGGGAAGCTGAGGCAGGAGAATGGCTTGAACCCCAGAAGTGAAGATTGCAGTGCACCAAGAGCGCGTCACCGCATTCCAACCTCGTGACAGAGCGAGACTCCGTCTCAAAAAAAAAAAAAGATGGAAGTATGAGAATGCTCATCATAACAGGGTTATTTATAATAGCAGTAAGTTGAAAACAACCATAATAATGTTCATCCATTGAGGGATGCTGGAATAAACCATGGCATACGCATGCAATTGGCTTCTCTGCAGCCATGATGAATAATGCATTTCCTACATGATGTTCCATAGACTCAAGCCCCAAGAGGATCCCTCAAGGGATTTCATGGTGAAATGTGTTTAAGAAGTGCCAGTCTCTGCTTGATGATTCAGAACACACATTAGTAAATTAGAGACTCCAAGAAGTCCTTCAGCAAAGCAGCCCATTTAAGTTGGCATAAGCCTATGCATCTCAAACAGTTCGTGGAAGACTCCCAATTAATAGCAAAATGGTCCTAGTGTTCTGTGGAGCCAATTTGGGAAATACCTGTGTAGCAGACACAACTGGAAAGAGTTGAGTGAAAAATGCAGATTTTGAGAGTCTTTGCAGCATGATTTAAACAAATAAACTTATGTATATTTGTATTTGAAAAACGTCTAGCAGGATGCATGCCAGAACTTTAATAGTAGTTGAGGCCATGGGATTATAGGTGATTTTTATTTTCTTCTTTGTTTTCGTCTTTTAGGTTATTTGGGATCTCTAAATTGCCTTTCATCACTGTATATAACATTTTATTTTATTTTTTCAAGAGATGGGGTCTCACTCTGTTGCCCATGCTGGAGTTCAGTGGCTATTCACAGGCACAGTCATAGCACCATTGCAGCCTGGAACTCTTGGACTCAAGCAATCTTCCTGCCCTAGCCTCCCAAGTAGCTGGGATTACAGGCACGTGCCACCACGCCCGGCTCTATATAACTTTTAAAATTAGTAAAAAAAGAAAAAAAAAAGCCAGCCGTCAAGAAAAGGATCCAGGGACAGCTGAAGACACTTTCATAGTGCTGCTGCACCTAGAGGAGCTGGGGCCTCCAGCTCCAAGAAGAAGCTAGGTCCTTATTTAGGCAGAGACATCCCGAGAGCCCACATTCCAGTGGGAATCCTTCCCAGAGCATTCCTCCTCCAGCACCGCCGCGGCCAGCTGCAGCCTGGCTGCTCCCTCACAGGGCCTCCCTCTCCTTTGGTAGCAGCCGCTGCTGGCCCGGGCCAAGCTGCACATCTGGACCTCATTAAGAGCCGCCAGCACCAAAGCCGGCACATCTGGCCGCCGCGAGACAGAGTGCAAGGCAGGGCAGCAAAGGGGCAGGGGCATGTCAGGACAGGGCTGCCCATGCGGGCTCCAAGGCAGCCAGGGCTCCTCTGAGACATCTGGAAGTGGGAAGGTGGTGGGCGGCTGGCCGCAGACGGTGTGCTGCTTGCTGGCGGGGCTGGCTCTGGCCCCTCTGGATGCAGCAGAGTCGTGCCCTGGCTGGCAGAGGCCTTTTAGGCTGAAGGGGGCAGGTCTGGCAGAGAGACAGGTACTCAGGACTCCAAGCACAGTGCTCTTGCTCTTGGGGAGGGCTGGAACTGGGAGCAGTCTCAGGACCATGTTGAAAAGAAGGACTAGACAGGAATGGGGTTGCCTAGCTCTGTGGTGACCGAGCTGTGTGGCTGCAGGTCAGGAGGCAGGTTTTCTACATCGGGAAGGAGAATTCCCATGTATGAAGTTAGAGGGGTGGAAGTGTAATGAGGCACCTTGGAAACAGAGCTTGCCTGCTGCCTGCTGCCTCCTGCCTTTTTCCTACACGAGGACATGCACAGGTCCCTGGCTCTACCCCTGTGGCACCATTATTTTTCCCTTTGGTGCCTGTGAATCTAAGGCTTTGTCAGCCCTGCCAATTTTTTCTTTGCGACAACAGCAGATGCTCCTAAGATCCTTTCCAAAGTCAGGCAGAGATCAAAGAAACCAACTAGTCGATCGAATGCAAGAATCTACCAGCCCTTCCCCTTTATCCTACAGCCTTAGACCTCAAATTGGTCCCACATGAATGGTACCCACCAGATTCTCCTGCCTCTGCTCTCCATCTTTAGCCCCTGCCCACCACAGCAAGGGGGTCCACGTACCCACACTAGTGCCCTCTGAAGAGGCCACAGCAAGAAAATTCTCAGATCTAGTGGGTGCCTGCCACTGAGGTAGAAGTGAAGGGACTATTGCAGAAAGTAAAAGGGCTTCACAGTAAACAGATGGGTCCAAAACCCAGCTACTTAACTTCTTTGAGCACCAGTTTCCTCATCAATAAGATGAGGATACCTCTTACACAAAGAACTATTTTAGGTTCTGTAATAGAAATATAATAGAGTCGGGCTGGGCATGGTGGCTCACATGTGTAATCCCAGCATTTTGGGAGGCTGAGGTGGGCAGATCACCTGAGGTCAGGAGTTTGAGACCAGGCTGGCCAACATGGTGAAACCCCGTCTCTACTAAAAATACGAAAATTAGCCAGGCAGGGTGGTGAGCGCCTGTAATCACAGCTACTCAAGAGGCTGAGGCAGGAGAATCGCTCGAACCCAGGAGGCAGAGGTTGCAGTGAGCTGAGATCATGCCAGCCTGGGTGACAGAGTGAGACTCCGTCTCAAAAAAAAAAAAAAAAAAAAAGAAAAAAAAAGAAATATAATAGAGTTACATGTTTCTCCAATAGAAATGTAATGTAATTATATTTGTAATGGGGGGGTATTTTACACTTTTCATTCTGGAATGATTTTAGATTTACAGAAAAGCTACAAAGATAGTACAGTGGGTTCCAGTAAACCCTTCACCCGCTTCTCCTAAGGTTGACATCTTGCATAACCAAGGCACATTTGCCAAAACTGAGAAATTAACATTGGCACAATACTATTAATTAAACTACAGACTTTTTTCAGATTTCACCAGATTTTCCAACACATATGTGATTTAAATTTTTCTATTAGGCACACTTAAAAAAGTAAAGAGAAACAAATGATATTAATTTTAATAATATACTTTATTTAACCAAAAATATCCAAACTATTGTCACATCAGCATTAATCAATATGAAAAACATAATGAATGAGATATTTCACATTTGTTCTCTTTTTTTGTTGTTGTTTTTTTGAGATGGAGTCTCAGTCTGTTGCCCAGGCTGGAGTGCAATGGCGCGGTCTCAGCTCACTACGACCTCCACCTCCTGGGTTCAAGTGATTCTCCTGCCTCAGCCTCCCAAGTAGCTGGGATTACAGGTGCCCGCCACCACACCCAGCTAATTTTTGTATTTTTAGTAGAGATGGAGTTTCACCATGTTGGCCAGGCTGGTCTCAAATGCCTGACCTCAGATGATCCACCTACCTCGGCCTCCCAAAGTGCTGGCATTACAGGCATAAGCCACCATACCCAGCCCACATTCTCTTTTTTAATGGTAAGTCTTCTAAACCAGTGTGGATTTTAAGCTCACAGCGCATCCCAATTTGGACACTAAATTTTCCCTGGACATACTTGATGTGCAGTTAGGCATTCACAAAATGTAGAGTGGAAACAGTAGCTTCACATACCCAAGTTGTTCCAAACATACTTAAAAGTTTTAAAAGTCTTCTGATAATGGAATTATCAGTTTTTAAATTTAAAATAAAATTTTAAAAATGCATTTCCGGCCGGGCGCAGCGGTTCATGCCTGTAATCCCAACACTTTGGGAGGCCGAGGCAGGTGGATCACCTGAGGTCGGGAGTTTGAGACCACCCTGACCAACATGGAGAAACCCTGTCTCTACTAAAAATACAAAATTAGCCCGGGCATGGTGGCACATGCCTGTAATCCCAGCTACTCGGGAGGCTGAGGCGGGAGAATCGCTTGAACCTGGGAGGCGGAGGTTGCGGTGAGCCGAGATTGTGCCATTGCACTCCAGCCTGGGCAACAAGAGCAAAACTCTGTCTCAAAAAAAAAAAAAATGTATTTCCTCAGTTGTACTAGTGCTTGATAGTCACATATGGCTAGTGACTGCCATATTAGACAGCCCGGGTTTAGAGGATTAAATGAGATGATGTATGGGGAACTGACCAGCACATGGTAGGTGTTCAGTAGATGGTGTCTATTGTTGTTACTGAAGCCTAGAGTTGCTTCTGATGAAATCCAATTTCTAACGTAATCTTTCATGCGTATCCACTGCCAGGTATAATGGAAGGATGCAGAGAAAGATCTTGGTCAGGGAAGAGAAAAAATGGAGGAGGGATGAGATGAAGACACCTCGTACTTCTGTAGGCCTTTCATGGGCTGGGCTGCCACTCAGGAGCACCTTCACTCTCCTCCATTCAATGCTCCTGACCGTCTTCCTTCAGGGCAGGCACTGTTACTTACCCCTGTGCACAGATAGAAAACCGGGGCTCTGAGAGTTGAAGCAATGGGAAGGCAGGGAGCCTTGAGTTCCCACCCAGCCACTGCTGGTCTCATTCTGAGGTATGGATCCTCATCCCCTCTTGGGGCCTCAGTTTCCCCAAAGGGGTTAAGTAAATGAGAGTGAGGTTGGTTTGGATTACTGGATCTGTCTCTGAAATTTTAGGATTATTCAAACAGGGGACATTTGGCTGGCCCTCATCTTGCAAAATTCACCCAAAGCTGATTTGTAAATAGGTAAATAGATGAGAGCGAGAGTGAGAGAGAGAGAGAAAGTGAGAGAGAGGGAGCGCACATGCACTCGTTTTTCGATTCACAGTTGGGGGTCGCGGCTGCCATGTAGTTTGTAATATTTGTGTCCACAGCAGGTTGGGACACCCTCTTCCAGTCTTGAGGTGCCTAGGAAACCTAATTAATTATGGAATAATGGAGCGCAGCTTGTGCTAATATAGAACCAGGGCCGAGGGAGTTAGGTGTCTCAGGGGATATTTATAACAAGCTGTGGCAGTCTGGTGAGTCACTGCTCTGCTCTCCAAGAGGACACACCTGCCTCCAAGAAGAGGAGGCCGCCACTCTCCAGTCAGGCCCCTCTTCCCGGGCAGGGCTGGAGACACACACACTGTTGGGCAATCCTCTCCACTTCTTTAGTCTCCCGTGGGATACCAATCATTACACTCCATCCCTCCTCCATTTCAGCAGAATTTCCCAGCAACCTCCCACTTCCCAGACTGAGGCTGTGCTGTCCACTGATGATGCTACAGACCATTTGTACCCTGGGAACATCTCATTCCAGAGAGATTTCTTCTGGGAAGGTTTCCTGCGGTCAAGCCAAGCTATGCAGCTAGGCTCTTGGGCAGCTTCCATCCAGGGCCAATTCTTCCTGGACATAGAAAGGCAAAGTCTGGAGAGGGGAAGGGGACAAGCATTTGTTGAGCCCTTTTTCTGTGCTCTTAGGCAGAACACTTGGTATCCTGTAAGCTCACTAAAGTGTCACAATAAGCTGTGTATTGGGTTCCATCATCCATGTTTAACAGATACAGAAACTGAGGCTTAGGGGAAAGCAGCTAAAAGGAATATACAGCTAGAACGTGCCAGAGTCAGGGTTCTAACCCAGGCCTGCCTAACACCATCCTAAGCTATAGGACTAGTGGTACAAGACACTTTACACACACACACTCACTTAATTCTCAAAAAATTGAGTTGAGGGCAAAGTCAAACAGAAAAGGACATATAACCTCCCAACTAATAGAGGGGAAAATTCAATAGCAAAAAGAAAAACATAAAAAACAACAACAAAAAAAAACCCTAATACCAAAAGAAAGGGAAAAAAGGAGAGAAAAACGAACATAGGACAGATGAAATCAATAGCAAGCACAGAGTAGATTTAATTCCATATATATCTGTAATTACATTAAATATAAATGGACTAAATGCTCCTATTAAAATATAAAGATTGTCAGAATGGATAAAGAACAAATCCCAACTCTGGGGTTTACAAGAGATACACCCAAAGCATAAGGGTACAGGAAGGTTGAGGGGAGAGCCGAAGAGTGAATCAGGGGTTTTTGAGGCTGCAGGACACACTCTGTCTTCCAGATCTCAGCCCTCTGACTTGTCCCTTTCTTGCCTTGGCCTCAGTCATCCTCAGTGACTTCTGGCCTAGCAGTGTTGTTCAATGGAGGGCACTCAGGCACTGGCCTTAGATGAATCAACCATGTGACCCTGGACTTTCTTGGGCAACCTGAGCCTTCATGTCCTCCTCTGTAAAATAGAACAAGGATTCATACCTCACAGGGCTGCTGTAAGAATTAGAGACCAGAAAAAAAAAAAAAAAGAACATGTTCATGGCATCTGGCACACAAAATTTGAATTATGTTAATTTTTTGCTATAATACATTATAATTTTACATGTGCCTATGTAGTAGATAAGGCCCTATGGGCTGCCCCTGACAGTCTGATAGAACATGAGAGCCTTTTTCATGTGTGTTTTTGGTGAGGGCCGTGTGTATGTGAGGTGCATCCACTCTTCCTCCCAGGCTCAGAAATTCAAGTAGGGCCGGGGGATGGGGTAACTCTAGGATGCCCTCTTCCTGTTTGTTTGCAAGCCTGACAAATCTGTTGCTCTCTGTCTTTGATTAGGTCATACTCCTGTTCAGACCCTAGCCTTGGTGACTTCCTACTGTTCGTGTGGCAGGGTCCCTCCTGTCTCAAAGGCCTCTGATGGCCTGCCTGCCTGCCTGCCTGCCTTCCTTCCTTCCTTCCTTCCTTCCTTCCTTCCTTCCTTCCTTCCCTTTTTTTTCAGACTGAGTTTCGCTCTTATTGCCCAGGCTGGAGTACAATGGCGTGATCTTGGTCACTGCAACCTCTGACTCCTGGCTTTAAGCGATTCTCCTGCCTCAGCCTCCCGAGTAGCTGGGATTACAGGCATGTGCCACCACGCCTGGCTAATTTTATATTTTTAGTAGAGATGGGGTTTGTCCATATTGGTCAGGCTGGTCTCGAACTCCCGACCTCAGGTGATCTGCCCGCCTTGGCCTCCCAAAGTGCTGGGATTACAGGCGTGAGCCACCGCACCTGGCCTGCTGATGGCATGCTTTCTGCCCCCTCCTTCTACATGTGGACTTGCCCCTGCAGGCAAACCACTCAGCCCTTCCTGCATCCCCTGCTAAGCTTGGTGGGATCTCCTTACCATCCCCATCGAAGGCTGCCCCTCCTCCTTTGTCATTCAGCTTCACACTCCCTGATCTGCAATTCTAAAAACCAAAAGCTCTAAAAAAGCAGACTTCTTTTCCCCCCTACAAGTTTGATATAAACTCATTTGGCCACAAACCTGACCTGACCTGGTGTGAGGTTATTTAAAAATCTTTACGTTGTCTCTCACTGCTCAGGCATTTTCCTGCAGAAATTTGCTGTGTTTAATTAAGGGCACTGCCCAGACCCTGCTGGAGTGTTATGTAGTGTCAGCACATGCATCGGGTGAACTTTCTGAAACCGCAAAGCTCTGGCCCCAGGGCTTTGGGTGAGGGTGTGAGCCTGCCACTGTGACAGCCTGAGGGCCCTTCCTGTGCTGTGCCTTCTGTACTTATCTCCCCTCCTATTCACAGCTCTGCAAGGTGGGCATCAGCCACTCCATTGCACCAATGAGGACACTGAATCCCAAGGAATCCAGCTGGGAAAGTGGCTGAGCCAAGTCCTTCTGAGTGCTCAGCCTCCTGCACTTTCTCTTTTTTTATATCAAGCTCCTCTCCTTCCCTCAAGGGCCAGCCCTCTGCTCCCACACCCTTCTCTATCCTGTTGATGCTCCTGGGACTTTCATGTATTAGAATGCCCAATTTCATTCATTTAACATTATTTATTGCGGGCTTCTCACACTCCAATGTGCACATAAACGTCTTACAGTAATGATCCTAATTCACCTGCTCTGGGTCTGACATTCTGCCTCCCTAATAAGCTTCCAGGTCCTGTTGGACCCCACTTTGGGGAATAAGGGGTAAGGGAACAGGTAAGCATACAGAGTTTTTGTTTTGTTTTTGTTTTTGTTTTTGTTTTTTTGAGACGGAGTCTCTCTCTGTCGCCCAGGCTGTTGTACAGTGGCGCAACCTCCACTCACTGCAACCTCCGCCTCCCAGGTTCAAGCGATTCTCCTGCCCCAGCCTCCCGAGTAGCTGGGATTGCAGGTGAGTGCCTCCACACCCGGCTAATTTTTGCATTTTTAGTAGAGACAGGGTTTCACCATATTGGTCAGGCTGGTCTTGAACTTCTGACCTCGTGATCCACCCACCTCGGCCTCCCAAAGTGCTGGGATTACAGGCGTGAGTCACCGTGCCCGGCCTTGTTTTTGTTTTGAGTCAGGGTCTCACTCTGTTGCCCAGGCTGGAGGGGAGTGGTGCGGTCATGGCTCAGTGCAGCCTTGACCTCCCAGGCTCAAGTGATCCTCCCACCTCAGCTTCCTGAGAAGCTGGGACTACAGGCACGTGCCATCATGGCTGGCTAGTTGTTATATTTTTTTGTAGAGACGGGGTCTCACTATGTTGCCTAGGGTAGTCTCAAACTCCTGGCCTCCAACAATCCTCCCACCCCAGCCTCCCAAAGTGCTGGGATTACAGATGTGAACCACCACACCCTGATAGCATACAGAATTGAATAATAAACACAACTCAGTGGTGGCAGAGCCAGGATTTGAACCCAGCAAGCCTGGCTTCAAAATCTGTGCTGTTAACTACTATGCAGCACACAAGTTGGAAGGTTGGACCCTGTCCGTGGAGTGTGGTGAAGCAATCACTGCAAGCACAGCTGGCGATGCCAGAGCACTGAGGGGAAGGCTGGGCTCCTTTTGACAACACAGTTAATTTTCTTTTTTTCTTTTTTCTTTTTGACATGGAGCCTTGCTCTGTCACCTGGGCTGGAGTGCAGTGGTGCCATCTCAGCTCAGTGCAACCTCCGCTTCCCAGGTTCAAGCGATTCTTGTGCCTCGGCCTCCCAAGTAGCTGGGATTACAGGCACGTGCCACTACACCCAGCTAATTTTTGTATTTTTAGTAGAGACAAGGTTTCACCATGTTGGCCAGGCTGGTCTTGAAATCCTGAACTCAGGTAATCCACCCACCTCGGCCTCCCAAAGTGCTGGGATTACAGGTGTGAGCCACCATGCCTGGCCTCAGCTTGCAGTTTCTCATAGCTGTTCCTAAGCACGCTTCCAGTGAACTGTGGACTAAGAAACCAACTCACCAAGCTCCTTAGAATTACATATAAAGTAAAGGTTTATAGGTACAGAGAGAGGGAACAGCAGTTTCTTGAAGACTCGGATGCTTCAGCTTTTATGCATGGAATTTATAAGGTTCAGTTTGGTTGCTCGTTTACATATCTTTGCTAATTTCCTGGTTCATGGCTATGTTTTTGAGAGTTGAGGGGGCTGGATAAGCATCCTTTCTCTCTGTGATTTTCAAACTGGAATGTGATCAGACTCCTAGGGGAGCTCTTCGAATCTGCAGAGAATCCTAATCCATACTCGGAGGGTGGGATTTGGACCTCTACATTTTGCGAAACTGCATTTGGAACCATCAGCACTTATTGAGCACCTACCGTATGCTCACAAGTGCTGGACACTATGGACAGAAAACCTATGCAGCCATCATGCATTATGTTACTACCAAGCCCTCATGCATTACCACATTTGAGTTGCAGTAGACAAGTTGAAACACATGAAGCAACTAAGGCCAGTTCACCTTCAAACAGAGAAGGCTAGCGGCAGTGGTAGCACAGCACAGTGAAGGCCTCTTCTGGGAGGAAAGGGAGACCACTCAGTGTGATGAAAACAGCCTGGACATGAGGTCAGCAAACCTGGTTCTGAGTTTCTCCTCTCTAATCTACCTGCCAATGGACTCATATCCTCTCTGAACATCAGTTTCTTCATCTATTACATGAGGATAAGGTGTTCTCCCTCCCACGTTTGTTGTGATGAGAGAATGCCTGGGAAAGCACCATGTAAACTGTGAAGTGCTGTTTGCACATGTGCAGTGAGGGTCCTGCAGGCTGCAGGGAGCACAGACCCACTCTGGTTGCTCCAGTGATGAGGCTTTATTGTAAAGCTAAGCAGCAGGGTGGGAAGCCGGGGAGGGCCTCAGCAGACAAAGAGCAGCCCTCCTGGAGGAGAAGAACCTCTTTCTGGAGTCCTTGGAGGCTCAGGCCAAGGCCAATTATGGATCCTTTCTGCCTGATGTCTTCTGCTACCTCCTGGCTTCCACCTCCTGGCCTCTGCCCACTACCTTCTCCTATGTAGCCCTTGCCTGTGGCCCACTTTGTGGTCCTCTGGTTTTCAGGCAGCCCCGTGAGAGACAGTCTGATGGGCTTGGTAAGTCACTGTCCAGTGTAGAAGGTCTCCACTGGGCAGTCTTTTTGCTGGGCTACCTCTCCCGCATATCCAGTCCATAAATGTCTGCCTTCGTGTCAGGCCAAACTTTGCCCTGGCACTTGTGGCCAGGGTGTGGGCTTTTATGTCCCAGCGGTGCACAGGAGCGCCCGTGGGGGCTGTGGGCACAGCTCACTCTCAGAGGCAACAGTGCAGGCTGTCGATCCGTCACAGAATGTGAGCGATTTTTATAGAGGGAAGATGGCACTCATGCAGTTAATCTACCCAGCAAACAGCACCTGCTTGTCACATCTCACGTGCCACTCAGTGAGGGCCAGCTGCAGGCCACGTTGTACAATCCCGGAAGGTTGTGGTGCCCTCGGTCTCCACGTTCTTCGGGTTTCCCTGGTGGATGACACTGTCTTCTCACTGCCCCTCTGCTCCCAGGCACTGGCATTCCCGTGTGTGCTCCCCAGTCCCGTGACTAAAACCTGCCCTTAGCATTTCTATAGAGGATATTCACTGCAGCATTGGACACAGTAGAGAAAGATTAGGACCAGCTTACATGTCCAGAGTGAGGGGAGTGGTTACCTATGATTATGTATATTTCTATGACTGTGCATGTATGAGGGGACTTCATAAAGTTTGTGAAAAAATGGGATTAAAAGATACAAATAAAAAACATAAACTTTTTTCTTAACATAAGCTCCATCGAGTTCAAAATACTTCTGTAAGTGATGATACCAGCCATGTAGTCCATCCCTAAAGAACTGAGCGTCCTGGGAGTTTAAGTGTGTCAATGCAGTCTTTTTAATGTTATTAACTGAAGAAAAATGGCTCCCCTTTAAATAGTTTTAAATTTATTTTATTTATTTATTTGAGATAGAGTCTCACTCTGTTGCCCAGGCTGGAGTGCAGTGGAGTGATCTCGGCTCACTGCAACCTCCGCCTCCCAGGTTCAAGCTCGTGCCTCAGCCTCCCGAGTAGATGGGATTACAGGAAGCTGCCACCATGCCCAGCTAATTTTTGTATTTTTAGTGGAGATGGAGTTTCATCATGTAGGCCAGGCTGGTCTCAAACTCCTAACCTCAAGTGATCTGCCTGCCTCAGCCTCCCAAAGTACTGGTATTACAGGTGTGAGCACTTTGGGAGGCTGAGGCCGGCAGATCACCTGAGGCCAGGAGTTCGAGACCAGGCTGGTCAACATGAAACCCAGTCCCAGTCTCTACTAAAAATACAAAAAATTAGCTGGGTGTAATGGAGGGTGCCTGTAATCCTAGCTACTCGGGAGGCTGAGGCAGGAGAATCGTTTGAACCCAGGAGGCGGAGGTTGCAGTGAGCTGAGATTGTGCCGCTACACTCCAACCTGGGCTACAGAGCGAAACTGTCTCCAAAAAAAAAAAAAAGGAAACAAGTTATAGGAGCCACACCGAGATGTCTAACGCTTTCCGATTGAAACGCTTGCAAAATTGCCCTTGTGTGTTGAGAGGAATGAGCAGGAGCATGGTTGTGGTGGAGAAGGACTCCTTGGTGAAGCTTTCCCAGGTATTTGCCTTGTAAAAGCTTTGGTGAACTTTTTCAAAACACTCTCATAATTAGCATATATTATTGTGATTTGGCCCTCCAGAAAGTCAACAGGCAAAATGCCTGCAGCATCTCAGAAAACGGTTGCCATGATCTTTGCTCTTTTATTTTTTTTATTTATTTGTTTTTTGAGACGAAGTCTTGCTCTTGTCACCCAGGCTGGAGTGCACTGGTGCAATCTCGGCTCACTGCAAACTCCACCTCCCAGGTTCAAGCGATTCTCCTGCCTCAGCCTCCCGAGTAGCTGGGATTACAGGCGCCTGCCACCATGCCTGGCTAATTTTTGTATTTTTAGTAGAGACGGGGGTTTCATTGTGTTGGCCAGGCTGGTCTCGAGCTCCTGACCTCAGATGATCCGCCCGCCTCGGCCTCCCAAAGTGCTGGGATTACAGGCATGAGCCACCGCACCTGACTGCTCTTTTATTTTTATTTTTTGAGACAATGTCTCACTTTGTCACCCAGGCTGGAGTGCAGTGGCACGAACATGGTTCACTGTAGCCTTGACTTCCCAGGCTCAAGTGATCCTCCCACCTCAGCCTCCCGAGTAGCTGGGACTACAGGCACATGCCACCATGCCTGGCTAATTTTTGTATTCTTTGTAGAGATGGGATTTCGCCATGTTGCCCAGGCTGGTCTCGAACCCCCGAGCTCAAGCGATCCACCCACCTTGGCCTCCCAGAGTGCTGGGATTACAGGCATGAGCCACTGCCCCCAGCTGATCTTCACTCTTGACTGGTCCACTTTTGCTCTGACTTTCACCTCTTGGTAGCCATTGCTTTAATTGTGCTTTGTCTTCAGGATCGCACTGGTAAAAGCCCTGTTTCATCTCCTGTTCCCGTTACAGTTATTTGAAGAAATGCTTCAGGATCTTTTTTTTTTTTTTTTTTTTTTTTGAGATGGAGTCTCGCTGTGTCACCCAGGCTGGAATGCAGTAGCATGAGCTCAGCTCACTGCAACCTCCGCCTCCCGGGTTCAAGTGATTCTCTTGCCTCAGCTTCCCAACTAACTGGGATTACAGGCATGCACCACCAAGCCCAGCTAATTTTTGTACTTTTAGTAGAGACGGGGTTTCACCATGTTGGCCAGGTTGGTCTCAAACTCCTGACCTCAAGTGATCTGCCCGCCTCCGCCTCCGCCTCCCAAAGTGCTGGGATTACAGGCATGAGCCACCATGTCCGAGAGGCTTCAGGATCTTGATCCCACTTGTTTGAAATTTCCATTGAAAGCCCTGCTGTTGTCTGCAGCTGATCTGGGCACAATGGCTTCTGGGAACAAACTTCGGAGTAGGAAGTTTGCTCAACTTTAATTTTTCAGTCAGAACTGTGTAAGGTGAACCAGTTGAGATGTCTATGGTGTTGGTTGTTGTTTCTGCTGTAAATCATTGGTTCTTTTCAATTAGGGCGTGCACAAGATTAATTCTTCACAAATTGCTCTAGATGGGCTGCCGCTGCAGGTTCCATCAATCTTGTTTTGTTCCTTATTAAAATGAGTTGGCCAGGCGCGGTGGCTCATACCTATAATCCCGGCACTTTGGGAGGCCGAGGTGGGCGGATCTCGAGGTCAGGAGTTCAAGACCAATCTGGCCAACATGGTGAAACCCCCCTCTCTACTAAAAATACAAAAATTAGCCAGACGTCCTGGCGCGTTCCTGTAGCCCCAGCTACTTGGGAGGCTGAGGCAGGAGAATCGCTTGAACCCGGGAAGTGGAGGTTGCAGTGAGCCGAAATCGCGCCATTGCACTCCAGCCTGGGCGACAGAGCAAGACTCCGTCTCAAAAAAAAAAAAAAAAAAGTCCAGGTGTGGTGGCTCACACCTGTAATCCCAGCACTTTGGGAGGCCGAGGCGGGCGGATCACAAGGTCAGGAGATCGAGACCAGCCTGGCTAACACGGTGAAACCCCATCTCATCTAATTCTTTAAAATACAAAAAATTAGCCAGGTGTGGTGACATGCGCCTGTAGTCCCAGCTACTCAGGAGGCTGAGGCAGGAGAATGGCGTGAACCCGGGAGGCGGAGTTTGCAGTGAGCCGAGATCACGCCACTGCACTCCAGCCTGGGTGACAGAGTGAGACTCCGTCTCAAAAATAAAAAAAGAAAAAGAAATCCTGTCTCTATTAAAAATACAAAAATTAGCTGGGCGTGGTTGTGGGCGCCTGTAATCCCAGCTACTCGGGAGGCTGAGGCAGGAGAATCACTTGAACCTGGGAGGCAGAGTTTGCGGTGAGCCAAGATCGCGCCCTTGCACTCCAGCCTGGGTGACAGAGCGAGACTCCATCTCAAAAAAAGAAAAAAAGAAAGAAAAAGAAATTATCCACTTGTATAATAAACTGCTGATTTTGGGGGGCATTTTCCCCATATACTTATTGTAAAGCATCAGTGATTTCACCATTCTTCCACCCAAGCTTTACCATAAATGTGACATGTGTTCTTGCTTCAATTTTAGCGGAATTCATGTTGCTCTGAAAGGAGCTCTTTTCAAACTGAGATCTTATCTTTCTTAGTGCCTAAAACTAGTTTTTTGTTTTCGTTTCTGTTTTTCTGTTTTTGAGACAGGGTCTCACTTTGTCACCCAGGCTGTAGTGCAGTGGCACGATCATGGCTCACTGCAGCCTCGACCTCCTGGACTCAAGTGATCCTCCTACCTCAGCCTTCCAAGTAGCTGGGACCACAGGTGAACACCACCATGCTTGGCTAATTTTTAAATTTTATGTAGAAAGGTGGGTCTCCTTATATTGCCCAGACTGGTCTCGAACTCCTGGGCTTAAGTGACCCACCTTCCTTGACCTCCCAAAGTGTTGGGATTATGGGCGTGAGCCACTGTGCCCTGCTGCCTAAAACTAGATCTTCTTTGGCCATGTTATAACTTTAGTATGACTTTATTTTGGTGCAAAAGAAAAATTGAAATTCAGGCAGGTTTTTTCATAATACACATTTTTAATGAACTTTTTGAAGACCTCTTGTATACATTAAAGCTATATGAGCAAAGAACATTTAATGACATGGTACAATAATAAAGGAAAGCGTCATTTCCGCATCATTAATATGTGTAAATAGGAATGTGTCTGTGTACCTACATTTATACACTGTACATAATTTACATAGAAAAAGACTGGAAAATTTTATATCAATATGATAGTTGTGGTTATCTCTGGGTGATTTTTTTTTTTTTTTTTTTGAGACGGAGTCTCGCTCTGTCACCCAGGCTGGAGTGCAGTGGCACGATCTCGGCTCACTACAAGCTCTGCCTCCCGGGTTCATGCCATTCTCCTGCCTCAGCCTCCCGAGTAGCTGGGACTACAGGTGCCCGCCACCATGCCCGGCTAATTTTTTGTATTTTTTAGTAGAAACGGGGGTTTCACCGTGTTAGCCAGGATGGTCTGGATCTCCTGACCTCGTGATCCACCCACCTAAGCCTCCCAAAGTGCTGGGATTACAGGCGTGAGCCACCACGCCCAGCCGATTTTTTTTTTAATTAAAAATGTTTTGGGGGCCAGATGTGGGGGCTCATGCCTATAATCCCAGCATTTTGGGAGGCCGAGGCGGGTGGATCCCCTGAGGTTGGGAGTTTGAGACCAGCCTGACCAACATGGAGAAACCCCATCTCTACTAAAAATACTAAATTAGCGGGCACGGTGACACAGGCCTGTAATCCCAGCTACTCGGGAGGCTGAGGCAGGAGAATCACTTGAACCCGGGAGTCAGAAGTTGCGGTGAGCTGAGATTGCGCCATTGTACTCCAGCCTGGGCAACAAGAGTGAAACTCCGTCTCAAAACAAATAAATAAATAAAATAAAACATTTTTTTGGCTAGGAGTGGTGGCAAACGCCTATAATCCCAGCACTTTGGGTGGTTGAGGTGGGAGGATTGTTTGAGGCTAGGAGTTTGAGACCAGCCTGGGCAACATAGTGAGACCTTGTCTCTACTAAAAATTAATGAATATATTTTTAACACTTTTTTTTTGTAACGATAATGTCTTGCTATATTGCCCAGGCTGGCCTCGAACTCTTGGGCTCAAGTGATCCTGCTTCAGCCTCCTGAGTAGTTGGGACTATAGGTGTGCACCACCATACCTGTCTTCTGGGTGATATTTTATAAGCAAGTATTATTTTTGTTTTTTTATTTATGCTTTTCTCTTTTTTCCACATTTTCTACAAGAAATGTGTTACTTTTATAATCAGGAAAACAACACCCATAAATATCATAATCTTTTAAAAAATCCAAACCACGTCCTCCGGAAAGAAAATCACAATGTATTTTTTTACTATCCCATACTCTTTTTTTTTTTTTTTGAGACGGAGTTTTGTTCTTGTCACCCAGGCTGGAGTGCAATGGCATGATCTTGGCTCACTGCAACCTCTGCCTCCTAGATTCAAGGGATTCTCCTGCCTCAGCCTCCTGAGTAGCTGCGATTACAGGTGCACGCCACCATGCTCAGCTAATTTTTGTATTTTTAGTAGAGATGGGGTTTTGCCATGTTGGCCAGGCTGGTATCCAACTCCCGACCTCAGGTGTTCTGCCCACCTCAGCCTCCCAAAGTGCTGGGATTACAGATGTGAGCCACTGTACCTGACTTCCCATAATCTTAAAGGATTCACAATTTCCATGTATTTTCAGGGAAAACAAAGTTTTCTGTTGAAGGAATGATGTCTAATGGTGGAATTTTGGGTATCGGTGATCTGATGAAAAGGCGGCTGGAGGGCGGCAAAGCCTTCTGGTTGCTTTGAAATCAAACCCCAGAGGCCTCCTTCTCTGGTCCTGCTGAAGGGAGATTGTAAGGGTGGCCAGAGTGGAGCCAGTAAAAGTGTCCCGAGTGGGTGGAGCCAGGAAACTCCCCAGAGTGCCTTGTCACCAACATGTTTCATACTTAAAAAGAATGAGAGTGAAATGGACATTTATGTTTTTGATCAAAACAGTGACTGAGTTTTGTTTCCCCTCTTGGGAAAACCCTGCACCACTCCTTCCAAAGGGAAGAGAAGAAGAGAGACGGCATCTTAGTAACTGCTACCATTATGACCTCGGATGGAGAGGGAAGGGATGAGAGGGAGGAGACAGGAGCATTTGCTTTTCAACTTTTGTACTTTATACAGTTAAAAAGAGACAGCCCTAGGCCGGGCGCAGTGGCTCACGCCTGTAATCCCAGCACTTTGGGAGGCCAAGGTGGGCAGATCATGAGGTCAGGAGTTCGAGACCAGCCTGGCCAACATGGTGAAACCCCCCCATCTCTACTAAAAATACAAAAATTAGCCAGGCGTGGTGGTGCACGTCTGTAATCTCAGCTACTCAGGAGGCTGAGGCAGGAGAATTGCTTGAACCCAGGAGGCAGAGGTTACAGTGAGCCGAGATCACGCTATTGCACTCCAGCCCAGGCGACAGTGTGAAACTTCATCTCGGGGGCAGAAAATAAAAAGACAGCACTATGGGTGATTTCTATTTCGTGCATATGTGGGGTTTTTTGGTGGTCCTCAGTTTGTCTATTGCGAACACAAGATACTTTTGCAATCAGGGGTAAAAATGTCATAATGAAAGGGCCAAAGAGATGTGGTTGGGCCATCCTGCTGCACTGTCTGCAGGCCACTGACCACCTTCACTCTAGGCCAGAATCCTCAGGCCCCCTTGGGCAAGGGTGAGTAACAGGGCAGAGAGCAATCAGCCTCGGTCCCCTGCCTGGCCCACTCCAGCCCCTCTGGCCTAATGTATCTCTAACCACTTGGACAGCAGACCTGGTCGGCTCCTGTAGACAGCATGGCCCTGTGTCCCCCAGCCTGACCCTGTCTGTGCCTCCCTGCGTGGTGCCAGCTGCCAGGCCTTTCTGCTTAGCTGGACTCTGGCCTGACCCTCCTGACCAGCCCTTTCCTGGGGCTGGAAATGCCCCCACGTGACACTCACTGGCACATGGTGTTTGGCTGAGTATTCATTGCAGCAACTGCAATCTCAAGAAAGGCGCCTGCAGCCTTCAGGACCGTCTGGAGTTTATTTGGCTGCTATGATCGAGACTTGCCGTCTCAGCAGCAGGTGAACACAGCACAAGATTAACAGAACCAAGAGTGAGATAGGGTGCCCAGCCCCAATTTACCAGGCCACCTGCAAAGGCAACACAGACTTTGGTGTCCTGAGACACCTGTTAAGTCGTGCCTACAGGAATTGTAATCCCAGCTGCATGACCTTAAACACATCCCCTGTGCTGCGCTTCCTCATCTGTGAAATAGATATGATAATGATCTTTTTTTTTTTTGAGATGGAGTTTCATTCTTGTTGCCCAGGCTGCAGTCTAACTGGCTCACTGCAGACTCTGCCTCCCGGGTTCAAGCGGTTCTCCTGCCTCAGCCTCCTGAGTAGCTGGGATTACAGGCACGTGCCACCACACCTGGCTATTTTTTTATTTTTAGTAGAGAAGGGGTCTCTCCATGTTGGTCAGGCTGGTTTCAAACTCCCAATCTCAGGTAATCCGCCCGCCTCGGCCTCCCAAAGTGCTAGGATTACAGGTGTGAGCCACTGCACCCGGCCGATAATGATCTCTTTTATCCAGTTACTCCATCAGGAGCACATAGGCTAATGTATGTGAAAATGCTTTATGAGCTGAAAGTGCTTAAATGATATTTTCTGTGAAAATTCATCATGGTTATTTGAAAAGTTGTTTTATTTATTTATTTTAAATTAATATTTATTTATTTATTTATTTATTTGAGACAGAGTTTCGCTCTTGTTGCCGAGGCTGGAGTGCAATGGCGTGATCTCGGCTCACTGCAACCTCCGACTCTCAGGTTCAAGCAATTCTCCCAAGTAGCTGGGACTACAGGCACCTGCCAACTCGCCCGGCTAATTTTTTGTATTTTTAGTAGAGACAGGATTTCACCATGTTGGCTAGGCTGGTCTTGAACTCCTGACCTCAGGAGGTCTGCCTGCCTTGGCCTCCCAAAGTGCTGGGATTACAGGCGTGAGCCACCTTGCCTGGCCTATTTATTTACTTCAAATCAACTAGTTCTTAAGTGTTTGATACCCACTAACTGCATGTGCCCAGCATTGTGCTTAATGCTTCCAGCAAGTCAAGAAATGTAAGATGAGTATGGCTTGTTGCCAAGGAACTTATGCTCAATTTGAGGAAATGGAGCACTCACGTTGAAAGCCCATTTCCTTTCTGTCAATGAGAGGGAGCACTCCGATTCTTGTAAATCAGTTTCTATCACTGGGCCTAGTTTCCTCAGCTGTGAAAAGGAAATGGAGATGCCCGCCTATAATCCCAGCACTTGGGGAGGCCAAGGCAGGAGGAATGTTTGAGCCCAGAAGTTTGAGATCAGCTTGGCCCACATGGTGAAACCCCTTCTCTACAAAAAATACAAAAATTTACCGGGCGTGGCCATGTGCACTTGTGGTCCCGGCTACTTGAGAGGCTGAGGTGGGAGGGTCACTTGAGTCTGGGAGGTCGAGGCTGCCCCTGTCACCAGGCCCTGGTGTGTGAGCCTGACAGGGTGGGGGTAGCCAAGACAGTCCCCTGGCAATGCAGACAACAGCAGGAGAGAATAAGAGCTGTGCTGAGGGTCCTGGCTGAGCCTGAAGGAGCACAGGAGCCGGGAAGTGTTGCTTCCCCCAGTAGCTGGGCCTGGGGGCGCCTTCCTGGGCCAAGTCTTCTCCACAGGGAGCAGGAGGCTCTGCGAGTCAGCCCGCCCTGTCTCTCCTCCTCCTCCAGGCATGCCACCCTCTCCGCACACAGCAGGGTCTGTGGGGGTGGAGGCTTTTTCCAGACATGTATTTAAGTGAGGAGAGAAAACAAGGCGAGTCGCCTAGGATTTGCCAAGTCAGTAGGCAGGAACACAACCCAGGAGGCCAGAAATAAGACGCTGGTGAGGGTCACCCTGCTCTCCGGAGCTGGGGACGGTTTATAGCCCGTGCAGAACGCGTTATAATCACACTTTTGTTTGAGGATGGCCCTTGATCCCCGGGTGTTGTTGCTCTCCTGGTTGGAAGGTAGCAGAGCCCTGATTGTGGGCAGTGAGTAATGGTGACTCAGGGAAATTCACAAGGACACAGGGAACACCCCCAAAGTCATCCAGGGACATGCCCTGGTTCCCCCTGCCGGTCAGGGAGCCAGAAGTTCTGGTCCCCTTTGTAAAGGAGGAATTTCTAAAGTTTTCTCTGGAACTTTGGCAGAATTCTGTAGGACCTTTCAGGGGAAGCATTCGGCTTTGGGAATTTTTGGGGGGGAGATTACTAAAAGTTTTAAGGCTTTGTATCTATTTATGAATTAGCTTCTTTTCTCTCTCTTTTTAAAATTTTTAATTAATTAATTAATTAATTTATTTATTTATTTTGAGACCAGGTTATGAGACTGGCTATTTTTTTTTATTTTTGGTAGAGACACGGTTTCACCATGTTGCCCAGGCTGGTCTCAAACTCCTGGCCTCAAGTGATCAACCCACCTTGGCTTCCCAAAGTGCTGGGATTATAGGCGTGAGCCACCGCACCCGGCTTTCTTTTCTCTTTTAGCTCCTAATTATATTTGTCTCTTAATCTGATTGGGCATTTGTTACCTTGTATGCAAACAATTCTCCAGAAAACAAATTATGACAATAATAATAACAGCTAATGTTTATTCACCCCTTACGACATGCCAGGTACTGGTCTCTCCGTGTATTTTTGTGTTTCATCAAATCTACAGTTCCATCAATCATTAGACATCACGTTATTTGTGTACCACTAAACGATGCTGCCAATTAATCCTTGATATGCCATTGATTTTCAGACTCACCCTGATTTCAGAAATGTTAAAATGGAGATCAATTTTAATCATCTTAGAATCCATGAAATGCAGTAATTAAATCTCAGTTACCATCCTTGCCTTACAGACGGGTAAACTGAGGGACAGAGAGGTTGAGTAAATCTGTCCCAATCTTACCCAGCAAGTATGTAGTGGAGAGGAGAGCCGAACCCAGAGTTGGGCTCCAAAGCCTGTGCTCATAACCGCTGCACTATATTGTGCCTTAGGAAGTCGGATCTGTTCACCGGCAAGACAGGAGGAAGGACACAAAATAACAGAGGGAAAGCTGGACCCACCCTCCACTCCCTTCTCACTATCCCCAGGGCCAGTGGTCACCAGGTCCTGTTGATGTCTCTTCCAAAAACTCTCCCAGATCGTGCTCCTCTTCTTGCTCCCAGCAGCTGACTCGCTGGTTCTATCCTTCCTTGCATCTGCTTGGACTATTGCAATAGCCTCTAAGCTGTTGCCCATCTCCAGCCCCGCCCACTCCCCAACATAGACACTGGAGTCAGAGTCATCTTTCTAAAATGTGAGTCTGATCTTGTTACTCTGCTTGGAAGCATCTGAGGGATCCAAATCCTAGTGCGTGTTTGCTCGCACCTGTGGCAGCCTCTGTTCTAGGCAAACCCCAACATGGTCCAAGCCCTTGTGGAGGCCATGGTCTCACAGAGAAGCAAGACCCCACGGTGGGCAGTTATGATACGATGTGAAACATGCTTCAGTGGGGGGCGTGCTGGGCCCATGGGAGGAGCCCTTGCTCTGGGACCTAAGGGACCACTTCGTAATATCTAAGCCAAGACCGCCAGGATGCATGGGAATTTACCAGGCAAAGGACAGTGAGGATTTCCAGGCAGAAGGAAGAGCAGTGCAAAGACCCAGACTAAAGAGAGATGTTGGAGCATGGACTGTCAGCTGGGGCACAATCCCAGCTGAGGCTGGAAGGACAGTTGCGTGAGGCTGGCTCCTACAGAACGGGCCTCACCTTTCTCTTTCAGCTTAGCTCCTTTCTGCTCCTCTTCCCACCAAATCCCCCTGCAGCAAGTACTTGTGTCCTGAACAGTCTTCCTCCTCTTCACATGTGCTCCACGGGCACCTCACCCCTGCCCAGCAAACTTATCCACCCAGACCCTGCTAGAAGGTAGCCTCCCAGTGAAAACACCCCTGACCCTTGAGTTATCTCTGCAAGCTCCAAGCCGGGCGGAAGAAGACTGAGGCGCTGGTCTCAGGTTCAACTGGGGGATTTGGGAGCATTTTGACAGAAATCAACTGAGAAAAAGCCAAAGTTCCTACAAAGGCCTATAAGACCCCACAAGTCTGCACCACCTCCACCTCTCTGACCCCGTCTTCCGCTATCTGCCCTGTTGCCAGCTTGCTTCAGCTACGTGTCTCCTGGCTATTCCTGAAACCACCCTGACTCCCACTCCCACCCCAGGGCCTTTGCACTCGCTGTTTCCTGGTATAGTTTATTTCTCCCTTATTTGCACAGCTCCCTTCTTTACCTCCACCTTCATCAGATTTTGCTCAAATACCACATTCTCAGAAAGGCCCACCCTGAACACCCTATTTAAAGGCATGGCCCCCATCTCACACTCTTCCTGCCTTTATTTTTCTCCACAGCACTCACCATCTTCTGCAGCTTATGTGATTCACTTATTTATTTGTTTACTGTCTGACTTTTCCCACAAGAATGTGAGTTCCAAGAGGGCAGGGATTTGGGTCTGCCTGGTTCACTCTGTAGCCCCAGCACCTCGCCCAGTGTCTGGCATACAGTAGGTGCTCAGTAAATATTTGTTAGTCAAATGAATGAATTGTGAGCTCTGACTGTGTGCCTGGTACACTCTGCCCTGGACACCATGGAGGACGGGGAGCTGAGGGAACGAGGTCTCTGCCCCTCAGAGGGTGCCTGCTGAGCTGGTTCCAGCGGGCAGTGGGACAGGTCCCTGACAGCCAGGTGAGTCCAGGTGAATCACCACTAATGAGATGGGGAGGGCCACGCCAAGCGGCTTCCCACACAGGCAGCCGACAGGTCACTGCCTGTCGCCAGGAAACTCCTCAATAAGGATTGAACAGGACCCTGGGCTGGGGCGGAGGAAGTGCCCGCCTCTCCTGGAGACCCCACCCATTCCTGAGGACTGAGTCGGCTCACCTGGGCTCCCCCACCCCCTAGGCCTTGGCAAGATGCTGGTTTCTCAACCTGGCCGAGATTTCCTTCCTAAAAGGAGTTTCGCTCGCTCAGCCCCACGCCCATCCCGGGCAGGACCTGTTTGTCAGCCAGCCCTGTCTGGGTCCCTGAGACTGCAGAGGGAGGACAGCTGAATCTGGAAAACCCTGGGACCTCCCCCGCCCCAGCAGCCCATAGGAGGGTCGGTAGACCAGAGCTTATTCAGGGTATGGACAGACCAATGGGGCTCATTAAACCCAACAAGACAGCGTGGGGTGGCCTCCGTGACCACATTCCACTCACCCCGCCGGAGCCTGGGGCCCACTAGAGTGCCCTGAGCCCAGGCCAAATGACCATCCCAGGGCAGGGCATGGCTGTCTCATCTGCACAATGGGGCAAAGCCTCCTGCCCTGTGGGTGGCTGAGGGCCGGGATGAGATCATGGGTACGCAGAGTAAGGAATGCAGGTGGGCAGCCAGGCCTCCACCCCGCAGCTCAGAAGATGTGGCCGATGTGGCCCATGTCTGGGGAGGAAGCTGTCCAGCCCTTGGCCTACAGTGAACTTGGCCAGTCCAGCACCACCCCCCTCCCTTCCTCTCGGCGGGGGGGCCGGGGGGCACTTGAGGCCCCACCTGGCCCTCCTGCCCCAGAACCCAAATAGCCCCTTGCTGAATTGCCTCACCCCAGCCATCTATGCAGGCCTAAAGTCGCCACCTGTAGTTACTCACATCATACTCATACATCCATAGCTTTCAACAAATGTACTTGGCCAGTCATCAGATGTCCCAGGAGCACTCCTAGCTGCCAGGCACAGGGTAAGACCAACGGACGCAAAGATGGTGGGGCAGGGCCCCATCTCAAGGGGTGCACAGTTTGGGGAGGGTAGTCATAAAAATATAGCTTCCATAAAAGCACCAGCAGGGCCCTGACACACACACACACACACACACACACACACACACACACACACACACACACACAATCTATGAGGCGCTGGAGGGGCTCCTCGGGGGCTCAGAGAAAGGATTGGTTGGCCTGGCAAGGTGAGGTGTCAGGTGGAGCCTCATGGGAGAGCTGCAGCTTGAGCAGGGCTGTCCCTGTGCCTTGCTTTGTCTTTGTCATGTAATCCTCACAACAGCCCTGTGAGGCCAACAGCACAGGGGTCACCATGCCCATGTTATGGGTGAAAAACTAAGGTTCAAAGAGGTGAAGTGACTTGCCCAAGGCCTAATGATGGTGAGTGGCAGGGGTTTATCTGGAATTCCAGTTTCCTGACCCCCATGCAGTGGTCTCTCCTGCCCTGCTGTGAGTTCCTTCCTGTCTTCATGTGTCCATTTGTACAGCGAATCCAACCTGGCTACTTACTAAATGCCAGGCAGTATCTGCGAGCTGGGGACCTTAGAGACAGTAAGGTATCACCCAGGCAGGGGAAGCCACACGCACATACCCAGACAGTGCAATCTCCCATTCAAGTCAACATTCAGCAGATGTACAGTGGAACACCAACTGGGAGCCAGGCGGCACACAGGTGCCAGGGTTGCAGCAGTGAACGAGACAGACAGAGTGCAGTCCTGTGGAGGCTTTCTACTACTAGAGAGGGCAGAGAATAATCGCAGAGTAAGGGAGCACGACGCAGGGTGAGGGAAGAGAGAGGGGCCAGGGCGCTTCTTCAGATGGGCTGATCAGGGAGGGCCTTCCCAAAGCAGATCCTGTTTGCTTATGATTGTTTTGAGATGACAGTTGAGGAGAGGAGCCCTGTGGGTACCTGAGGAAATATGCCAGGCAGGAGTAACGGCAAGTGCAAAGGCCCTGAGGCAGGAATGCACTTGGAGGTGTTCTGAGGAGCATCAGGGAGCTGAGAGGGTGCAGGGGAGTGGCAGGATGTTAGGTGAGGGAGGTGATGGGAGTGCGGGAGGCACAGGTCCTAAAGGCTTTGCGGGTCATAGTGAGGGCTTTGCTTTTACCCCACGTGAACGAGCCACTGGAGGGTTGTGAGCTCAGGGCTGAGCTGATGTAACCTAGGTTTTGAAAGGATCTCTCTGGCTGCTATGGAGAACAGACTCTAAGGGGGTCTTTTTCTTGTCTATGTGTCTGCTTCGTGCATACCGTGGTATCCACTTGACATCGTAGCATAAGCGTTGTCCTTTGATGTTAAAACTCTCAGAAACGGCCGGGCGCGGTGGCTCACGCCCGGGGAGGCAGAGAGTCAAAGAGGGGGCTACTGAGATAACCAGGTGAGAGGTGGGCCAGGGTAGTGGTGGAGAGAGGAGCTGTGGTCACATTCAGGATGTGGAGTTTTTTAAATTAATTCATTTTTTACAGGTGAAGTCTCACTCCGTTGCCCAGGTTGGAGGGCAGTGCATGATCATAGCTCACTGCAGCCTTGAACTCCTGGGTTCAAGCGATCCTCCCTCCTCAGCCTCCTGAGTAGCTGGGACTACAGGTGTGCACCACCATGCCCAGCTGGGGATGTTTTGAAGGTAGCCCCAAATGTACTTGCAGACATCCTGGACATGAGGTATGAAAGAAAGTGAGGGCTGAAGAACAATCCTGGCTCCAAGAGCGGGAGGGCAGCTCTGCCCAGGTCGTGCTTGGCCTGAGGTGCCACATCTTCTACCTGGAGTGTGACGTGGGACATGGCACTCCGCAGGTTGACCAATGTGGAGTTTGGACAGAGTTGGGCCCTTCTTCCCTGCTGGGGGGCTTGGGCCACCTCGTTTAATCTCAGATGTCAGGAATTGGGCTAAGCAGGGTTTTATGTGAGTTGAGCTGAGCAGGCTGTCATCTCCCTCCCACCCTAGGTGGGACCGTCAGCCGGCATATTTTTGGAAAGTATTTTGTCCATATGTATCAAGACTTTTAAACTTTCATGCCCTTTGACCCAGTGAATCCCTTTCAAGGAAGTTCTGCTGGGGAAGCCATCTGAAATGCAGGCAGCACTGATGGATCAAACCCTTCACAGGGGATTATTTAGAATCGCCAAATAAATAAATACACAGCCTGCATGTCCAACAGTAGGGAGTGTTTAAGTCAAGCAGATATAGTCTGGCACCTTGTTGTACTGGATTGTTGTGCTGACCTTAAATTCACGTTTCTGAGAGTTTTTTTTTTTTTTTTTTTTTTTTTTTGACGGAGTCTCACTCTGTCGCCCAGGCTGGAGTGCAGTGGATCTTGGCTCACTGCAAGCTCTGCCTCCCGGGTTCAAGCCATTCTCCTGCCTCAGCCTCCCGAGTAGCGGGGACTACAGGCGCCCGCCACCATGCCTGGCTAGTTTTTTTTGTATTTTTTTAGTAGAGATGGGGTTTCACCGTGGTAGTCAGGATGGTCTCGATCTCCTGACCTTGTGATCCACCCGCCTCGGCCTCCCAAAGTTCTGGGATTACAGGCATGAGCCACCGCGCCCGGCCGTTTCTGAGAGTTTTAACATCAAAGGACAACGCTTATGCTACGATGTCAAGTGGATACCACGGTATGCACGAAGCAGACACATAGACAAGAAAAAGAAATAGACTCATACTGATTAGCTCTGATTGACTGAAGTTTGGATTACTATTTTCATTTTCCTCTTTACAGTTTTCTGCATTGTACTAATTTCTAAGATGGACATGCATTACCTTTCTGACTTAAAACTAATATTTAAAAAAGGGGCCAGGCGTGGTGGCTCACACCCGTAATCCCAGTACTTTGGGAGGCCAAGATGGGAGGATTGATTGAGTCCAGGAGTTCGAGACCAGCCTGGGCAACAGAGTGAGACCCCTGTCTCTGCAAAAAATTAAAGAATTAGCCGGTTGCGCTGGGGCACACCTGTGGTTCCAGCTACTTAGGAAGCTGAGGCAGGAGAATTGCTTGAGTCAGGGAGGTTTAGACTGCAGTGAGCTATGATCGAGCCACTGCACTCCAGCCTGGGTAACAAAGTGAGATCCTGTCTCAAAAAAAAAAAAAAAAAAGGAGAAAGAAAACGTGAGTTCCCAGAAGCTGGAGCACAGTGTTGGCCAAGCCAGGAACTGACAGCCAACTAACCCATCCTTTCCAGGGCTCCAGGGTCCACTTCCTCCGGGCAGGGCCGGCAGGTGCAGTCAGGACAGGGATTATGTTGATAATTGTGGTGGGGAGAGACAGGTCCAGAGGCTCCTCCTTCTGCCCCTCCGGCCACCCCCATCATAGGGGTGTGTCCTCCCTTGGGCCCCCTGCAGCCCTTGGAATTTGCCCCTCTATGTCTTCGCTGGAGGCTGATGCTTCCTGCCTTGTGTGTAACCCTGTGGGTCTCTCCTGACTGACACCAAGCATCCCGTATACACTGGTCCTCACGGTGTAGTCCCCAGGCCCGAAGCATCAGCACAACCTGGGAACTCTTTAGAAATGCAGAGTCACAGGCCTCTCCCCAGACCTAGTGAATCTGCCACTCTGGAGGCGGGGCCTCTGTGTTTTCAAAAGCCCTCCAGACCTAAGTGTGAGAACTGCTGCCTTATGGTAGGGCCCCACTGTGGCCCATGTTTTACACTGACTAATTCATTTTACAGATTGCCATGATTCCTGCTTAACAGACACGGAAACAAGCTCAGAGAGGTTAAGGAACTTGCCCAAGGTCACACAGCCAGCAGAGACAGGGCTGGGAGTGCGAGCCCATGCCTTTACTTCCCCACTCCACAGCTGTGCAGCTGCCTGGACGCCAGTCCCTCCTGCGGGGTCAGGGTCCAGCTCCGTGCTGGGCACACAGATGGCCCCACTCACATGGGTTGGACTAGGGTTTTGGCTCCTGGGTCGGAAGACCAGGCTGATTCCCCACAAGACCCAAGCAGCCCTGACCCCCTGTGGGAGGAAGGAGGTGGGCTCCATGTGCCTGCTGAGGCCCCTTCAGTCTTGACAGCTGCCGGCGGTTTGGACCAACGAACCCGCAGAGGAGGGGCGCACCGCCACCTGCTGGCTGGCATCATGGGTGATGCTGGGGACAAACGCAGGGATCCACAGACACACGTCTCAGGGACACCGTGGCAGGCGTGCACGTGTCTCCTCCTGCCGCACGCGGGTGCACTTGCCCACACGTGGATGTCTGAGCATGTGGGCACGTGGGGCTCTCAGCCACAAGGCCTGGTAGATAGCACTAAATTCACCCATTTACTTATTACCTCATCAAATGTTCATCCAGAGATGCCAAGCCCACTGTTGCTGTTATCCGGGAGCCTATAGGCCAGCTGGGTGTTGCTCAGAGCAACCACCAAGTGATGTGGACAAGGGTCCCTGGGGGATATACTCAGTGAGGTCATGCAGGCAGCCCCTACCCATCTGGACTGGGGCTCAGTCTCACAGGGTGGGCAGGAGAGGGCTGGGTGAAGGAGGCAGAGGCTCGTCACAGCAAAGCCTGGAGGAGGAGCTGGAATGGAGCACAGGGGTCCCTGGCACAGGTCTTGTGCAAGGCCGTGCAGGCTGGACCCTGTCCCCACAGTGGTGGCCGGGCTCTGGTGCCACACCATCCTGACATGTTTATATTAAAGCTTAGTACAAATAAGCTTATACAAATAAGCTTTGGGACCCTTTAGGACCCAAGGATCTCTCGGCCCCTTTGGGGCTGGCCTGAGATGTGATTTGTACCTGTGCACTGTCCCCCTTGCCACAGCAGCTGCCCTTGGATATATCAGGGATGAGGAGAGGCATCCCCAGTCCCAGAGAGAAGCCTGTTTCTGATCTCCGAATGGACGCAGCAGATAGCAGTCACCGTTAAGTCAAGCATTCCTGCGTGCCCAGCAAAAGACCATTTTTCTTAATCTACAAGGCCATCCGAAGCAGCTCACAGGGTGTGACCTATTCCAAAGCACAGCTCCACGTGCCCGTGAGGTCCCCCAGGACTCCACGGGAGAGTCAGTGCCTCTGTGGGGGATGGGAGCTGGATGGATGAGCTTTGCTGGGTGGTGGGCATAGCTGGGGGTCCAGAACGCAGACACAGAACGATCCTGGTTGGAGGGCTGGTGTGAGTGGGGAGGGACCCATTGGCAGAGCTGAGGGGTTGGTGGCTCCCAAACAGGAGTTGGCAGGCGGTGCTGGAAGAGGAAATGTTGGCAGCTCCCCAGTTCTGCCGATGGGCTTAGATGGAGCCTGTGACTTTATCAATGGCCAGTCCTCACTAGCCTGGCCCCCGGCCTGGCCCCTGACCTGTGGTTTTGCTCAGCAGTGCAGCGGTGGCGGCTTCCGAGAAGCCCCACCAAGACTTTCCTGTCAGGGCAACGCCAAGTTCCTCTTACCGAGGAAGGGGAAGTGGCGGGGTTTCTCCTAAGGCCTTTCAGTTTCTTTCTAAGAAGGTGGGTGTTCCAACCCCAGGGCCCTCAGCAGAGCCAAATGTTAAAGGAAGAGAAGTTGATCTTCGGGGGCTTCCTCACCCCAGTTCCAACCGAAGTTCCTTTGTTGGGGCCCACAGCGGACATTCCGAAAGAGGAAATGAGACACGTGCGTTCCACAGGCCCCTTCCCACGCCCCCTCCTTTCTCCCTTCTCCAGGGACATACTCCTTGATACCCTCCCTCCCCACCAACATGCACACTTAGGAAGTATGGCCTGCTACCCTTGGGGGCATCCCAGGTAGAAAACTTGCTTTTTCCACCTTCAAAGCTGAACTCTTCTGAGTCCGGCCTCCTCAGGACCCTGCTGAGTGACTAAAAATCTAACCCAGGGCTGGCCATGGTGGCTCACGTCTATAATCCCAGCACTTTAAGAAGCCAAGGCGGGAGGATCACTTGAGCCCAGGAGTTCAAGACCAGCCTGGACAACACAGTGAGACCTTGTCTCTTAAAAAAAAAAATTTAAAAATTAGCCAGGCGTAGTGGTGTGCGCCTATAGTCCCAGCTACTAGGGTGTGGTGGGAGAATTGCTAGAACCCGGCAAGTCGACGCTGCAGTGAGCTGTGATTGCACCACTGCACTCCAGCCTGGGCAACAGAGCAAGACTCTGTCTCAAACAAAACAAAACAAAAAAACGACTAACCCAAACAAAGCGCTGACAGATGACACTGGCTTAATGCAGATTCCAGTCCAGGGGATATGCCCATATTAGAGGCCCACAGCTTTCTGAGGGGCAACAAACCATGGGCACCCAGAGAATTCCAAGCTCACCCTCTTCAGAAGACCCACTGGCTTGATGGCCAAGTGCATGTCCTGACGTTCTTATAACAATAGCCACCATTGATTGTAAGTGCTTATTGCGCACCAGGTACTGGGCCAAGCATTTTACATTAATTTCCTCCTATAATCCCCACAGTGATGCCATGACAAAGATACAATCATGATCCCACAGTCAAGTAACCTGCTCGGCTCACATAGCCCATGAGCCCATTCTTCCTCGTAGGCCTCTTCTCAGAAAGGTGGGGAAGGACGAGTATCAGACCTTGACAGGAGTTGGCTGGGAAGGTCTGGTCTCCAATTTCCCACGATTGTCAAAGCCAGCTGTGCCTCTCCCAGAGGTGAAGAGCCAGCCATCTAGTCGTGGCCATCTTGGCTGCACTAATGTGGCCGTGGCTGGGGCCTTCCCCGAGTCATTGGGAACTCTTGATGCCTTCTTTATTTTCCTCCCAGAGATGTTGTTTTAAGGTTTTTGCTTTGCTGAAGCATGTGTTATGGGGACAGCGAGGGGATTCCCCTAAACCGTGATGCTGTTCTGTTCAAAAACATTTGCCTGGAGGTCCACAGCTGTGTGACTCACGCTGTTGGGTGGCAGGAAAACTCACAGCTGCAGTGGGGAGGGGCCTGGCCCAAACGAAATGGGATACTTACAGGGTGGCCAGGTTTAGTAAATAAAAATGCAGGATGCCCAGTTACATTTGAATTTCAGATAAACAGCAACATTTAGGACACCTTCATGCTAAACAACTTATTTGTTATTTATCTAAAATTCAATTGTAACTGGCCATCCTGCATTTTATCTGATAACCCTAGATACTCAGCACCCAGGATAAATCTCCCGCCTTCCCCCTGGCTTCAGCAGGGTGTTGCCGAGAGAAGACAACAAAACCTGGGAGAAGTCCACTGACCTGGGATGAAGACAAATCTGAGGGTCTCAGTGGTCTGAGGAGGGTAGATACACTCTGCTTCCAGGGTTCCCCTTGAGCAACTGCAAAATCTCAACCTCAGCCCAGGGCAGAATTCCACATTCAAATTCCACAAAATGCAAGGATGCACCTGAAGGTCACCGCTTCATTCTCGGGGCCTCAGTTTTCTTATCTCTGTAATGGGAAGGACTTTTGGATTCTACGATGTCAAGTGACCCTCTTAGCCCTTAGCTTTTCTTGCATAGTGGAAAATCTGCTGGAAGCAAGTGAAGGTATGAGTGAGCTAGCCAAGGAGCAAGTGTAGAGAGGAGGAGGAGGCCATCTTGGCTTGGAAATGGGCCGCCCCTCTTGCCCTACAGCACTGCACGGAGACTGGGCCATTGTACCTGGATGTTGGGTGGTTTGGAGGGCTCCCCTGGGTCAGGCACACCAGTGCATGCCTGGACTTCCTTAGAAGGGACCCTGGGCATGGACCACAGCTAGGTCCATGACTGAGGTGCCCCAGCCATGAGCAGTGGCAAACGCCCATGGCAACACCTGAGCCACAGCAGGGAGGGGACGATCATTAGCTTCAAAAGCAGGGAAGTAAACTGTTAAGAGTGAAATTACTAAATGACTACAAAATGTTAACTAGACATTTGCAACTTAACTCCTATGGTTTATGTAAATTATATGTGATGCATGTGGGTGCATTTGAATATATTTGACACGTGGAAGCATGTGGCCTCAAGAATAAGGATGCCTGGGCCTCTAGCGCACTTGGAAGACAGGCTGGGGATATGGAGACAGTGAATTTCCTGCAGGCCAGAAACCACATCCGGGGGTCTAGGAGCAGCAGGGTGGTGGTGAGGGAGTGAGCTAGAACCTCTAGGGTTAGAGATGGGGTCCGGTCTGGGAGGCAGGAAGACCCCTCTGATAGGAGTGTCAGACAGACGAAAGCAGGTCCCAAAAGGTCCCTGCAGAGGTGACTGGTGAGACCAGACAGAGCCTCAGAGCCAGGCTGCAGCTCTGCACGGGGACCTGAGGACCCACCAGGAGCTGAGACCCGGGCTCTCCAGGCTCGTGGGATGGTGGGATTGCTTCTGCCTGCTGGGAAGGCCAGGGTGCAAACCTGCAGCCTGCAGTGGAGGTGCCTGGGGGCTGGAGGTGCCCAAAGTCCCCATAACTGCCATCAGCTCTATACCTCAGAGGCACCACTAGAAAATGTCTTTGTTTTGGACAATGGACATTTTCTCAGTCTTATATGAAGTATACATTAAAAAGTGTCTTCAGGGCCAGGCATGGTGGCTCACACCCGTAATCCTAGCACTTTGGGAGGCCAAGGTGCGCGGATTGCCTGAGCTCAGGAGTTCGAAACCAGCCTGGGCAACATGGTGAAACCTTGTCTCTACTAAAATACAAAAAATTAGCTGGACGTGGAAGCGAAGTGAATCCCAGCTACTCAGGAGGCTGAGGCAGGAAAATTGCTTGAACCTGGGAGATGGAGGTTGCAGTGAGCCGAGATCGCGCCACTGCACTCCACCCTGGGTAAAAGAGCGAGACTCCGTTTCAAAAAAAAAAATGTCTTTAGTAAACATGACGTCTTCATAACAAAGTATCATAGACTGGGTGGTTTAAACACAGAAGTTTATTTTCTCACAGTTCTGAAAGCTGGAAGTCCAGGAGCACAGTGTCATCAGGGCAGGTTTCTGAAGCCTCTCTTTTTGGCCGGGAGCCGTCTTCTCTCTTTCTCTTCACATGGTCTTTCCTCTGCACATGTCTCTCCTCATTTCCTCTTCTGATTGGATCAGGGCCCATCCTCATGACCTTATTTTACCTGAATTACCTTTTTAAACATCCTGTCTTTAAATGCAATCACATTCTGAGGTACTTGGGGTTAGGACTTCAATATAGGAGTTTTGGGGACATAGAATTAAACTTGTAACACTTATGATTTTTTTTTTGAGATGGGGTCTTGCTGTGTTGTCCAGGCTGCAGTGCAGTGGCACCATCATAGCTCACTGCAGCCTCAAACTCCTGGGCTCAAACCATCCTCCCACCTCAGCCTCCACAGTAGTTGAGAGTACAGGCACAAGCCACCACACCTGGCTAGCTTAAAAAGAATGTTTTAGAGAGGGGGTCTCACTATATTGCCCAGGCTGATCTCGAATTCCTAACCTCAAGTAATCCTCCTACCCTCAAGTGATCCTCCTGCCTCAGCCTTCCAAAGTGCTGAGATGACAGGTGTGAGCCACTGCACCCAGCTGGCCCCAGCCCACTTTTTAAGCTATGATGTAAGTACAAACAGTGGGCTGGCTTTGGAAGTGCAGATTGTATACTGGTCCCAAGATCATCCTATGCAAATTCTGGCGCCTCCCATGCCTACTAGTTTTGATTAGAGGTAGTTTAGGGACACAGCCTGCACTCAGGATGTCCCCTCTGGACATGGCCACCACTGGCCAGCTGGACTGGGAGGGGGTCAGTGTTGTCACCAACATGATAGGACTTCTTAGAACAGGCCTGGCAGCTCTCTCTAACCAACGATGTATGTCTGGTAATCTTTGACTTTGAAAACTCTGTTCTCTTTAAAAACAAAGTTTCAAATTCTGTATCTGGAGCTGCTATTTATAGAATCATCTAGGAATCCTTCACAAAAAAAGGAGACAAATTTGTAGCATTTGTGTTTTTACAAAGTAGCACATTTATTGTTGAAAAACACAGGTGAAAGAGAAGAAAACAAAATCAACAGTAATTGGACCTCCCAGAGATCAGTGTTAACATTTTGGTTTCTGTATCTATCTTCATCTCTCCCTGTGTTTTAATCTACATCTCAATCTACACTTATATAATTCAATTGACTTGAAAGATAAGATTACACGGTGCCATGTCATAACTTCTTATCAATTAGTATATCATGATCACTTCCCAGGGCATGGGATCGTTTTCTAAGAGGCCATTAAAGACGGTGGCCGAGTACGAGAATGGCATAAGCTATTCAACAAATTTCCTATTGTTGAATAATTGGGTTGTTTTACCTTTTTCACAATATCAAATGAAGCTGTGATAACATCCTTTAAGCTAAATCTTTGCCATGATCATTTACTAAGGATAAATTCGTAGAAGCGAAACTTCTGAGTTAAAGACAAAGCATTATTTTATTTTATTTTTTTAAGTTTAAGTTATTTATTTAAGCCATCTCCCGCCACAAGCAAAGGGATGGGAGACCAGTATACCAGTCATCATTTGATACAAGTAAAGAAGGTGAGCTTAAGGTCCCATATACTTTTTCTGGTCCATGTGCAGAGTAATGGTCCAAACCAGTGCTGTGGTCCCTGGTGCCCGGGTAGTGGTCCAGATTCTCTTTATTCATCTTCGTAGCCAGTTGGAAGTGGATTCACATGAGGGTTATGGAATAGAGTATGGTTACCATCTCCCCAGGGAAACGGCTTGGTCCTGATGCGGAGATGGGGGTAGGCGATGAACTCGGGTCTCTCGTGCTCTCCGTGGTGCGACTTCAGGTACACATTCAGCATGCTGACTGCCACCCCGGGGAGCGCGACGAAGAAGGTGAGGGTCTTCCACATGCGAGCTGAGCCCTCTTCTCCATGGGCGCCACTCGACATAGGCCGCCCCAGCTGTGGGCGGGACCGACCCAGCAGCCGAGAAACCGAGAACACACCAACTGCCGCCATTTTTGATCTGGACTGCCGCAGCGCCGCAAAGCATTATTTTAAAATGTTCAACTTTATTTACTTTTGAATAGATAATATATATGGTGTATATATACACATTACAAAATATATGTGTATTATCTCTATGCATATGTACATATATCTCTATGTGTGTGTATATATATAAAATATATAAATATATATAATATATAAATATATATAAAATATACATATATAAAATATATAAATATATAATATATATACATAAAATATATATAAATATATATAATATATATACATAAAATATATAAAATATATATAATATATATACATAATATATAAATATATATAATATATATACATAAAATATATATAAATATATATAATATATACATAAAAATATATAAATATATATAATATATATACATAAAAATATATAAATATATATAATATATATACATAAAAATATATAAATATATATATAATATATATACATAAAAAATATATAAATATATATATATTATATATATATATATTCAGAGACAGGGTCTTGTTCTGTCGCCCAGGCTGGAGTGCAGTGGTGCAATTGTAGCTCACTGCAATTCAAACTCCTGGGCTTCAGTGATCCCCCTGCCTCAGTCTCCCAAGTAGCTGGGACTATAGGCATGTGCCACTATGACAGGCTGCTTTGTTTGTTTTGTTTTGTTTTAATTTTTATTAGAAACGAGGTCTCTCTATGTTGCCCAGGCTGGAGTGCAGTGATGTTATCATAGCTCACTGCAACCTTGAACTCCTGGGGTCCAGTGATTCTCCTGCCTCAGCCTCCCCAGCAGCTGTGACTACAGGCACACATGCCACAACATCCAGTTAATTTTTGTCTTTTTCATAGAGATGAGGTCTTGCTATGTTTCCCAGGCTGATTTCGAACTCTTGGCCTCAAGTGATCCTCCTGCTTCAGCCTCCCCAAATGCTGGGATTACAGGCATAAGCCACTGTGCCTAGCTATTTTTTTTTTTTTTTCCACAAATGGTAGTTGCTATGGTTTGAATGTGTCCACCAAAGTTCATGTGTTGGAAACTCAATCTCCAATGCAACAGTGTTGGGAAGCAAGGCCTAATGAGAGGTGATTAGGTCATGAGGGCAGAGCCAGGATAATGCAATTACTGTGGGAATGGGTTAGTTATTTTAAGAATGGGCATATTATAAAAGTGAGTCTGGGGCCGGGCGCAGTGGATCATGCCTGTAATCCCAGCACTTTGGGAGGCCGAGGTGGGCGGATCACGAGGTCAGGAGATCAAGACCATCCTGGCTAACACAGCGAAACCCCATCTCTACTAAAAATACAAAAAAAAAATTAGCCGGGCGTGGTGGCACGTGCCTGTAATCCCAGCTACTCAGGAGGCTGAGGCAGGAGAATTGCTAGAACCCGGGAGGTGGAGGTTGCAGTGAGCTGAGATCGCACCACTGCACTCCAGCCTGGGTGACAAAGCGAGACTCTGTCCCAAAAAAGAAAGAAAAAAAGTGAGTCTGGCCCCCTTTTGCTCTCTTGCTCTTGCCCTCTCTTGCCCTTCCACTTTCTGCCATGGGATGATGCAGCACAAAGGCTGTCACCAGATGCCACCATCATGCTCTTGGATTTCCCAGCCTCCAGAACTATGAGCCAAATACATGTATTTTCTTTATAAATTACCCAGTCTGTGGTATTCTGTTATAGCAACACAAAATGAACTAAGACAGCAGTATCCTCTATACTATTCTGCACTTTGCATTTTTTCACTTAAGAAATTATCTTGTAGAGTTTTCCAAGTCAGTACTACATAATATTTTATTATATGCATTTACCATAATATATTTAAGTAGTCCCCTGTTGGATAGACGTAGTCCCTTATTGATGGTTACATATTAGTTATATATGACTGTATAACATATTATCCAGAAGTTCAGTGGCTTAGAAAAACAATAAAAAATTATTTTCTCATACAGTTTTTTGCTGGTAAGAAATTTGAGAAGGATTCATCTGGGCAGTGCTCACTTGGGGTCTTTCATGTGGCTGTAGTCAGATGCAAATTGAGGCTGAAGGTATCTGAAGGCTCAACTGGGACTAGAAGATCTACTTCTTTCTTTCTAAAAAAATTTATTATTACTGTTTTTGGAGATGAGGTCTTAGTATGTTGCTCAGGCTAGTCTCGAACTGGGCTCAAGCGATCCTCCCACCTCAGCCTCCTGAGTAGCTGGGACCACAGGTGTGTGCCACCAGGCCTAGCTAATTTTTCAATTTTTTGTAGCAATAGGAGTCTCACTGTTTTTCTCAGGCTGGTTTCAAACTCCTGGGCTCAAGCAATCCCCTACCTTGGCCTCTCAAAGTGCTGGGATTACAGGCATGAGCCACCATACTGGGCTCAAGAAAATCTATGTCTAGAGTTACTCACTCATACAGCTGGAAAGCTGGTGCTGGCTGTAGGTGGGGGCCTCAGTTCCTCTCTACATGGATCTCTCCACAGAGCTGCTCGAGTGTCCTCTGGAAGCTGTCCAGGAAGCTGAGGCAGAAGCTGTGATGCCTTTTATAACCGAGCCTTGGAAGCCACACACCTTTGCTTCCACTACATTCTATTGGTTATGGCAACTACAAAGGTTTGCCCAGGTTCAAGCAGAGGGAATTGACCCTACCTCTCAAAGGAGGATGCTAACATCGCATTATAAGAAGAGCATGGGAAATGGGATATATCAGTGCTTCCATCTTTAGAAAATACAGTCTGCCATAGGTTATTTCCAATATTTTGCTATTACCATATGTTAGTAAGTAGATTTTAAAGACTTTCTATATGTATTGCCAAATCTCCTTTAGAAAGTTGTACTAATTTAGATTCCAACCCCTGGTGATTGAGAAAGTCAATTTCTCTGTATCTTTACTAGCACTAAGTTTATCTTTTAATTAAAAATCTCTGCCAATTTGATATGCAAGAAATGGTATGTCATTGTTTTAAGAAAATTCCTTCTAAGAAAGCATAAGAGCTAAATTTGAGTAGCGGTATCTATATTAGTTTGCTAGTTTAGTTGCTATATTAGTTTCTGCCATAAGAAAATACCACAAACTGGGTCGCTTAAACAACAGAAATTTATTGTCTCATAGTTCTGGAGGCTGCAAGTCTAAGATCAAAGTATCACAGGTTTTTTTCTCCTGAGGCCTCTTTCCTTGACTTGCAGACGGCCGCCTTCTCACTGCTGCCTTTCCTCTGCACACGCATCCCTGATGTCTCTTCTTTTTCTTTTTTTTTCTTTTTTTAAGACAGAGTTTCACTCTTGTTGCCCAGGCTGGAGTGCAGTGGCACGATCTCAGCTCACTGCAACCTCCACTTCCTGGGTTCAAGTGATTCTCCTGCCTCAGCCTCCTGAGTAGCTGGGATTACAGGCGCCCACAACCACGCCCAGCTAATTTTTGTATTTTTAGTAAAGACAGGGTTTCACCATGTTGGCCAGTCTGGTCACAAACTCCTGACCTCAGGCAATCCTCCCGCCTTAGCCTCCCAAATTGCTGGGATTACAGGCGTGAGCCACCATACGCGGCCTGTCTCTTCTTTTACTTATGATACCAGTCATGTTGGATTAAGGCCCTTATGACCTCCTTTAATCTTAATTACCTCTTTAAAGGTCCTATCTCCAAATATAATCACACTGGGGACTAGGGCTTCATCATATAAGTTTTGGGGGGACACAGTTCAGTCTATAACAGCACCTTTACTGATTTGCTGAGTAATCTTGGGACAGCCACATATCTCTCTGAGCCTCAGTTTTCTTATCTGTTTAATGGAGAGATACCACATTTCCTTTTCCTCTTTCTCAATGGGTTGTCATGACAAATTAGATAGAACCTGTGGAGCTGAGCGTGGTGGCTCATGCCTGTAATCCTAGCACTTTTCAAGGCCGAGGCAGGCGGATTGCTTGAGCCCAGGAATTTGAGAACAGCCTGGGCAACATGGTGCAATCCCATCTCTACAAAAAATTTAAAAAATTAGCCAGTCATGGCCGGGCGTGGTGGCTCACGCCTGTAATCCCAGCACTTTGGGAGGCCGAGGCAAGTGGATCACTAGATAAGGAGATCGAGACCATCCTGGCTAACACAGTGAAACCCCGTCTCTACTAAAAAAATACAAACAAAAAAAAAATTAGCCAGGCGCAGTGGCGGGCGCCTGTAGTCCCAGCTACTCGGGAGGTTGAGGCAGGAGAAAGACGTGAACCCGGGAGGCGGAGCTTTCAGTGAGCCGAGATTGTGCCACTGCACTCCAGCCTGGGCGAAAGAGAGAGACTCCATCTCAAAACAAACAAACAAACAAAAATTACCCACGCATGGTGGCATGTTTCTGTGGTCCCAGCTACTCAGGAGACTGAGGTGGAAGGATTACTTGATCCCAGAGGGTTAAGGCTTCAGTGAGCCACGATCATGCCAGTATACTCCAGCCTGGGCTGCAGAGCAAGACCCTGCCTCAGAAAAATAAAAGGAACATGTGAAAGGGTTCTGGAGAATATAATTATTAACACATAAAATGCTTACAATTTGGGTCTCAATTCTGAGTTTGCACAACATGAGATACCCTTTGTTGACCTGAGTGGTACGCTGATAGTGTAGATGGATGTATCAGTTATGTAATGCTGTGTAACAAACCATCCCTAAACTTAGTGACTTAGAACAGCTGTTTATTATTCTTGCAATTCTGTGGGTTGGCTAGATGGTTCCTCTGCTGTTTTCATTCACACAGCAACAGTCTGCTAATGGCTTCGCTGGGTTAGGTGGTCTAGACTGGCTGGGGTGCCTGGGCCTCTCTCTTCCTGTGGTCTTTCAGGCCAGGTTCCTCACGTAATTATGAAAGCACTCCAAAAGCACGAAAGCAGAAGCCCAGCCTCAGAAGCTGCCCAGCATCACTTTTTTTTTTTTTGAGATGGAGTCTCACTCTGTCACCAAGGCTGGAGTGCAATGGCGTGATCATAGCTTACTGCAACCTTGGCCCCCTGGGCTCAAGTGATCCTCCCACCTCAGCCTCCAGAGTAGCTGGGACTACAGGTACATACCACCATGCCTGGCTAAATTTTAAAAAAATTTTTTTGTAGAGACTGGATTTTACCATTGCCCAGGCTGATCTCAAACTCTTGGCCTCAAGCGATCCACCCACCTCTGCCTCCCAAAGTGCTGGGATTTCAGGCATTAGCCACCACGCCCGGCCTGCTCAGCATCACTTCTGCCACATCCTATTGGTCACAGCAAGTCACAAGACCAACTCAGATTCAAGGGATGGTGAAATAGATTCCACCTTGTGGTAGTGGAAGCAACAAAGTTACATTGCAAAAGAGCATGGACACAGGGAACTTGATTCTGTTTGGGGCTATTATTGTTACAATTCTCCATGCGGACCCTTTGCAAAGCCCATATGTATCTGTTCCCATACTGAGTCAGCGTGCCCCACACACTCTCCCAGAGACTAGTGGACTTTGCCCTGCCCTTATTCTTTTTTTTTTTTTTTTTTTTTTTTTTTTTGAGATGGAGTCTCGCTCTGTCACCCAGGCTGTGGTGCAGTGGTGCAGTCTCGGCTCCCTGCAACCTCCGCCTCCTGGGTTCAAGCAATTCTACTGCCTCAGCCTCCTGAGTAGCTAGGACTACAGGCACGTGCCACCACGCCCGGCTAATTTTTGTATTTTTAGTAGAGACGAGGTTTCACCATATTGGCCAGGCTGGTCTCGAACTCCTGTCCTCATGATCTGCCCGCCTTGGCCTCCCAAAGTGCTAGGATTACAGGTGTGAGCCACTGCGCTCGGCCAGACTTTGCCCTTATTCTTGGCGATGATCCAGTGTCTCCCAACTTGCACCTAAGCCCATTCTCAGCCAGTCCAGCTCCAGAGCCCTGCCCACTGGCTGTGGCTCTGGTTTGGGGCTCTGTTTATACCCTCTGGCCTTGCTGATGTACCTGGGGATTTGAATTTGCATCATCCTGCTAGCCTTCCCACTCCTAACTAGCCCCTACTCTGTTTCCTGGAACTCAGCCCAGCCCAACTCTCTCAGCTGCCTTCTGGCAGGGCCAGACCTGCTCTTTCCGAGAAGTTCACACAACACCAGTCGGTTCTCTTGACCAATTTCCCAGGAAAACTGCTTAATACATCTAAAAGGGCAAAATAGTTCTTTCCACTTTGATTCACCTCAACCTAATAAGCTCCAATAATTCAGGCCTTTGAGAAATTCCACAATTTATGCTTCAAATTTCAGTCACATTTTTGTGTGTGTCTTACACATGTTCTTTAGAGCTCATGAGTTACTGCTAATATAAATCCGTGTGGTTATTATTGATAACAGCTATAAAGGAAGAGGTAATACCAAGACGGCAGAATCTCACAGCACGGTTTATTGGGAGGGCTGCCGAGAAGTTAACATGAATCACGTCTTCCTAATTGAATTGCATTTTCTGATGTAGCAGCAGGGCTTACTGCCTAAGGACCTTCAGAGGGCTGTAAAGCCAAGCATCATTGAAGTGTTTGGTAATGAAGGTTTGAATTTTAATAAACCAACTCTTTTGTAAGGGGCACTTTTTGGTAAATATATTAATTTGCTAATTATTGAAATGATTCTAGCATTGTAAGTTGTTAAGCAAAAAGTACACAATTGACTAGTTATGTATCTTTTGTGTAAAAAGGTGAGAAAATTAATATAGTATAATATGATATGATATAATATATAAAGTGTGTGTATCTCCTTTCTTTGGAAGCGTCTGCAAGAAACCAGTAATATTTTCTCATGGGAGAAAAAATGCGTGTCTGAGGCTGGACGCAGTGGCTCACACCTGTAATCTCAACACTTTGGGAGGCTGAGCTGAGCAGATGGGTTGAGCCCAGGAGTTCGAGACTAGCCTGGACAACATGGTGAGACTCTGTATCTACAAAAAATACAAACAATTAGCCAGGTACAGCTGAGTGCGCCTGTAGTCCCAGCTATTCAGGAGGTTGAGGTGGGAGGATCACTTGAGCCGGGGAGGTTAAGGCTGTAGTGAGCCGTGATTGTGTCACTGCACTCCAGCTTGGGTGACAGAGCAAGACCCTGTCTCTCCTCCACCCCTCCAAAAAATGGGTCTCTGGCAGCAGGATGGGAGGGAGATTTTCTAGTTTACCTTTTGTACTTTTTGAATTGTACCATGTGAATGTATTGCCTATCCAAAATTAAATCACTACTGCGGGGTGGGTACTGACTGGGAGGGGGCACAAGGGAGCCCTCCGGGGCCCTGGACGTCTTCTGAGCCTTCATTCTGGATCTTGATGGTTACGTGGGTGAACACACATGAAAAGTCATCAATCCATACACTTAAGTTCTATGCACTTTATTTTAAATTATGCTTCAAAAAAAGTGATGTATTCTAATGACATGATAAAATACAGTCAGCCCTCCATATCTGTGGGTTCCATATCCACAGATTTAACCAACCATGAATCAAAAATATTTTTTAAAATGGGTGTTTGCATCTGTACTGAATACATATAGACTTTAAAAAGAATCATTATTCTTCCAGCCTGAGGAACATGGCAAAACCCCATCTCTACCAAAAATACAAAAAAATTAGCTGAATGTGGTGGCATGTGCCTGTAGTCCCAGCTACTCAGGAGACCGAGGTGGGAGGATTACTTGAGCCTGGGAGATGGAGACTGCAGTGAGCCGAGATTAGGCCACTGCACTTCAACCTGGGTGATGGTGTGAGACCCTGTCTCAAAAAAAAAAATCATTGTTCTCTAAACAATATAGCCTAACAACTATTTACGTATACATATACTTTTTTTTTTTTTTGAGACAGTCTCACTATTGTCACCCAGGCTGGAGTGCAATGGCATGATCTTGGCTCACTGCAACTTCTGCCTCCTGGGTTCAAGTGATTCTCCTACCTCAGCCTCTTGAGTAGCTGTGATTACAGGTAGGTGCCTGCCACCACACCCGGCTATTTTTTTTTTTTTTTTTTTTTGAGATGGAGTCTTGCTCTGTCACCCAGCCTGGAGTGCAATGGCGTGATCTTGGCTCACTGCAACCTCCCCCTCTTGGGTTCAAGCCATTCTCCTGCCTCAGCTTCCCCAGTAGCTGGGATTACAGGAGCGCACCACCACACCGAGCTAATTTTTGTATTTTTAGTAGAGACGGGGTTTCGCCATGTTGGCCAGGCTGGTCTCAAACTCCTGACCTCAGGTGGTCCGCCCACCTCGGCCTCCCAAAATGCTAGGATTACAGGTGTAAGCCACCATGCCCAGCCTATTTACATATTTTTTACAGTATATTAGACATTATAAATAATCTAGAGATGATTTAAAGCAGCAATCTCCAAACTTTTTGACACCAGGGACTGGTTTTGTGGAAGACAATTTTTCCATTGACCGGGGCATAAAACTGTTCCACCTCAGATCATCAGGCGTTATAGTCTCATAAAGAGCGCGCAGCCTAGACCCCTCGAATGCTCAGTTTGCAATACGGTTTGCGCGCCTCTGAGAATCTAATGCCGCTGCTGATCTGACAGGAGGGGGAGCTCATACGGTCATGCTAGCTTGCCAGATGCCTGCCTCCTGCTGTGTGGCTCTGTTCCTGACAGGTATAGGCTGGTACTGGTCCACGGTCTGGGGTTTGGGGACCCCCCCCCGATTTAAAGTATGTGGAAGGATGGGCATAGGTTACATGCAAATATGGTACCATTTTATATCAGGGACTTGAGCATCTGAAGATTTTGGTATCTGCGGTGGAGGGGGGACGGTTCCCAGAACCAATCTCCCATGGATAGCAAGGGATTATTGTATATTAAAAATAATTTTATGTATTTATGTGTTTATTTATTTTACTTTAAGTTCCGGGATACATATGCAGAGTGTGCAGGTTTGTTACATAGGTATGCATGTGCCATGGTGGTTTGCTGCACTTATCAACCCGTCATCTAGGTTTTAAGCCCTGTATGCATTAGCTATTTGTCCTAATGCTCTCCCTCCCCTTACCCCCACCCCCCAAAATAATTTTAAAAATAAAGTCAGACCAGGATATATTGCCTTGCTCCACAAAAATAAATATGTTTCTAAAAAGTTTACTCAAGCCTGTTTCTAGAAAGTGAAGCATAACTTCCAACTGGCTTTCATTAAAACGTCTAAGATGTATTCATGTACTGACTCCATTCAAGGAGTGGCAGTACTGGTGTTGGTCTGAGCACTAGGAGCCTGCTGGGGTGAACCCACCCACTCTCTGAGTCTGGGCTTGATGATGGAAAGAGAAAAGGAGAGGTGAATTGAGTCTCCTTGAAAGACATGAGAAATTAGAGCCGGGCACGGTGGCTCACGCTTGTAATCCCAGCACTTTGGGAGGCCAAGGCGGGAGGATCACCTGAGGTCAGGAGTTCGAGACCAGCCTGGCCAACATGGTGAGACCCCCGTCTCTACAAAAATAAAAAAATTAGCTGGGCGTGGTGGCATGCGCCTGTAATTCCAGCTACTTGGGAGTCTGAGGTGGAAGAATCACTTGAACCTGGGAGGCAGAGGTTGCAGTGAGCCGAGACTGTGCCATTGCACTCCAGCCTGGGCGACAGAGCGAGACTCGATCTCAAAAAAAAAAAAAAAAAAAAATCAGAGAAATTAGAGCCCAGCAGAGAACACAGGAAGAGAAGTCAACACTGCCTGATCGCCTCTGCATCTGGGAGCTTGCTGGGCACTGTGCATGCTGGTACAACAGAAGCAGACAAAGAATTCTTCTGAGAGGCAAGAGAGGAAATCAAAATTGGAAAACAGAACCATATACTAATAATCCACTCATTTGCTGAGCACTTTACCATTTTCTTTTCTTTCTTTCTTTCTTTTTTTCTTTTCTTTTCTTTTTCTTTTTTTTTTTTTTTTTAATTTTTGAGATGGAGTCTTGCTCTGTCGCCCAGGCTGGAGTGCAGTGGCATGAACTTGGCTCACTGCAAACTCTGCCTCCCCAGTTCAAGTGATTCTCCTGCCTCAGACTTCTAAATAGCTGGGATTACAGGCATGCACCAGCCTGGCTAATTTTTGTATATTTAGTAGAGAAGGGGTTTCGCCATGTTAGCCGGGCTGGTCTCAAATTTCTGGCCTCAAGTGATCTGCCTGCCTCAGCCTCCCAAAGTGCTGAGATTACAGGCATGAGCCACCGCGTCCAGCCCACTTTCCCATTTTCAATATCCTTTTACGCCTGTTACATAATTTGACTTTGAAATGACCCTATGAATGGATGGGGTGCATGTTCATCGTCCCACCTTGTGAATGAGGAAGGAAGCTGAGACCTAGACAGCAAAGTCACAGGAGGTGACAGAGCCTGTATTCAAACCCATGTTTTACAATTCTAAGTCTGATGTGCTCACTGCTGCTTTCCAGAGAGGTCTCGGATCATCTAGACTGAGCTCTGGCTTCCCTATTTACCAGCTGTGTGATTTTGGGCAAGTTGCTGAACCTCTCTGTGCCTCTCTGTTCTCATTCTGTACAATGGAGCTGGTATAAGGATTACATGAGCCAATAAAAAGAAAGCACATGGTAAGTGCTCATCAAAAATTAACTTTTGTTTTTATTCCTAGAAAAAAAGAAAGTGAGACATGATAATGGCAAAGATGAGAAATCTGAGAATCATAGAGAGAAGAGGGTGAGAAGAACAGTTCAGAGGTGGAAATGGCTCTAGCATGTCAGTGCTCAGCTCCCCCAGGCAGTAAGAACAGGAATACGGTGGCCAGGCAGAGGCCAGGGCAGGCCAGCAGTACCAGTAGGAAGATGCCCTCACCCCTACCTTGGCCTTCAACCTGAAGAAGCTCAGTGTTTCCCTAGGCCCAAATCTAGCTGGCAGCAAGCCCAGGACAGAGAGTGAGGACAGGAGTGGGGAAAAGAGATGGATAAGGCATCTTGGCCACCCTCGAGGGGCTTGTGGTCTGGTTGTAAGATCGAGACAGGGCTATGTGAGCTAAGATGGCTTCCCTCAGTCTCCCCAGAATGCCAGGCTCCCTGTCCAGTGAGGTGCTGGTAAAAATGGAACAACTAGCTCTTTGTTGGGGGATGACAGGTCAGAGGGGCTGACATGCCAATTTTCATGTTTGCCAATTTCCATGGTGGAAATACTCTCATTGTGGCCATCTTCAAAAAGAAGCAGGTCCTGGTATCAAGCCATGAGGGCGGGACAGGCAGTAAGGTGAGGACAAAGGTGTGGGGTCACTGTCAGAGGTTGGAGACCTGCGTCCCGGTCCCTGAGAGAGTGCACAGGAATGCTACGTGCCTTGGACACATCATTTTACCTCTTTGACCTCCAGTCACCTCAAGGAAGAAAATGAAAATGTACTGTGTTGGAGGGTGGGCAGAGCTGGCGTGAATCCAGGCCAGAGGGTATTTTTCAAGCACTTGCTACATGCTAAGCCCTGGGATACAGAGACGAATAACAGAGCGTCATGCTGGGGAAGTGGAAAGATGTGAAAGTCCCATGACCTCATGGACATAGTGGTGGCGATGATTAGTAAGTACGAGGTGATGGCCTTGTCGTGTCTGAGTCACACAATTCATTCTGTCAGTCCCCAGATCTTTTGTTTTGTTTTGTTTGAGACAGAGTCTCACTCTGTCACTGAGGCTGGAGTGCAGTGGTGCCATCTCGGCTCACTGCAACCTCCGCCTCCCAGGTTCAAGCGATTCTCCTGCCTCAGCCTCCCAAGTAGCTGGTACTACAGGCGTGTGCCACCATGTCCAGCTAATTTTTGTATTTTCTGGTAGTGACAGGGTTTCACCATGTTGCCCAGGATGGTCTCAAACTCCTGATCTCATGTGATCTGCCCGCCTCAGCCTCCCAAAGTGCTGGGATTACAGTTGTGAGCCACCACTCCCAGCCAGTCCCCAGATTTTTATTGAGGACTGGCTGTGGGCCAGGCACTGGGAAACAGCAGTGAACAAAAGACCAACTCTCTGCCCTCCAAAAATGGAGACAGGACACTAATCTAAGAAACATAAAATAGAAGCCGGGTGCGGTGGCTCACGCCTGTAATCCCAGCACTTCGGGAGGCCGAGGCGTGTGGATTACGAGGTCAGGAGATCGAGACCACGGTGAAACCCTGTCTCTACTAAAAATACAAAAAAATTAGCCCAGCGCAGTGGCGGGCGCCTGTAGTCTCAGCTACTCAGGAGGCTGAGGCAGGAGAATGGCATGGACCCGGGAGGCGGAGCTTGCCACTCGCACCACTGCACTCCAGCCTGGGTGACAGAGCGAGACTCCGTCTAAAGAAAAAAAAAAAGAAAGAAAGAAACAAAATAGATAAAACGATTTGTATTATGTGAAGCAGAGTCAGGGGCAGAGTTGCCAGGAGCACTACGTGAGGCAGGTGGACAAGGAAGCCTGTCCGAGGGCCAATGAGGCAGAGACTGGAGAGAAGTGAGGGAGTGCATCGGGCGGATTTCTGGAGGAACAGCATCCAGGCTGAACGAGCAGCAGGTGCAAGAGTCCTGAGGTGGAAGTGTGCTGAGGGAGGGAGGTGAGATGGGGCAAGGGAAGGGGGAACTCTGAGAAGCAGCCAGGGGTCATCCCAAAGGGCCTGGTGGAGCACACGGAGGGAGGCATTAGATGGGCTTCTAACCCCATGCTACTGGAGGGCTGGGAGCTGAAAACTAGCTCAGCTTTCAGATTTGAAAGAATCTGTGTGAAGATGCCAGAGGACAAGTGTGGGAGCAGGAAGGGCAGGTGGGAAGCTCTAGCAATCACCCCCAGAGATATCACAGTGGCCGGGCCAAGTGACAGCATGTGAGGGGTATGAGGTGTGAGGACGGGCTCTGTTCGCAGTATATCCTGAAGGTAGAAGCAACCAGGCTTGCGGCCAGAACAAATGGTCCCAGGAAAGCAGAAACGTCCATGAAGAGCATAGCTAGTAACAACTCCCAGCCAGCGAGCTCCGTCTGTGGGCTAGGAGCTTTCCCTGAATTATCTCACTTGGTTTTCACACCAAATCCTACAAAGAGGCACTGCTTGTCAAGTTACAATGAATACATGGAGGCTCAAGAGGTTGGGTGATATCCCCAAGACCCTATGTCAAGCCTTCAACAGAACTGGAATTTGAGCTTTTCAGGCTATCAAGGGGGTGCCCTTTGCATGATATCAGCTGCCCCTGAGATTTGGAAAGTAGTAGCATATTACCTTGCCAGGCGTGGTGGCTCACACCTGTAATCCCAGCACTTTGGGAGGCCAAGGCAGGTGGGTCACCTGAGGTCAGGAGTTTGAGACCAGCCTGGCCAACATGGTGAAACCCCGTCTCTACTAAAAATACAAAATTAGCTGGGCGTGGTGGTGCATACCTGTAATGTCAGCTACTTGGGAGGCTGAGGCAGGAGAATCGCTTGAACCTGGGAGGCAGAGGTTGCAGTGAGCGGAGATCGTGCCACTGCACTTCAGTCTGGACAACAAGAGCAAAACTCCATCTCAAAAAAAAAAAAAAAAGAAAAGAAAAAGTAGTATAAGTAGTATACTACCTGGCACGTATTAGGTACACATAGTAGGTAATAATCATTTGCAAAATACCTACTTTTTTTTCATTTTGAGACAGGGTCTCAGTCTGTCACCCATGCTGGAGTGCAGTGGTACAATCATAGCTCATTACAGACTCAAACTCCTGGGCTCAAGCGATCCTCCTGCCTTGACCTCCCAAAGTGCTGGGATTACAGATGTGAGCCTGTATGCATTTCTTTGTATCATAAACATTTAAAAGGTCATGAGCCCTATACATTCACCAGAATGTCTAAAATTATTAATTTTAAAAAAACAAACTTCAAACCTGACTATACCAAATGCATGAGCAGGGGAAATGTCATACATTGCTGGTAGGAATGCAGAATGGTACAACCAATATGGAAAACAGCTTGGTAGTTTCTGATAAAGTTAGACACTTACTCAGTGACCCAATTTTAGGTATTTACCTAAGAGAAAAGAAAACGTGCTCACACAAACACTGAACATGAACGTTTATAGTTCATAGGAGTATTATTCATAATTGCCCCAAACTGGAAATAACCCAAGTATACTTAACCTGGTAAACAGATGAACAACTGTGGTATGCCCATGCAATGGAATACTACTCAGCAATGAAAAAGGAATGAACTACTGACATGGAGAACAAAATGGATGAATCTCAAATATATAATGCTGAGTAAAGGAAGCCAGGCTTAAAAAGCTATGGTTCCATTTAAATGACATCTGGAAAAGGCAAAATTATCAGTCAGAAACAGATCAATGGTTACCAGAGGCAAGGAGTAGGGGTGTGGGTTGACTACAAAGGGTGGCATGGGGACACTTATAGGGGGATTGTGGTGGTAGCTGTATGACTGTACTCTTCTGCCAAAACTTAGAAAATATACTAATAAGGGTGGATTTTACAGTCTGTAAATTACACCTCAGTAAACCTAACAATGACAGCACAAAGGTTGTGTGCCCTCGCTTCCCTCTCCTGACGGCTACCTCATTTTGCTCCACAGTGAAGCCACTCTCCATACTCCCACTCAGATTAAACCCCTGGAAAAGCTTAGGTATCAGTGCTGCAGAATCGACTCTGCTGTCACCGAGCCAGCTGCCTTCAGCATCATTGGCGAGTTTTAAAATGCTGATGCAGGCCAGGTGCAGTGGCTCATGCCTGTAATCCCAGTACTTTGGGAGGCTGAGATGGGTGGATCACCGGAGTTCAGGAGTTTGAGACCAGCCTGGCCAATATGGTGAAACCCCGTCTCTACTAAAAATACAAAAATTAGCCGGGCATGGTGGCGCACGCCTGTAATCCCAGCTACTTGGAAGGTTGAGGTAGGAGAATCACTTGAACCTGGGAGGCAGAGGTTGCAGTGAGCCAAGATGGCGTCACTGCACTCCAGCCTGGGTGACAGAGTGACAGACTCCATCTCAAAAATAAAAATAAAAATAAAAAATAAATAAAATGCTGATGCTGTCCGGGCATGGTGGCTCATGCCTATAATGCCAACACTTTAGGAGGCCAAGGCAGGAGGATTGCTTGAGCTCAGGAGTTTGAGGTCAGTCTGGGCAATATAGTGAGACCCCATCTCTACAAAAATTTTAAAAATTAGCTGGATGTGGTGGCGTGCACCTGTGCTTCTAGATACTCAGGAGGCTGAGGAAGGAGGATAGCTTAAACCCAGAAGGTCAAGGTTCCAGTGGGCTCTGATCACA